>NC_000012.12:97460128-97763158 GCF_000001405.40 Homo sapiens
AATCAGAACAGTCTGTAATATAAAGAAGAGATTCTGTTTTCCTTTCACAATTTTTTTTTTCTGGGAAACCTAATTTTAAGTTGCTCACATCAAGTGATGTGGATGAAAAGGGATAGATACCCAATAGATTCTCAGAAGCATTAGCCTGCCCCTTACTACTATTAGTGAGTGGTGCCTCTAATCCTCAAATGTTTATTTCTTAAAATCCTAGCACATGAAACAGTTATGGTTTGTTTTCTTTCAAGAAACAGTTGGCATTTCATGTTGGACTCTTGCTTGACATGAATTATTTGGCAAATTAGGGACTGAAGTGTGAATTATAAACTCAGAGCTATATAATGGACCTCAGGGGTATTCTAGGGACAGATATTTTAGTAGGGACTTCACAAAAAATTTTATTGAGAAAGAAATGATGCTTTTGCATACTCATGAAGCATATAAAACATGTATTTTGCACAAGTATGATACTTCTTTATACACACACACACACACACACATATCCACACTCTTTATGGTGTCTCTGTGTTTTATTTTCATGTGCCCACGACTCTCATTAATGGTGATAACCCTCTGTATATACCTCTAGAAAATAATGGAGCCTGACTGTGAGAACTGTCTGTATTCAAACATGTTAAGAGCTGAATATTTAAAATTTGTTTGGCTCACCAAGCTTGGCTTTCTGAAGACAACAGAAGTGGGATAGAGAGATCAAAAAGAAAAAAAAAATCATAAAAGGTAATAACATCTAGATGGGTCCTGGGTAATGCTCTAATTGAATGTACTTACATCTAAGTCTTATCACATGCTTAGGAGTGAGCGCTTAGATGCCTCTTTCAAACTGCAACATTAGTCAGTCACCGGGGCCTTGCGTGGAAGCTGTCACCTCCACTGTGATTCAGCTCTGTTCTATATGTGTACCTACCTATAATCTATCCTACTTTCTTTCACTGAATGGGCTTCTGCTATTTTGCTGTTAAGATAGTAATGTGAAATAAGGTTGTCCTTTGACCTTACAAAGAGACACATGTTCTTTAAAATGGGCTTGAAAATAATCAGTTCATGCCACTTAGAAGAAGCAGGCTACGAGATTCTCTTGTTTTGTTCTTGGCTTATAGGTTATGATGAGTATAGTCAGAAACCCCATATACTTTTCTCGTCATTCAGGCAGTCTTTTGACGTCCTTTCCCTTCTGAACATAATAGAAGCTCTCCCTGAGTAGAAACCACAAGGCAGCTTTTTCAGAAGTCACCAAGTTAAGCAATTTTGACTTCGGAAAGAGTTTCTAAAGCCTATATTAATTGCTCAGTCCTAGCTAAATTAGCATGACCTGAAATATTTTTAAAGTGCTGGGATTAGGACAAGAAACAGTATGAAAGGAGGTAACTGTATTTTCTAGGTTGTTTTTTGTTTGTGTGCGGAGTTTTGAAACGTCACGCAATCTCTTATTAGTTTCTTTCTAAAAAATAAAGAATACAAATGCTAGATATTTAGAAGAAGCTGTTTGGCAGTGCGCAGATATGTTCTACACATCTCATTACCATTAACAGGCATGCATGGCTAAACCTCCCCCTATTGCACTGAGGATTTACCCTCTGGCTTTGTTAAGTGATGCCTGAGTGTGGATTTTACAAAGGAGTTTCATAACCATTTTCTACACTATGCAGCACACCTACTATATCAGAATATGCTTCTTGGGTGAATGGTAGCGATTAATGAGAATCGATGTGTATTCAAAAAAAATTCAAAGAGCTTGTATATTAAGTCTTCTGGGGAAGGAGAGTTCCATCTCTTATTTTAACTAAATGACAAGCTACTTTTTGTTTTTCTATTCCTTGTCTTCTAGTATTGCTAAACAATCAAATGCAAGGTATTTTGTCTTCTTTCACTCCTTAAAAGAAAATCAATCAATTAATACACAAAGATAAAAGTGAGAAACCTACTGTAATCTACTAAGGTCCAGGAATTTAAAGAATCAAATGTACCTTCTGGGTTTCGGAATCCATCGGGGAGAATGTAGAGTAAGTTATTTTTCTCTGACCTTCCCTAATTTTGTCTCACTGCCTTAGATATATTTCAGACACTGGTGCAGTACTGGGGGTGGGAGGTGTTTTGGGGTGCTTGAGAAAGCAGTGGGATCTAAAAAAGAGACACCAAAGACTCTAGCCTCTAGGGAAATAGGTCTGTTGGGGTGGCTTTTTGTGCAGGTTTTCAATGTGCCACACCCCTTTGCAAAAGGTTGGGACCCCTTGGCTTTATTCACCCGGTTTGTGTTGGAGTATATATATTTACACTCGGGATGTTTTGAGCAACCCTTATTCCTCTCTTTTTAAATCGGCTGCACTGTTCATCTTGAATATCAAGGTTTTCCTATACTTGCTAAGTCTTGCTCATGTAATCTAATGCTTCATTTCTTCCCCAAAAAATAAGACATTTGCATCAAATTCAGCATTTCAATAGCAAGAATCCCTCTTTGTAAAAGACACAGGATTAGTTTCTGCTGTGAGTTTATCTGTATCATCTCCATTTATTTCTCAGGGGTGATGAGAAGACTTTGCATTTGACCAAAAAGCACTAGTAAATAAGGAGTTAAAATGAAGGCAGGCTCGCTGGTTTGCTGAGATCTGTCAGAGTCTGACTGGCTGGCTACATATCTGTCTCTGGAACAATAGGTACCTGTATTCTGCACGGACTGCTGGGCAGCACTAGCACTCTGGAGAAGGTCTGCCGCTGTCTGCACTTTCCTGGTGAGAATCCCCAATGACAGTCCCACTTTTCAGTGGAGGAGAACAAAATATCTGTCTACTCTCTTGAAGAAGGACACGGCTTTGATCATATTTGTTCAGGCTTGACTTGGCCGGAGGTTTTAGGTTCTTAGTCTCAAGTCAGCAGTCTCTCTCTCTCTCTCTCTCTCTCTCTCTCTCTCTCTCTCTGAAACACACACACACAGAGACGCACACACACACAAGCACACACATACACAAGCGCAAATCCTCTCTTTCTCTTTCTCTCATTTCCCGTCATAGGTTCTATGCAGGCAGATGAGTGTCACAGCTGTAACTGAGGCACAGAGCAGTACACACAGTGGAGCCGATTTCCGCGATGGCGAGAGGGGGCACCGGAGGTGACAACAATAACAAGACTGTCCTTCGGACAAGTTTTAGGTAAGAAAATATTTATGCCCTGATTCTTGTATTTCTGCACTTTGTGTCTGCAACATTGGGATAGAAAGCAACTCTGGATAGGGAAATATCTTTGTGAGGGTATCATCTGTGCTGTCACTTGCCTGCAAACCTGTGTTCTCCGGGCTTTGTGTTACTGGAATCGTCGGAGGTGAAGTGTGAGCGGAGCTGAGTGGAAGGGTGAGCTGCTTTTTGTGTCTGTCTGGTGATATTCAGCACGCTGTTTAAATTTATATCTGGAAAAAAATTCTGTTTGATGATAGTTAGCAATGTTTTGTGCAACGTAGAAGAGCATATGGCCATGCAGAATTCAAGGGATGCTCTTTCATTCTTAATTTGTAATTATTTTTACACTCAACTGTACTGAGGTCAGAGAGTTTCAAAAATTAATGAGATTCCCTGTGGAGTTCAAATAGTAATATCTACGTGAGCTGTCACAAAAAGATAAGATTATGATGGTATGTTTTCAACATAGATTTAACTGTCTTATTTGGAACATACTCCATTTGAAATATATATGAAATGTACAATAGTTTATGGAAGCCTATATGTTTTTGGAAATTAGTTGGTTTTTTTTAATGATGAGGAGAAATTGACTCAAAATTAGACTGTAGAGGATGAACACTTTGTGTAGAGATATTACTAAAACTTAATAGACATTGTTATGGCAATAGAGAATATCTTATACTTTCGAGGAAATAAGAAATAATGAATGAGTCGCACGCTAAAAAGAAATCTGCAAATGTGTTTTCATTTCAAGTAATACAAAAAAACTCAGCAGATATTTATAGTGAAACATTGCTGGCATGAACAAAGAAGCAAGTGTACACATAGATGAGAATTCTTTGTCACAAAAATGAGTCCAGGACATCGATTTAGGAGGTTAAGTGATTTTTATGTTCTTAGTGCCCCACAAAAGGGAGTCTATTGGGATGAGTCCAGACATTTAAAAATGTACCAAAAACTTTCATTTCCCACAATTTAAAAGCATTGTTTATGTTCCTGATACAACACATTGTTTAAATGAGGGGGACCGAAAAGCAGTCTGAATATGCAGTAATCGGGGCTAAAGATGGTTTTTATCCCCAGGTCCCCATTTACAAGATCCATTCGGAGCTTCCTGTGATATATTGTTATGTAAATACTGTTCAGCCAGGGAAAGCAGTACTATGGAGATTCAATTTACTTTGAAAGTTGTTCATTATAGCAGGGATGAATGTTATTTATTTGATGTGATTCAAAGGCTGGAAATGACTTTTTCATTGTGGCACCTTTTGTAATGGGTGCAGGGTGATCTAATCTTTTTAATTTTGGCTTTCACACCAGTGGAGATGAAAAGAGATCTGAACTCATTTATCGGTTGCTAGGTCCTTCTGGAGGCCCAAGTCCTGTTGGTGGTTGCTATGGCCAGTCTGACCTCAATCTCCGTGGTTTTGGGGACTTAGCAGTCTTTTTTTCTTATTGAGGAGCATGTACCTTGATTTATGTCCAAAATCGTGGCTGAACGTCTTTGTCTGCAAGTGATAAATGGTGCCGAGCAATTCATCAGTTCTTACAAGTAAACACTGCTGTCCCACTAAAAATATGTTTTGTTCTGAGTTAATGGTATGGAACAAGGCAGCCTCCACAAACAGCTATCTTTTATTGTGGAGGGGCCACTGAAACTTGGAGCAAAGTGGAGGAGATTGGCATTCATTTTCTTGTACATTAGCATTTCATTTGTGATTCGGATGATGCAGCTCTAGGTGGATTGACTATGAAAGGGTGAGCCTTCCATCTCCTTACCTTCTCTCTAGTTGGGGTGCCTGTGAAACCGGCAGGCTCTCTCCAAATGCCTGGATTCTGCTGGGGGAGTAAGAAGTCAGGAGTAGTTTGTCTGATGGTATTGGGATCTGCTTTGCAATTGCCAAGCGCTAAGGCACAAGCTGGCAGATGTGCTGCGGCTCTGCTACGGGCGGCTCTGTCGCCTTCAGTCGCAGGCTGGTTCTTTGGGGGAAAGTTGTATCCAATATTGGTGACTCCCGGGAATAGTCTGTTTGTGTGCTACTTAATGGTCTCTAGGCTTCCTTGTCTTGTAGAACCTTGTTAGAAAGGAGCCTTGGTGATTAAGAGGCTATGGAGTACACAGCCTTGCTTAGCAGATGAGCCCTTATCCATTTCCCGTTTCCTTAAAAACGGCTAATTGATGGATGCTGCAGAAAACATGCACTCTGCTAATAAGATGCTGATGACAAAATAGGTATCAGGAAAGGCATTTACTGCTTATGAGCACCATCAGCTTTCTTTCGAGTGAGATTGTGGCTTTGTAGTAAAGTTTTTTTTTAAGTAATATGCTAATAGTTTTATTCTAAATCGGCCAGCGCTGAATATCTTCAGGAAAATGGGTTCCATGAGAAGTGACATCCTCCTCGAATCAAAAGGTAAAAATTCAACATTTTTAAAAGTGCAATTTTCAAACCGTTTCCTCTACTTCTTGCCAGTAGCATTGGAAAACTGCTCTCTAATTATAATTATTTAAAATTTGATTTTTTAAAAATATTAAAGGTTTAAAGAGAAGAGCTTAGAGAATTTGATTGTTAGTCATTTTCTGAAGATTGGCTAGCTTTGGTGATAAAATGCAAGCAGGTGCTCCCTCTGTTTCCCTTCAGCCTTGAAAATAAGCAGCTTTTTATTTCTTTAGAGACAATGATCATTTTGGAGATCAATAAAAGTAATATTTATTTTATGTGGATTTTATTTCTAGAACTAGTAAATTAAGAACCAGGGTTAGGTGATGTCAAAAGGTCTCTTCTGGCTTGAAAATTCTTTACGAAGTACCAATTTTCTAAAGGAGCCAATAAGCATGCCTATATTATTGTAATCGCACTTATTCAACCAATGTTTAGCTTTCTTTAGTAGAGCAGCAGCAAAAGTTCCATGCTTCGGCGTACAAGTAATCATTGTGGCTTGAAGTAATTTCCAAATAATTGATTTTTGAAGGTATTAAAAAAGCCCTGATATGTTAGTGCTTTATTAACTCTGGGGTTTTACAGAGCTCAACTTGTGGCTCCTTTACTTGGGTTTCTTACTTCAAGTCCTCTTGAAGGTAATATTTTATATAAGTGGTTAATTTCCCAAGATTTAATTTTAGGTATTTGGAGACAAGTACTCCTCGGTATGTATCTATTATGTATATGAACACATTTTAATATAAAGTGTCTTATAAATTTCACATTGTGTTTTGCTTTGCTGTTATTTCAAAGGATCTAAGTGAATGGTGGATAGTGCTCAATTTCCTGAAATGATTAAATTCACTCTCTGAAGAATCTGGGGAAAAGGCCTGTAATGACATTTTGATGACTTTCATTTTAAGGTGTAATAGAAATTGAGTAAAATGTTTTAATAGCTGTTCTCTAATATCTCGTTCCAAATACAATGTTTTTATTGCTCATTCTAGCTTACAATTTTCTGGTGATAATAATGTTGGCTGGTAATTGTTTCTTGTATAGAAATCATTTTATCCTTATGTAAAAGTTATTTCAGAAAAGTCTTCATGCATTTATCTCAGCTCAAGCAATTGCATTGAACTCTTGAGATAAAACAGTGAGTATTTCCAGATTGCGCCTACTTTAATTTGACACTTCCTTAGGAGAATTAGGAGTGTCTTAAAGGGAAGAATATTTGATATGATAGTTTGTAGTTTAAGGAGAAAAACCAAAGAGGCATGCAAGTCAGAGAAAGCTGAGAAAAGAAGGAAACAAGGAGTAAATACTATGAGTGATTTTACTTTGCTTGGTTTTACTTTGTTTGCCAGATGTCATATATATTTTAAAATTTAAAATTGGACTAAGAAATAAAAAGTGCATGTAAATATGCTGTTGTTATAGCTATCTTCTTTATTAAATAGGTAAGTGCAGAGATATAAACGTGATAAGATTACCGCTAATGTTACCAGGAACATCTTTGCACCTCAATTCTTTCAGGAGATGTACACACAAGTAACGTTAATCACATAGCTTTTAAAGAATCATATCTTTTGGGAGCTAAAGTTATGACATATTAGATCAATTTTCATGTAAGTCAAAATGAAATCCTGACATCAATTTTTCTGTACAAGTTACACAAAGCCAATAGCTTCCAGACTGCATTGTTATAAATGCTAATTAGACAAATTTTTATACAATTTAACTTGATTATAGTAAATAATTAGTCAGAATATAATATTGCTGAATTAACACACCATTAGTGTAATTTTTTAGAGAAGTAAAATTAAGCTCTGGCATCTGATTACATTATCCTCTCCTGATATGTTTACTACATTTCTCCAAGTTTGCTTTCTTCTTGTCATTATGTTCCTTTTCAAATACCACTATTACAGACCAGCTATTATAATACTTACTTATAGTTTCTTTCTGCCTACTATAATTCTGCCTTTGTCTTTGTGCTGTGCCATTATTCTTATCTGTCACCTAGAAAGTTGTATTGAATTTGATGCTATTTATCTGACCCATTTGCCTGAATTTGGGAGAGGCGGGGGAAAGGCTAAAACCTGGTTCATTAGAAATTGTGTATGAAGTGCTAAAAGATTTGAATTGGCTTTGGTATGTTCATGGGATTGATATTAGGATATGGATTTTCTTAGTAGTAGCCAGTTATTTGTGTAATTCAATAAAATCTTTTTTTCAGCTATCTTGGTTTATTTTCCACAAAACAGAGCATCATCTAGGAAATTTATTATAAAGAATGCACTGCCAGGGAGGGGCCCTCTTAGATAGCTAGTAAAAATATCACTCTGAGTTACTGTTCTACCTTGTTGGCAAGGATTCATGGTAAAGCTTTATCTACAGGTTTTGTATTTAATCATCTTTGTGATCCAACAGCAAATTTTCATTTGTTTCACTATCAGTTGGATAGCTGTTGTTTAAATGCTACCAGAATGATTTAAGAAAAAAGTTATCCTAAAAAGCTTAATTACACAATCTAGGACTCACTAATAATTTATTCAGATTTTAAAATATGAACATTGTATTTGCTTAATGGTGTTTATAATCTCTTTTTCAAGAGAAGGGCTATATAGACTCGTTACGTCCCTGAATCCTTCTAAAGTTGCTAGACTTTATGATCCTATAATACTACACTGTATATTGTACAAAACCTTTTTGCATCCTTACTAATATCTCTAAGCTGTTCATTCATGCCCTTTATGTTAGTTGACATTATTTAAGCACAGTGTTCTTGTGATTTATAAGTCTGTGAATTTCCTGTGTTTTTCTGACAATTGAGTTCATAGTTCAAATGCAGTTACTGAAGTATACTAGTAGGTTAGTAGTTTCCTTAGAGAGATACAAGGTAACACACAGTGGTCAGGAACATATGGTTTGTAGTTAATTATCACGATCTCAAGTGTTTTAATATAGTTTACCGTAGAGATCCTAAAACATGCAGAATTTCCAGAAAATATTTAAAGAAGAATTCAATTTGCTAGAAATTGGAAACATGGAAGTCAAATGAATTATTTTAAAAATCTCCTCCCATATGGATTTAGAAAGCATTCATTTATTCATTCACTCATGCATCAAATGTTGGTTCAGTGCCTACCGTGTGCCAGACACTATTCTTGTGGCTCTTGATTTGTCACCATTAGTTCAGTATTTAATATATTTTCCTGATTTTGTAGATTATGGGAATCTTACTAGTGATTTATACATCATCATGAATCACACATCGCAATCCAAATTATTTTGGAGCATATATTTCTCTTTTCTACTCTTTAAATGGCTTAAGATATATATATTCTAGGCATATATACCAATTTAGTAAAAGGGGAAAGATTTATACAATCTGAAGAGAAACCAGTGTGTGTGTGTGTGTGTGTGTGTGTGTGTGTGTGTGTGTATGTGTGTATATATATACACATTTACTATATATATAATTGTATACAATATATATAAATGTATACAGTATATACAATTTAGAAGAAGATATTGGTAAAACAGTCAGAATGTGCTTCAAGAAGTTATCTTATTGATATGTATTTAGAAAGTCTAAATTTATCCCATTTTCCTTATTATTCAGGCCCACTCTGCAGCAGACACTAAATTGGTTTTACTGTTTTTATGCTTCCTTCCAATGCTTCCTGTATTATTTTAAGGGATTTCTAATTCTAATTATGAATGGCTAACATTTACTTTCTATATGCCAGACAGTGTGCTAAGACCTTTACCTTCATTTTCTAATTTAATTTTCTCAGTCACTTTATGAGAATGGTATCATCATTACGTTTGTTTGTAGATGAGGAAACTGAGGTTTCGAGAAGTTAACTTCTTCAGGGTCACAGAGCTAACGAGCAGCTGAGATGACTTAAAATCTAGGTCCTTCAGGTGCCATTAATTTTTCTTGTTATTCAACACATATTATTGAGCCTCTGTAATGTCCTAGGCTTGTTCAAGATGTTCAGAATAAAGCAGTGGATAGAACAGGCTTTAAAGCCCTGTACTTTATTGCCCAAGTCAACGTCCTTAGAATACAGGTACCTCACAACTACCTTGAGGCTTTTATTATGTTATTTTCTTCTGCATTCAGGAATTCCCCAGAGCCAATAGGATACAATTTTAAAATGTCAAACCTTTTTAGATCTCATACCATTTGGCTTCAGTCCTTCTTTCCAACTGTATCATTGTCTATTTCTAAATAGGGATGGTCTACACTGTAAGGCTGATTTGCTCATTGCCCCCACAAAATTTGTCTTGCATTTTCTCTGTTCATTCCTGCACCTGAAATAATTTTGCCACTGCCTTCTCAAAGCCCTCAAACCTTCAATGTCTGGGTCAAAGCCGTTGGCTCCCAGGAAGCCTGTTTTAGAAATTAAATCCCCAAGTTCTTTTATCTGCATTGATTATTTAACACCTGACAGTTGCAACAACTAAGATGATTTGAGCGAGATAATGCTCCACATTTTTTACCGTGTCTGTGTTTGTAGGTGTGCCCAACTGACATACTGGCTAAGAGTTCAGGGTCCCAGCAGTGAAATAAGAGAAGAATATTAAAAAGATAGGACCCGAAGACTAGGAAGTAAGAGCCTCCACTGCCTAGCACGGTGCCTGGCATAGGGTATGCAGTTCATACATGTTTTAGGCCAGGAAAAAGGAGAGGAGGGGAGGGAGGAGGAAGAGAATGACAATGGAGGAAAGCTTGCAGGGAAGGAGAAAATAATACTCCTAAAATCATAACCTAAGGCCTTTAAAGATCTTTAAATATTTATATTAGGGTTAGAGATATCATTAAGGAATATATTAATATATGCAATACATTTTTGATTCTTCCTGGAATAGATTGTCACTTTTATCTATATTAATACATTTGATATAGAATGGACTTTCTGGAGTTTCTAAGGGAAAGTGCAATTGTGTTGTGTTTGTGTGTTTTCCATCACAATTCAGGCCTACAATGCTGTTAACTCTAAGTTGATTTTGTTGTTTTACACTCTAAGTGATTATTTTTCTGTTTCCTGGGATATATTTCAGTATCATAAAAGTTGCTGACCACCCACCACTCCCCAAAAAAGAGCCATTTCCTTAACCATCATAAAGTTTTATTAGCTAATACCTCATGTTGGGTTTTTATTTTCAATAAAAGCCGAATTCAACATTCAAACTCCTAGTGCAAATCTCCTCTATCAATAAACAGTACTTGTGGTTAATTTTATTTATATTTTTGCTTGATTATATGCAAAGGTGTAGCCTCGAAATCTTAAGAGAGATACGTGTCTGCATTTTTATGAACACGCAAACCAAGTTATTAAGATAGAAATTTTACTTCATAGGAAAATCCAGGTGGATATTTAAAAAAATCAAGTACTACATCTGACCTCTGCTGTAAGGCTGTTTTACTGGCTGTAAGAGTCAGATTAATGTAGATAGATATAAATATAGATAGGGCTTCCTTCAAGGAGGTATTACTTTTGCATAATATATGTGTAGCGTGTGTTAATTTTCCTGGGTGAAGCAAGCTAGAAAAGTTGCTTCTTAAACCAGTGACTGTAACAGGTTGTGTGTACCCTCTAACTTATATGGGAGGACCCTGCTGAAGCAGCCCCATTCTTTGGGAATTCCTACCTGCTAGTGGAGATAAGTGAGCATAAAGCTTTGGCCCTGAGGCTTTGAGCTGTCCTGCTTTTAAGAAACAAGAGATATTTCCACAGTCTGTCTTGTAGTAGTAGTAGCTGAACAGCCCGTGAGAGTTCCAGAAATGAACTGTGCTCCAAATGCTTATCACATGCTGTGTTGATGTCGGTAAAATGCAGAGGATGAGCTGGGCTCCCCTTTAACCCTAACTTTCTATGGTGATTTCATTTTGACACTAATTTCAGGCATAAACCTTGGCCCTTAGCTACAGTGTGTAACTGTTGGCATCTCACTGCCACCTGGGTGCACAATGAGAATAGCAAATGGAGAACAATATTTAGCCTCTGTGATTTGCCATAAGAACGCACAACATGCAGTTGGAAAGGGAAATATTTAATCAGCCACTTTTCTCAATGCAGTCGCCATCAGTTGAGTTGGTTGAAGATTTTTTTTCCTCCATATTAACGGCTTGTTTTGTCACTGTGAAGATAGATCCTTTGGCTTCCTCTTGAATTCTTATTATGCAAATTTGGGGACATTGCATATTAATTTGAACCTACAAGCATAAAGGAGATATTTTATGCCAAATTCATAGCTCACTTTGGTCAAAAGATTTTTTTAAAAAGCTCCTGGAGTCCTCTGTTTTGTTAGTTGGCCGTGGACTTAATATGTGAAAGGCTGTAAGTGACGCACGAATAATACCATTCCATTTTTAGGCATGTTGTATGATGATGCTGTTGATCTTTAAAAGAAATTCCATTTGGTGACATTTACAGAAATAGTTTTGTGTTAGCAGCTTTTAATTTTAATTTTAAAAAATATTGAGAATGGTGTAACTTTCAAGTGGTGAGGAAGTCATCTAGAAGGTACATACTTACGTAATGGAAACGGGAGACATACATGGACTCTCATCAGATGTTGTGCTTATATTCAATCCAGGGAAACGGTTTGACAAGTAAGAATATGGTATAGTGCAGAATGCCAGTATAAACAGGCAGATCGCCTTAAAGACTCAGATCCATTTTATTTTAAGCCTGATGTTTTTAAAGTGCTAGGAAGATCCGAATCCAGAGTCAAGTAGTCCTCACTTGAATCCTGCTGATTCAGTGCAATGCAGTCCAGTCCGTGACAATTAACTCAGTTACTTACTGATTGGATCTCTAATATTTATAAACACTTTAAACTCCTCCAGTCAATTATCTCTTTGAGAATATTATTTTATCTTTTGGTTGGGTAACTAAAATAAGATAAATGGGTACATATGACAAAGAATTTCTGGTTCTTTCCCACAAAAGAAAATATTTCAAAGAGTTCAGAATTTCTACATGGTTTGGAAATGTAATTTTTCATTCCAAATTGGGTAAAAGTTGGTATAGTGTACAATCTTTTAGACTAAAATGGTTTTGCTTTGACCCCAATAATCACAATTATTATTATAACTTCGGAAAGATTTTCAATCATTCATTCACTCAATCATTCAATTGGCTTTTTTTCTTAATTATCTCATCTGAACAGTGTTGCTAATGGCACTGTGAAGGATTTTATAAAAGGAGAAAATATAATCGTTCTCTCATCAACTGTAGTAGAATTGGAGAGAAAAGAAAACCTTGAAGAACTAATTGAATAATATAATAAAATTACTGTTAGCAATCATACTTTAGTAGTGTGAAGGGAAAAGCTATTTCTGCACAGGTAGGAAGCAGTATTAACAATCAAATACAACTTTTAGGCTCAGAATATAGGTTCAGATTATTTGTTGTGAGAATAATGAGAATATTCAGAATAAAGGCTAATTCTTGGAAATGGATTTTAGAATTTTCAACTGATTTCATCAGCAAAAACATAAGGCTTTCATTTCATAAAAACTTTAAAAAATGTAACTATGTCATCCTGTTAGTGATTAATTCAACTGTCTAAAAATTACAAATATTTTACTTTATTGAAGGTTTATAGTAAAATACGTGTGTGTGTTTCGAAGGCTGGGGGCTTGGTGGATTTATTGGTGCCCTTATTCAACTTTGCAATAGTCTTCCATAGTTTGGACATGAATGTAAATTGAACTGTTTTAAAAATAGTTTACATCATTGCTTGTGCCTATCTTTTGAAATATGTCAACTTCCTCACTATCTTGAGAAGATAGGCTAACACATTCTATGTGATGGAAAACTTTTCAAAGCTGTCTTTCACATCCCAGGATGTGTAAAGCCCTGCCCATAGCTTCATTCTCTGGCAGAAATATTATACCATTTACCCACATAGATAAAAACACTATTCCAAATAAAACTTAACATTAAGCAAAGAGCTTTGGTATTGGTTCAATTCTCGCTTTCTATCTCAAATAGGAAAGTTTACTATTTTAAGGAAAAACAACTTTGTATGCATGTTCATAATCATTTTCCAGGAAAGCCAAAGATTAGCAGGCCAAAAAGAATTGGAAAACTTCACTTTAAAAGCCTTGACATTTTTGCCCTTAGTTACCTGTGTGTTGAAAAGCAAAGGCCTAGTAATGACTTAATTATTCTCTTCTTTTCTCTGGTGGAGTTTGTGTTTTGTAGATGTAGAAAAAAGAGCCTTGACTATTTCTGGCTTCTCTGCCCAGGGAAGGGAAGAATTGGCTAAAAAAATACACATTCCTAGTAGACATTTCTTATTGACAGTGTACGGTATTCTGTGAGCTGGGGAAGACAGATACCCTTTTATTGGGGGCAGGGGGAGGATGTAGCAAAGGACCAATTTTCCTGGAGATCCTATTACGTGAAGGGACTTATACTGGACACATCATGGAGAAAATCAGAAAGAAGGCTGCTTAATAAGACCCACTCCTGGATGCGGCCACTCTCAATTCTCAGTGTCTTTGGGAAGCAAGGTTCGCCATCCACTTGTCTAAACAGATGATGATAGCAGAGGTGCTGCACACCTTCTCCCTGTGACTTGTGAATGCCTTTCGTGCTCCCAAATAAGGAACTCCTCTCACTGCTGTCTGCTCTGAGCTGTATTTCATTTTGATAGCCATTTGCAGGGGACACCTTTGAACTCCATGCAATGTAAAAGATGTGGTTGAGAAATTCTTCAATGGAATTTCTTCCCCTTTTCCCCCACCCTCATTTTCCTCTGGGTGATTTACAGCTTGAACATTAGGTACTTAGAGACAGTATGTCTGACCTACCTTTAAAAATACACATTAAGACACACACAATTTGAAGAAAAAAGAAGCCAAAAAAAAAAAAAAAAAAAAACCTTGAGAAGGACAAAGGATTATATATTGAGGAAATATAGTATATGGTTAAATTCAGAAATCAGAAGAGTTGAAAGAAAATATGTGGAAAAAAAATTGTTTTTATTGAATTACAGATTCAGCTATTCCCAGTTTCACTTTCACTTGCTGGATCATAATGTCCAATGTCTTCTTCAAATTTAATTTTAGTGTCATGTCTCTAAAGTAAATATGTTTGAGAGTAGGCATACTCACTTTGTTACTATTAGGAGACGATACACCTCTTTGGTACATCTCCAGTGTACTCATTCATAATAATTTAACTTTGACATAAATTGCTCATTGCCTTCTGTCTTTTCCCCAATAAAGTAGCCAAAGTATTTTGAGTAATGTTGCTTCCGAAAACAAATACAACTTCTTAGCTTTCATCTTGAAATATTTAAACGTGAAATCTAAATTGCAGTGCTACATCAATCAGTGTCCAGCAGCACAAATTGATTGTCTTGTCCATATCTTGTCAGTAATCAGTGAGTTTCTACTTCTCAGGTGCATGTTTACTTTTCTAGGCTACATTGATCAGTCATGGTTTCAGCCATTTTTACCTTGGAGTTTGTGCCCTGTGATTTGAGGGCATTGGAAGGCTTTTGAAGGTCTAATATTCTAGTATTTGCGCATACACTTTCAAGAGAGGGTGATTGGAACACAGGCATCTATGTCTGATGGCATTTGGAAGATCTTCTCAGCTGATGTCACCTTTTCTTTCTCACCTTGGGGCTGTAAGAGAAGCAGCAACCTCTGTGGTAGGAAGAGTACAGCCTTTGGAGTCAAACCAAATTAGATTAAAATTCCAGACCTACTACGACCATGGACCAATTGCTTAGTATGTTTGAAACACAGTTTCTTCCTCTGTAAAATAAGGATTATAATAACGATTATAATACCCACCTTAGTATCTTTTTTTTTGTTTTTTTTTTTTACCATTTCCCACATGTCAGGCATCATTTTCACATGGACTAAAGGCAAACATTATGATCCTTCACACTTTACAGGTTACTATACAGAGGTTTAGAGAGGTTAAAAGAAAAAAACACCCAAGAACACACATAGTTGTTAAGTAGTGGGTCCTCTTGTTGATTATCTTATTCCAGTAGAATTTGTTTTTAGGAAAGGACATGCAGGTTTCAAAAATATATACATAATAAATATGTTTCCCAAATGCGATTTAGTTTAAGCCCTTGGTTATGATATTAGAGATATACTAAAGTATTAATACTACAGTGTTAAAGCTGTAATTTCTATTTCACCCACGTTGCTGCATCACATACTGACGTTGTTTGAGAGTGTGCTTTTAAGTGGCTGTGGAGGACTATATGCTATGAGAGCTGCTTTATGCTTTTCTTTTTGAAGATGTTGATGGTGCTCTCATCTTGATGAGCACAACTCCTTTTCAGTAAAGATTCTGGATAAATGTCTGTTGCATGGAATTGAATGCTAGTCTATAAGGCAATTTTTATACCTTAGATGAAGAGTGGATGCCATTTGCAGAAGAGCTTGACATTCTCAGGGAGTCATTTTATAGCCTAAAAGAATTTTATATTTGTGATTATATGACTCTTGATAAAGAATAAAAAAAAGAGAATGATTTACTGGGAATTTAAAAGTTTCATTCTACTGTGGCTTCATCTGCTGCCCATTTGCAGGACACTGATAACTTCAGCTTCTTCTCCTGCTTCATCTGCAGGCTCTTGAAGTCTGTGGGATGCCCAAGTGTGTATAGAAACTCGGAAATAGCACAGTCCCTCTGGTTAAGAATAACATGTCAGTTTTCTTCTCTTGCTTTTGTGTGCTCTCTGGAGCTCACCCATGCATGATGTTCCAGTGGACTTCAAAGGCAAGTCTATGGTTGGATTAGCTCCACAGGACAGAGAGCAAGGTAAGAAATAGGCTTAGTGCTATCAAGGCCCACTGGGGAGCTGATAGAGCCGAGCTATGTGGTTTCCAAAATGATTTGTTCATTCATGTCCTCATGGAAGAATAGGCAAATTTGCATAATACTTTCTATTTTATTATCACCATTAAAATTTCTGCATTTTCAAAATGGTGTCTGGACAGTACTCCAAAAGGCTGATTTATAGCTATATAATACCTGCACTTGAGGGGTTGAAGATCTAAAAAAAGAGATATAGATATAATAAATTTGGAATTAGAAAATACTACTAAAGTCATAAAGACATAAAATATTCAAATCATAGGGTAATTTGGGATATTAAGAAAGGAATGGAGGAAAGAATGGTGTGTACTTCAGAAATTGCAACTAAGGGATATTTGCTTTCCAGAGGTTGCTAGCAAAGATGGGCTTCTTATAGAATTCTAGAGCCAGGCATTACTGAGGAAAGGAAGGTGGAAGATTAAGTGATTTAAAGACTTAGGAAAGACTTTAGGGGAAGGTTTAGAAATAAAATAGGAATGGTTAGATGATGAGGGTACGGAGGTGACTTGACTGAGAAGAATATGGCAGACTAACGAGGGTTAAGAGACATAGTGCATGGGGCAGAGTCAGGTGCCCACATGCGCTTTGAAGTTAGGAAAGCCAGCAATATAAAATATCAACGTGGAAACCTAAGGAGGAAGTAGATGTGGTGAGGTCCATGGATAAGCAGTGGAAGCAAACCTAGCAATCCTGCTGAGCATTGATAATAGGCTTTTTCATGAAGACTTGGAGCCATGGAAAGGCAGATGAAGAATCTTAATTTTCAGAAATCAAAAGACCAGATAAGAAAGGCCACAATAATCCAGGTGACAGTGCAACAGATCCAGGACTGAAACTATAGCTATGATGTGAAAACCAAAAAGGGGGATAAATTTAATAGTTGTAAAAAATTATATAAAACAAAATAACAACAACATCAGCACAATTTAACACTACAGAGAGGAGGATTCAGAAACATTAAAGGATAGAAAAAAATTAAAAACTGGTCATAGGTTTTGCTTCTGTGATAGAAAAGCTACTCATAGAGCAGGACTGAGTAAGAATACGCAGGATCCCAGCAAACCTTTAAGGGAACAAACATACTTAATGCATGGTTTTTCCTCTGTCTCTGCAATGAGGAAGAGAAAGGATAAGGTTATTTCTTTGCACTGTGATTTATTCCATTTTATCTTCAGGATCACAAGTATGTGTTGCTTAACTTTATATAAAGCTAAAAGCACTTTTTAATTGTGTAGTTCCCCTCTGCCAGTTCTTTGAGGTCATTTTATTCAGCATTGTCTAGGGAGACACGGCAGAGAGAAATTGCAATCTGTGTGGTAAAGAAATCCGTAGACTTGGTATGACTGAATGTCAGGTTGAATCTCAGCTGTGGTTATATCCTTCTAAGTGAATAGAGCAGAAACAGAAATGAATTATTTGTCTCCAGAAATTGTCTTTCTGTCTTTGCTTTTGGAGACAGTGGCATATGTACTAAGGCTGGAACAATTCTGCTTTGATTTGTCATCAAACACTTGGTATTGGGCTTTGAAAGGGAAGGAAAATATTGTGTAATTCAAATGAGCTTTTCATTTGAAAATGGAAGGCTCTTTGTATAGCTATCGTTCCTAATTATCAGTAGATATTTCTCTTCTAAGATGTACACCATAATTTTATGACCTGAGAACTACTCGATATTTGCTTCAGTATCTATAAAACACATTTTGATTTAATTTCTTACATCGTAGAAAGTATAACCAGATTATCTGTAGTCTTCTCTTAACTGAAAATTCTGGTAGAGGAAACCATGAAGTGGAAGCATCTCATTTCATTGTCGTAAGGAAGGCTGAACTTGGAAAAAGGACTTGTTTAAGGTCACACAGCTAGGTAGTGACAGAGCCAGGGAAGTCTCAAAGCTATTTATACCCAGATGAGCCTCCTTTAACTTATGGTGTACTGTCCCTTCTCAGTGTAGGAGATTCTGAACTGTAGACAAACACCAGTGAGTATAATTGGCATTCCCCAATAAATCAGGTATCAGTTTGGATGTTTCATAGTGTGCCCATACACCTATCATACAAGCATTATTATAAATAAAGTGTAAGCACTCTGATAGTGACTGACAGGGCTTAAATAGGAGTTAAAAAAGAGACTTTTAGTGAACACTAATTATTTAAGAAATTGCCTTTTGTCTGATTTCCTTAGGAGATTTAACAAGAAAACAATACATCTGACTCCATTTTATTCCATGTTTTGCTTGCTGTAGAGCCTGCCATCCTAGGACCAGGGCAAATTGCTCCCAAATTTTCTCAAATGGAAAAGAGAAGCAGAGCAGCCTCTAGTAGAGCTGTGGTCTGGGTTGGCACTCGGGCACCAGTGCTCCGTGGCTCAAGTGCATCCATCCATCCTCATGTTTCTTTTGTCCCAAATGCCCTCTCCCTTGTCCTGGTCCCTCTCCATTATTATTCTGATCGCTCTCCTCATCTCATTCAAACCTCTTGAAAATTTGGTGTATCTGTACTTTGGGTGTTTCCTTGTCTTTGCTTTTTTTTTTTTTTTTTTTTTTTTGAGACAAGGTCTCACTCTCTTGCCCAGCCTGGAGTGCAGTGGCACAGTCATAGCCCGCTGCAGCCTCAAACTCCTGGGCTCAAGCAATCTTCCCACCTCAGCCTCCCAAGGAGCTAGGACTACAGGTGCACACACCACTGTACCTGCCTAATTCTTTTATTTTATTAATTTTTTTGTAGAGATGGGGGTCTCTGTATGTTGCCCAGGCTATTCTACAACTCCTGGCCTCGAGTTATCCTCCTGCCTTGGCCTCCCAAAGTACTGAGATTATAGGCGTGAGCCACAATGCCCAGTCTTTACTTTGTTTTACAATTCCCAGCATCTGGCTTCTGCTCCTACCTTACTACTGATGAACCAGTAGTTCCTGAATTGCTAAATCCAGTGGGCTTTTAAATTATTTCCTAGATCTCTCTGTGCATTTGACCCCATTGATAGCTCCCTCCCTCTGAAAGTTGCCCATTCCCCTGGCTTCCACTGTACCATACCCTCTGGGTGGTCTTCTAATTATGTCTTTTTGCCTCCTTCCTGGACTTCCCTTCTTCCTCTTCCCCTGGGTTCATCCTCAGCCCGTTGCTCTTGCCCTGTACACTTTTCCTCAGTACTTTCATCCACCATCATGGTTTGTAGCTACTCAGACATTTTATTTGTAGTCCAGTCTCTTGTCTGCAGTTCAGACTCAAATATCCAACTGCTTGCCATGTCCAACAGGCACCCTCCAACCTAACGTGTGCAAACTAACCTCATCATCATCCCCCTTAACGTAGTTTCTCATTCTATGCTTTCTGTCTCATTTTGTGGCACTGCTGTCGACTCATTCATCTAAACTAGAAACCCAAGAATCACTTTTGGCTCTTTTTTGCCCACTTTTGTTTTCCATATCAAACCCAGTACCAGGAACTGCTAATTTTTCTTTTCTTTTCTTTTCTTTTTTCTTTTTTTTTCTTTTTTTTTGAGACAGAGTTTCGCTCTGTCACCCAGGTTAGAGTGCAGTGGCCTGATCTCGGCTCACTGCAAGCTCTGCCTGCGGGTTCATGCCATTCTCTTGCCTCAGCCTCCCGAGTAGCTGGGACTACAGGCGCCCACCACCACGCCTGGCTAATTTTTTTGTATTTTTAGTAGAGACGGGGTTTCACCGTGTTAGCTAGGATGGTCTCAATCTTCTGACCTCGTGATCTGCCCGCCTCAGCCTTCCAAAGTGCTGGGATTAGGGAACTGCTAATTTTTCACACTAAACGTTTCGTGAATCCATCTGCAAGGCTCACGATCACTACCACTGTTGTAGTTCAGAACTACTGCTACTTGTGATGTTTCATCTCTTGCTTGGACATCTGCACCATACAAATGACCTTTCTTCCATCAGCCTTGTCACCATGCGATCCACCTAACATGCAACCCAAAGCAGACCTGCTGTGTGCAAGCTTAAAACCCTCTAGTGTTTCCCTACTCTGCCAGATAAAGCACAAAATATTCCCAAGCTAAATTCTAGCCTTAAATCTGCTGCTTCCTCCCTCTTTCTAGTCTTATCTCTAACAATTTCCTGTCTTGCACTTTGCTTTCCAGCTACATGCAACAGCTTGGAATTCTACACATGAACCATATTATTTCTTTGCACATACTGTCTACTTTGCCTCTAAGTCTCTTCTCACTCTTCTTTCCTGGCCCACTCCTACTTTTTCTTCAGTCAACACAAGTGTGTCACCTCCTCCAAGAAACTTTCCCTTATGTGTCCTGTCCCCACCCCCATCCCAACTATCCTTAGCCTTATCAATACCCCGTACATAATCCAGTCATTACATTAATTATATCAGTATCCAATTTATGTTAACCTGAGCTATACAGTTCATTGATAGCTGTTAGCAACTTATTTTCTTCAACTAAATTCAGACTTCCTTGAATAAGAATTTGGCACAGAACTGGAACGATCTTTGTCTGTTCCACTGCTGATAATTGAGTCATGAAGTTGTTCATGTAAGGATGCATTTATATATTTTTTAACTTTTAATTTTTTTTCTTTCATTTCTTCTGAGGAAGAGCAAACAAGTCACAGATACAAGTATCTGTCCTCTTCTCTTATGACATCCATACTTTATGTATATTTTACTCCAAAAAGAGGCTAAAATTAAGGAAGATGAAGTTATTGGCTTGCATGGAGCATCATAGTGTCAAAGTGTCACAAGAATGTGTTTTCTGTTTCCAGAACAATCCTCTTACTATTTTATTACCTTGTTTCTCTGTGATTTTTTAAACATTTAAAGGTCTATTTTATGTTAGCTTTATTCAGTCACATACTAAGAACACGGATTTCCCAGGGTGGCCAGTTACCATGCCAAAGAAAGGCTTTTAAAAGCTTTATTTATCCACATTTCAGATATATTTTTTTCATACCGAGAAATAGCATGCTGAGCTTTGCTGTCCCCAAAAATACTACACATGCTATTTTCTCAGGAAGAAGAGTGAGGTTTATTTTTTGTTAATGAAATGCCAAACAAGCCTGGCCGGTGTGCCAGGCAGAATTAAATTGCAGCATCTTTGGCAGTAGTCTTCATTGTTCCATCCGTGCAAGTGTTTTATGAAAATTTAGCTGAAGCATTTTAAAAAAATGTTTTGGCCAGATTCTTTTTAGAATAAAGTTGGGACATTCAGAAATTTGGGCAGTACTCATGATATTATAAATATTTCCAAGACTGGCTAAATAAGCCCCATTGTGATCTTACTCATTTGATTCAGGCTGCTCTTTCCACATCCATCTCGAAACTTCAGCCCTTGGCCAACACGAGCATGAATGTAGTGGCAAAGTTCAGATTTACAAACATTGTTTGTAAAGCCATTCTATTTTTAATTTAAATTCCCTCAACCTATGTTTTACAACACTGTTTATTCACTGTCTCTTTTTGTTCCTCCTAATATCAGAGAAGGAACAAACATACATGCCTTAAGGAATCCCTTTGGAAACCAAAGTTTCCAAAAAGCACACATCAAAATGGAAAATAGACAAAAAATACATTCCAGTTTTTAAGTACATTGTCCAGTTTTTATTAACGTCTTGGGGATTGGCAAACTTTTACTGAGCTAGTTTAGTGAGCATTTTAGTTTTTGTGGAGAATATGAGGTCTATTATGAATACTCTTCTCTTCTGTGGTAGCTCGAAAGCAGCCAGAGACAATACCTAAAGAGAAGAGTGTGACTGTGTTCCAGTAAAACTTTATTGACACAAACAGGCAGCAGCCTGGGTTGGGCCACTGGTAATGGTTTGCCAGCCCTCCATGTAGCTTCCCATTACTCCTCATTACTTCCATTAGTAACTTTTTTTGTTTTGATTTTCGACATCATGGAAATAAATATTAATGCTTTACTTCCGTCACGAGTAAAATTGTTGGTTATATCAAAGAAAAATGCAGGAATTTCTCAAAGATTAGAAAAAATTGATACTCTTTAAGATTTTAAAATTTATTTATTATTTAATTTATTTAATATTTAATTTATTTATTATTTATTTAATAAATTTATTTATTTAATATTTAATTTATTTATTATTTATTTAATAAATAAATTTATATTATTTATTTATTAAATAAATTTATATTATTTATTTATTAAATAAATTTATATTATTTATTTATTAAATAAATTTATATTATTTATTTATTAAATAAATTTATATTATTTATTTATTAAATAAATTTATTTATTTATTTGTTTATGGGGGTGATTAGTGCAGAGGAACCCAGAAGCCCCTCATGCCAAGCACCACCCAAGATTTTTTCTATTTTTGAAGTTCCTGCTTACACAACTGTAAGTTTCTTGAGGGGAGCAAATAGCTGAGAATTTGTCTCACACTTTCACCATGACCAGGTGCACGGCTCACGGGACAGTCATATTTTCAAATGAATGAATGAATGACTAGGCCACTGTATGCTATTGTCAGTTTGATAATATTGTAGACAAAATATCAGACCCGAATTTTTAGTTTCTTGGCCCTTTGTGCTCTGTTATTTCAAAGGTTCCCATATTAGTTGCACTAATAAAGGGCTAAAGAACCACGCTGTTGATGATGGTGAAAGTGGGATGTGCTTTCGCTTAAGCCCATGCTCTGAAACAGCTACTCATAGAGGTTTTTGTGGTAAGCATGTATAGATAGGTTTTTTAAAAGTAGGGTACGATTTTTATTTCTAGTGCTTTAAATCTGTTCAGTTAAAAACAAGAAGGAACATTCTTTTTGTGGTAAATGTGGGCTGACAGCAAGATGGATTTACTAGTATTTTCTATTCTTCAGACTTGAGGTTAACATGGGCATAATGTTCTGGATGAAGCTTTGGAAGTACTTGTGAAGGGTAAGTGGCCGTAAGCCAGAAAAGATGGCTATGTCCCTCCATTTAAAAATGTTCATTTTACAGAACAATGTGACCAACAGAAATTGGTAGGCTCGATGATTTAAAAAACTTGTAATTACACTCAGTGTTCTCTATGTGGAGGTGTTATGACTTATATCTCCTTTGTTTCTTTAAAAAATACTTGTAAAAATAATAGCTATATTGAAATTTAAATAGTGAAAAGGAGCTGTACCTCCTCCCTCCCCAATTCTACTTCTTTTCCCAGAAGTATTAATTGATTCTTGTCATTTCACACTTTTTTCTGTAAGTACACTTGTCTATGTGTGTATGTAAAGCCCAAGTGGGACAATATTATACTTAACGTTCTACAAATTGCTTTTCGACCTAATGTATGTAATGTATCATTCCATGCTAGCCAATGTAAACCTCCTTCATTCTATTTATTACTGTACTGCCCTTTATATAACCATTTTATACTTTTCTTTCTTTCTTCTTTAAGCACTATGGACTGTGCTTTGCTAATATTCTGAAGATACTTGTATTAGTTAATTAAGGAGATGGAAACAGCTCTTCTTCTTGTGGTGGGGAAATGAATATTTACCTTTATTAATCTAGTTCTACTTTTAAGTGATTTATGAATGATTGTTGATGGCGTTGTAGAGTTTTATAGCCCTCTGTCAAATATGTCCTCAGTTCTTACAGTGATATATTTTTGTATAAATGTGTGTGTCTATAGCAATACAACCATAAGAGCTATGCCTGCACATGCACGCACACTCACATATGCAGATTTATTTATTTCAAGTAGACAGTTCAGATGGCCAAGCTCAGAAGTGGATACCATTCTGACATGTATCTGTCTTTTGTGACAATGGCATCCTAACAGATATAGTGTGCAGATGCTGAGCTTTTAGAATATTCTACCATCCTACAATAATTGCTACATGCTTTTAGTCATATTAACAACAGCATCTTTAGCTTCCTATGTGCCGAAACCCTTTTACTATTCAGAGACAGCTATTTTTAAAATTTCAGAATTTGCTTGCAGCCTTATTCTCTGCAAGATCTTCCCATCTATTTCAACTGTGTCAAACTATGATAAAAACAGAAGAAAACAAGGATAGACTATACATGTCACTCATGTTGGCTGAGAAATAAGCTGAGAGAGCAAGAATTGGATGATGAAGGAATAAATGTAACATCATTTGAAAAAGAGCTCTTCTCTTTCAAGCTATATATAACTCTTCCATTGTAAACTAAGACTATTAATAACAATAATTATAATAATACCTTAGACTTCTCTAGTGCCATATAATTTACAGAGTCTTCCTTAGCTTTTAATTCCTTTCATCTTTTTGACAGTCTCATCAATTAGTCAGCACAGAGCTTATTATTTCCTCTCTACTTCCCCTTTCTGCAGTTATTTCTTGCTGCTCTTTCCACACCTGGTGCATCAGGGTCAGACACGTAGAAGACTTCCCAGCCTTGAACACTACCCACAAGGCATTATGTTTGGGCAACATGCTTGGTGATATGTTAGAATGTGGAAATTTGTGCTGAGGTTAACATCCCCTTAGGAGAATACAAATCATCAAAAAGCTCTGGTCAGATAACTTAGAATGATTGAAGTCATGCTGCATTTTTGAAATAGAGACCTGTGACTATTAAAAATGGATAGCATGGATTAATTCCAAAGATTTATTCTCAGTTATACCATAGAGTCATTTGCATTCCATCCATTTCTCTAGTAAATTAGCCACTGATAATCATAATTATGACCCTTAGGTACAATAAGACAATGAAATGCCTCCTGAATTATTAAAAAGTATTAATTTATGTCTACTCTATATGCAGTTTTTGAGTATTTTACTGCATTTCCACTCACTGAAAATTGGTTACCTGTACATATGATAGATACATAAGATTAAATTTTACTCATGGTAATATTTCATTAGAAGAAATTCCTATTCCTAGTGTTAAGCAAATGTGGTTATGTTATACACAGATTTCCTCTAGATTTCTGTTTGATATCCATGATCTTGACTGACTTGCTTGTTAGCTTTAGGTAATTACTTAAGAAAAATAATGCCAAGCATCTGCCTGATAATTTGTTATGAGCCGACATTGTCACATACATTATTTTATTTATTATATGAGCCCCCAAAGGCATTATTACCAGCATTTTATAAAATAAGCCTCAGGAAGCATAAACGGTTTGCTCAAAGCCACATAGCTAATAAGTGGCAAAGAGGAGACACAGTTCCATCTGTCCAAGTCAAGAACTTTTTCCATCAAGGCGCAGCCATCTTGGAAACTAGTCTCTCAGCATTTACATCAGGGCATTTCAGCAAGCCTTGGGCCTCTCCACATGTAGGCCCACCTGGCAGTGTGTCTTTTTAGAGCTTGTCCAAGCAGGTAATATCAGCCAACAAGTCAGAGATCCAGAAAGCTTGTAATCCTGATTATCTGTGCAAAGGGATAATGTTTCCCATAATACATTGCATTCCATCAACTTGGAGATAGGTACGCAGAATGCATCCTTTTGTAGAGACTGCTTTATTTATTCTACAATACTAGCAAGACCATGATAGAGTAGGACCCTTTGTAATAGTCTTTTACCATAGGTAAGAATGGTAAGCTTTGAAAAAAAATACAGGTATAGACATTCTCCATTTACCTTGGATACAAAACAAGTTTTCCGCCTTTGTCTGATAAAAAGAACAGGCAGTGCCCACTCTAAAGAGGCAATGTGAAATAAGAGAGAACTCTGAATGGGCTTGATAATCACCTCTGGCTTTTTAAAAAAATTCTAATCAGAAATCTGTTTTTAAACAAGCTGCCCTAATGTGAATAAGTGACATGGCTACCTTGAACATGCTCCTATGAAAAGCAGCAAAAGCAGGTGAGGGCCATCTTTGAGGAAGACAGACCTTTGCCATTAATATTAAATAATTATTTGTAAGAAACAAACGATGTCTGAAAGTAGGGCTGATCTAGAGAAATTGGAAACATTAGAGCAGGTTTCAACTTTTTCATGAGATATTACTGATACTGAATGTAAATTTCGAACCAGAATAAAGCTGATAACAAAGCAATACTACATTCATTCATTCTGGAATATTAAATAGAAATGGCTTCTGTATATATTAAGCCACTTATAATTATTTCTGACATGTTGAGTGTACTGGGGACAGAGAGAATAGAGGGTGATTGGGAGAAACGAATTTTTAATGGGATGTCAGTCTTTAAAGATTTGAATGAGTGGTCCCAGAAATGATCATTCTTTAAGTATGACATTGCCATTTAATAAACGAACAGAGAAAATATTGAAAGGAATTCTGTCAACATTCTGGAACGACTGTAATTTTGCACAATCAAGCAAAATGACAAGATCAAGCTTGATGTCATGCTATACGACTTGTAATTGTGTGAAATTATAAAACTTATGAACAAAAGGGAATGAGAAATGTGTAGCATTGGCATTGGGAGCAGCAGGGAGATGCGGAGCCTGAGATTCCAGTTCCGTCCCCTCTGACCTTGCTGATATGCAAATTGTTTCATTATGTAAAAAATAGCAGGGGTGAAACAATCAAGGTTTCCTAAGAAAAGAATTTCCAGTTTCACCACAGAAAAGATAAGTTTTGCATTTGGAACATCTGAGAGCATCTGAAGTGTTGTCTCATTAAAATTTATGATCATCAGAATTAATTCACATTCATTTCTTTAAGAACCAAATCACCTGGGTTGGATTTGTGTGTGGAATCATAAAAAAAGGATAATGAGAAATGACAGCAGGTCTATGGAGTAGCCAATGAGAGACACTGGGTAGATGTGAGCTTTTTTAAACTTTCCATTTGATATTTGGAGATTATTTGTTAGACTTCGTATATGATATGAAATAAGGAGTATCCTTTCCAAAACTTAAGTTAAAAGATCTAAATGTCTTTAAAAGAGACCTAAACATGCAACAATAAGAAAAATGAAACTGCCACAAGAAAATAGGAATTTTGTAATTTGTTCAGAAAATCTGAAAAGCACGTTTGATGGACCTCAAGCAGCTGGGGTGGAGAGAGTGGGGTATGGAGTAGCAGTAGTAACAGCTGCAGCTAATAATGTTTGTTGAAGATACTGGAGATAACGCTGTGACTGACACTGTGCTTAAGTAACTTAAAGATGCTCTCAGATAGAAAGTCTGAACATCAGATAACTTCCCCACATAGTTACTGCATGAGTCCATTCCCTTGGCTAGGGAAGCCTCATCCTCTCCAATGAAACCAGGTTGCCATGTTTAGCTCCTCGCAGTCTTTGTTCTTCACATCCCCCGGTTGTCTGTGCCAGTAATTCACGGTTGAGGTTGCTGACGTCTCTTGCCAGTAGAAGTCATTTGTGTCTTTCCTTGTGTTTCCATTTTCCTCCTAATCAGTTAATTGCTATGAAGAATTTATTTCTTCTCTAACACTTCAACCGTCTCCTTCTACCCCCACGGATTCTAATTCTAAAACTGCTGCTCACTCTGTGAGACTTTCGGCAGAAGGCTGTCTCTGGGACATGCCATCCCCATCTAGAGACCTGGAGACTGATGATAGCTATCCCATTTCAGGATGAAGGTTTTCTGGCCAGGCACAGTGGGTCACACATGTAATCCAGCGCTTTGGGAGGCTGAAGCGGGTGGATCACCTGAGGTCAGGAGTTCGAGATCAGCCTGGCCAACATGGCGAAACCCTGTCTCTACTAAAAATACAAAAATTAGCTGGTGGTGCATGCCTGTGATCCCAGCTACTCAGAAGGCTGAGGCAGAAGAATTGCTTGAACCTGGGAGGTGGAGGTTGCAGCGAGGAACCTAGGTGGGTGCAGTTGGGATTCACATTGAGACACATTGATCGTGCCTTGTTTTCAGTCTACTCTCTTTGTCCCAGATGAGGCTACACACCAACCCCTTTATTCAAAACTTTAATTCTTGACCAAGGCACTACCTATATACATCAAGACTTTCTTTCTTTGAGGATTGCCAAAGAATATCTGGTCTCTGAGGTACTGGGAAATGAGGCAAAAGTGTCTCTCTTCACTGCTAGCTCCTTGGGGACCAGCAAGCGGCTCTCAAGTTGCGTGGTGGCCCAACTGGAAAAAAGGCAGTTCGGTGCATCCTGGGAATATCCAGGTGAAAGTGTGAGATTTACCTAGAATAGCTTCTGGGCCTCTGGGGTTTTCACGCTGTCTCTGGTGAAGGTGTCCATTTTAGAACTGAAGCAAAAAGGTTTCAATCCGTTCCGTTTTCTTTGTATAGCACTTACCCAGTAGCTCCATACAAGTGAGCACTCAGTAATTAATTTTCTCCTAGTCCTTGCATTACACTTTCTTTGGGATGGAAATTTCTATTTTATGCTCCAGAATAGCCATTTCTAACTCACCCATATGGCCTCAAAGAGTTGGGACTTAAACATAAGCCTATAAGCACTCAGATTATTGAGAAGTATGCATAAAAAATGGACAAGCTGAAGATATGGACAATTTTACTGATGTTTAATTGCACAATTGTTAAAATTGCATCACTGCCATCGAGGTCAATTTGACTTAAGTAACTCTGTTTAGAAATATGAATTATGATATAAAAACAATTAAGCAAGCAATACTTTTATGTTATTTAAAACCTTGCTGTATAGGAAAAGCTACTTTTAGGCCAGGCACAATGGCTCACACCTGTAATCCCGGCACTTTGGGAAGCTGAGGTGGGAAGATCGCTTGAGCTCAGGAGTTTGAGAGCAGCCTGGGCAACATAGCGAGACCTCATCTCTACTAAAAATACAAAAAATTAGTCAGGCATGGTGTCGTGCACCTGTAGTCCCAGCTGCTTGGGAGGCTGAGGCAGGAGGATCACTTGAGCCCAGGAGATTAAGGCTGCAGTGAGCTGTGATCGTGCCACTGCACTCCAGCCTGGATGACATAGAGAGTCCCTGTCTCAAGAAAAAAAGAAAAAAAAAAAAGGCTACTTTTAGCTTGTTAGGTGATAACATCGTAAACTCTGATGACTTTTTAGGTGGTTCTGTCACAATCTGTAATTTGTCTATTTTCTCAAAAATAGGGGGAATAAAATTACTTGTGAAAATATGTCTCAGTGAATTTTTAAATCCAAATTGTCCCTGTGCTGAAAGGATTTCCTGTGAGAAGAACCAATTTTTCTTAAATATGTGTTAATACTTTCACACTACAATGACAAATTTTAATTGTTAATGCTTAGTTGCAGCTGAAGGCTAGTCTATATAAACTAAATATAATAATAACAATAGTTCATATTTATCAAATGCTTGATATGTGTCATGCACTGGGGTAAGCATTTTATATGGATTAATTTATTTAATCTTCACAATCCTAAACTGTAGTACTATTTTCATTCCCATTTTATAGACAGTGGAACTAAGTCATAAGGAAATAAAACAACTTGTCTAACTTGGAATAGGTAGCATCAGGATTTGACCTCAGTAGGCCTGATCCCATGAGGTTACATTTAGGTACATGCTCTATTCCTAGGCCCAATTTAATCATTTTTATTCTTACAGTTCCTTTCTTATGTGATAGTTTTCACATTTACAAACATCTTAAAATGTAAGTTTTGAAAGGTGTAAAGGAAATCCTGAATGAGATTTAGAAGAATGAGTGAGAAATAGAAGAATGAGCCTGGCGGACGGACAGAGTAGTTTACAGAGTAAAGCTCTAGTTCCAGGCATGTTAATTCCACTCATATAGGAAGGAAAGAGCCAATGTAAAAACACCACTTTTTAATTTAAATCTCTATGCATAATGATATGCCAGTTTCAACACTGTGGCTAGGCCAAGCACGGCACCATCTAAGAGAAAACAGACACTGGCGCCAGACTGCACAGATTCAAATCCATCTCTACCATTTACTAACTATGGGATCCAGGGCAAGTTACTTGCTGTCTCTGTAATCCTGTTTCGTCATCTGTTAAATTGGGCTAATAGCATCTATCTTACAGGGTTGTTGGGGGATTAAATGAGTTTCTATACACAAAGCATTTAGGACAGTGCCTGGCACATAGTCAAGTATCATAAGGATGTTTGCTATTTCATTATCATCACCACCACCTCCACCGCCGTCATCATTATCTTCATGTCACTAAAATATGTTTGGCAACAATTTTATATTTATATTTAGACATTCTCAGGGCTTTCATATAGAAAAAGAAGATACAAAATTCAACTTATCTTGGATGAACTTTTCTAAACAAGGCAATTAGAGCAACTAGATTTCTTTTGTTTTATAATTTGAATGGTAATTTAAAAAACTAATCAGCCAGATGTTGTCATGACTCCATCTGAAGTTGGAAGTTTGCACCCAGCGAAAGGGGATTTGATGTATAAATTGCACAACTATCAAACTGCAACAGAGTGACTGAACACTTATCTTGAAAATCTTAAGTTGGGATTGGCAAAAAAAGAAAAACAATGAGCTACTCCCATTTGCAAAGTCCAAGTGATTAGGGAAAATGGGTTTGAGTTTGACCTAATTAATTTATTTTGGGGTGATGTTGATAGAAGTAAGTGTATGTCATAGATAACAGTTCTGATAGATTCCCACACAGTTAAACCTTTGCTTCTGCTTTCTTCGATGAATCGAAATGCATGCACTCTGAAGCCCTCTGAGAGCATTCACAGGGGTAAGACAGGTTTTATTCCTCCAAAGCAATTTGGTCGAACTCTGCAGCTCACCTATGGGGAAGGCTGGCAAAATTCCAAAGGTGATTAGTGTCGTTTCTATTATTTCACAGGGTGGAGTGTGTTTGAATGGATGGAAGGGAAAGTCTATAATTTCATGGCTGTTAGTAGAACATTTCTGCTAAACCACTTTTTATCTAAAACATTCCAGATGAGTCGAGGGCACGGTACTGTCACCAGAATCGAATGCACCCATGGATGTTACTAAATCTTAACTAAACAAGTCAGAAAAATGTAAATATTTCCTCCAAAATGTTGATTACCTTTTAACCCGTTTGTGTGTGTGTGTGATCACAATCATCTTTTTAATTATTTAAACTCTGTGGATTTCTCTATTAATATAAGATTAGCATTGCGAGCTTAACCTGGACCAGTTGGGAAGAGGTATTGCATTTTAAAATTGTGCCACCATTGTCTTGTTTAGGAAGAATGACTTGGGCAATACCAAATGTTGAGTTATCAAGTATTTCGATACCCATATGCATCATCTGCTGTAAGTGTAAGCATCTTCTCATTCTTATAGATTCTTTGAATTACATTATAAATGACTACCATGTCAATAGATTAGAACAACAATCGTGTCATGGCTTTTTTGTCGTCATGGGTCATTTTCATCAAATGTTCAGTAATTTCATTGCACTGTGTAATTAGGTGAAGAAACTCCACCCGAGCGTCCATGGGTCAGCTATGTGGACTCTAGCTGCCAAAGGCGCTTCTCCTTCTGAACAGAGCGCTTTGCTCAGCCAGTGTAGACATGGCCTGATAAACAATGGAACTTCTCCCTTGAGAACTGGAGTTTGGATTGATCTAATTCCTTAATTCAAAAATGTGCACAGGTTTGATGAGTGGTTAAGATGCCTGCCTTTTAGTGAAACAAGAGCTTAAATTGACAGTACTGTGAAGAATTCAGTAATTTATAATGAACTTGAAAGGCAGTAGCACTCACTGTTGCAAAAGCTAATCAAGGGACTATCAAATCAAAGTTTTTACATGAGCTTAAATATCTGTGACAGGGAGGTTGTTCGTGCAGGTTTATATCTGTCAGATCTTAACACTAAACCTGCCAGAGTGTAACATGGTCCTGTCACTTTTAACCAAGATGTCACATATATTGTGGGAAACACGCTGCTCTGCATTTTCTTTTCTAGGATTTTACTAGGAAAAGCAAATGTAAAATAAAGTTTTTTTGTTTATTTGTTTGCTTGTTGTTTTTTTTTTAACGCTACATTTTTATTTTGCAGATTCTCAGGATGATGGAGTGAGTGATGGAATAGGTTGCCAACTGTAGTTACTCCACTCAGCACAGAATGGCTGCGGGGAAATATAATCAGACATGCCCAAAGAAGTCTGCTTAGGGTGAAACAAATACCTTTGAGGTTTAAATCAGGTGTGTAAAGAATATTGGAAACATGACTTGTTTTGTTTTTGTTTTTGCATTTGTGTTTGTCAAGAAAAGTAGAAAGGCTGATGCTTCTTGCCTGTTTTTCCAACTCTTTTAATGCTATAAAATGCACCCCAAATTTAACCCATTCTCTCTCCTAGGATTTGATATACCCAGTTTACTCCCTTGAAGGTCCTCTATCTCATCAAAGCTTTAGATTTTAAAAGCATGATTGTATATTTTTATTTTCAAAAAGATTTTGATTTTGGAGATATTTTAAAATTGGAAATTGAACTCAGATAGGCTTTACCATTTGTCTGTTTTCTTAGAAGAATAAATGCTATTTGCAATATAAGAGTTAGCTGCCAGAAACCTAAGAAAGTTATGTTCAAATTATTTTTACAAATAGATGTTCACATCACCTTTAAACAGTAGTAATGGCTCAGAAAAAATCAAGCAAAGTTAACATCTTTAAAAAAATACAAACCACATTGCTTTACAGGATGAGGTTGTGCTTAATAACGTATGCTTAATTCATTCAGAAACTACACGATTTTTGTTGCTATATTTTGTTAGAAAGGAAGGAGAGACTGTTTCTACAGGTGTCATACAAAAATCAATACTGAGCCAAGGATTATTGGATCCCATAGAACCACGGAGACTTGGTAGTGAAATTCTTCCAAAGGTGAGTAGGGGCATTGATTTCCTTTCCCATGCCTGCAGAAATATGACACAATTAACAGAGGCTAAGTTTAGACAGGAAATAAGTCTGATTTGAAACTGTACTGTAAAAGAATTAGTGATACTTTTTTCAAACAAATAAATGAGAAAATGTAAGTAGAATTTCAACATATACATTTCTCTTATTTATTTTCTTAGATTCTTTTCTTTATTCTCTTGGGTACTTTTGAAAAATAAACCACCAAAAATGGACTCCTTGACTGACATTTTATCTGTAATTCAGATCCTGTGATTTCCACGTGGAATACTTGCATTATACGATATAAAAGAGTCTCTCTCTTAAACCTATAACCAAGAATGCAGCAACCCGTCAGTTTCCAAGAAAAAGCATATTATCTACATAATCACAATCACACTTACAAATATGAGCCCATCACTAACCTTCCTTATTTAAGCTATGTATTTTTCCAGCTAATTTGTGCTATAATTTTTAGACACAAACTTGTTTGTTTACATATTTTACAGTTTTTTCTAGATTTCTTAAAGCTAAAAAACTATACATAACATACTGATTGTTTGACTGCATTACTTAGCATTCCATCCGTGCAGGCAGATGGTGTTCCTAGGTTTGGAAATATAAATCCCATGGGAAGTCAGCTGAAGACCATTTTATGCATCACTCATCCTGTTAGAGCCCTGTGCTGTTCTGTCTCTCTATAAGGTAAGAGATTTATTGTGAATTGGCTTCCAGAAGTAGAAAATGTTGTATGCTAATGGATGTTCCTTCAAAGTGGCTTCTGGAGCTCATACAGAAATTGTTTTATAAGCAAAAGAATAATTGGAACAATTCAAGTTACGCATACATGCATGTTCATCTGTCCCCAGGTAGCATTTGGTTGTTCTATCCTAGGATCCACATTCTATAATATTATCTTCTTCATGTGAAGTGAGATGGTAAATTGTTAATTTTTATAATGAATTTGAGCAGAGTAGAGGATTAAGGAAAATAATTTAGGCCTCAAAGTAGAAAATTGACAAATTACCATCTTGCTTTGTCTGGGGATAGATATAATTTGAGTTTTAGTAATTTGTGGGATCAAAAATGGATTATAAGAAAATTAATCCGGGTGCAGTGACTCACACCTGTAAACCCAGCTACTTGGGAGGCTGAGGTGGGAGGACCCCTTGAGCCCAGGAATTTGAGGCTGCAGTGAGCTATGATTGTGCCACTGTACTCCAGCCTGGGTAACAGAGACCACATCGCTATAAATAAAATGACATTAAAAGACAGTTAAAATATAAAATTCCTGCACATTCACAGTAATATAAAAACCTCAGTATTTTTTTTTAGATTATTACTTTTTGCTGGCCAGTCAAAAATTCTTACTTTTTTTTCTTATTCTGAACTTTCAGACTGGCTGAAACCACCACGGTTGTTTACAATTTATGCTCTAACTTTGGATCACCTAGTTAATACTCTAACTCCGATTATTACCAAAGACAATGTTCTATAAAAGATATTGTCTATTAGAAGGATGCTTCTGCATTATTAATAAAATCACAGGGAAAATGCAACATTTTGGATGTCACATCTGATAAGGTAAGATTTTATCATGTCTCGTAAGATGTGATTTCATACGATTTTACTTATGACTATCCTAGCCCCAGGAAAGTTTTCATTTATCCATTTGATGTAGAAATCTATCATATAAAGCTTCATATACAATTATTTAAACTGTGACCTAAAAGCCGGGCTACTGAATATCTTTTGTTTATGTGTAAGTCACATTATTTTTACTGTTTTTTTCATCCTTTGCAGCTTAGAAAAATATAACTCAGTACACCATACAGCATATTTAAATTAAAATATAAATTATGTACATCATTATTCTTATGGGGGGGGAGCCGCTGGGAAAGGCATGCTATTCTATAACCCTGGACAAAATTTGACTTTTGATGTGTGAATTCTTAAATGTGCACAAACCAAAGACAATGGCATATATACTTTGACACATTCTGAAGTTAAAAGAGGACATGAGGATTGTGAGATAAGTGGCGATTGTGTCTACTATTGTAATAATATAATGTCTGCATGACAAGAAAAAAAGTAAAAAAGCAATGGCGAGATGATGGAGAAGCTGAACATAAGTAAAATTCCAGGTACCTGTTGATGCAATATGAGGATACTAAAATATCTAGCCTTCTATGTATGCTATATATACTGTAATCCATCAGAATGGAGGCACTGTCTTCAAGTCCAAAAATATTAGTGTGTTCAACACTGCTACCCTGTATACTATACTAAAATCCCTCATAATATATAAAATATATATTATCCATGTCTGAGCAACGTGATACAGCCATTCTCTCTTTGGGTTAAGTATAGCTTATGATTTTCCTAAAATGTCGCAAAGATAAGCATCTACTAGATAATTCGTGATTTGTAAATATCATGACTGTCTGAGGGGAAGTGGCAATTAAGGGAAGCATAATTATCTTCAATGTGAAGAAGGTCTGGGATGACAACTTTGGGGAGCACAGTGTCTTTGGCTCCTTAGCATTTTCTTGACTTGCTTTGTTGTCGTCCTTCTGGTTCTTTCTGGATCCATCTCTCTTTTGTTTCCATTTGAAACCTCTATTGTATTCCAGTTGGCAGTTAAAGAACAGAAACAGCAATAAGACTGCGTGGCTACATTTTCCCAGTGCCACCAACTGGGATTTAAGCTGACTAACATTTTGAAAGCCCAGCCCATTTCATTCACAGCAGGATGGCAGGTAAAAGCATTTCTGTATTAAAGTATACACTTTGTTTCTTCAGGTTCTCGGTCTAATTTCTCTTGTTTGCCAGTTGGGGGGAGAAATGAAAGTAGGTTGGGGATGAAATGCCTGGGGTATTTAATCAAATGCCCAGCAACTCCTGATTATAGGATGCAAAAATTTCACTTTTGAGGATTAACTATGGTGGATTTTTTTCAACCCAAATGGGTGTACCCTTCTCTCCAGCATGTTATGGGGCTACTTTCTACCACTGCCAAAATAGAATGTAGTAGAAGAATTAGAAGAATTCCAAGTAGTTTTAATAATAACTCCTGGGTTATTAAAAATTAAATATCTGGGGTAAAAAAAATCCCATTAAATATACATGTTTGTGAAGTACCTCAAACATATATGTGTTTTACAAAATTTTACGTGTCATTATTTGCTCCTATTAGAACAAGAAATTGAGAATGGGTTTCACAGTGTTCTGTTAATTTGATTACTGTGTCCTAAGTGGTAAGTATAAACCTCCTTATGTATTTTGTGAAGCTCACTTAATCAAGCAAATATTATAAAACACACTATCATATCACTATGCTGATCCTTGACCTTTTGGCTTGTCACTCTCTTGTGTTGGATGTCTTTTTCTCATGTGCATGCACATGAAGCTTGGGGACAGAAAGAGTGAGGAAAAACATTAGCCCTGCTCCCTGAATAGTAATGGGCTGTGGAATTGTCTTTTTGGAGGGGACTTCCCCTGGGAACAATGAAATTGGGATGAATATTATCAGTTTGCATTGACATTGAATGCATTTTTAAGGGAGCTTAGATCACTCTGTAAGAGTCATCTTGGATAGGTGAATGGAATACACAGTTGCAGTAGGAAGACTAAAGTTCTGAGATGTGTCAGATGACAGTGATAATATCATAACTCATTTTATGAATGAATCAAAAAGTTCCTCAGCTAGTGCCCACATACTCATATATTGAAATAAATTTTACAAAGCCTCTTCTTTCCCTGGAGTCTGCACATATCCCATCTTACCATGGAATATAAACCTGCTTTGCTTGGTTTTGTATTCTATGACCATCCTCTAGATATTTCTTACCAGATTAGGTCAACAGTTAACAGAGAATACAGTGGAAAAGTAAAATAACATTTTCAAAGTTTTAGCAAGAAAAATATGAATAATTAAAGGTGAATGCATGTGCATGCTATGACTGTACCTAGAATCTTTTCAAGGGCTTGAGGTCCCTCTGTCTTAGTAATTAGACAAATTCTGTAGCCAGTTTGGCCTCACCCTGACAAAGATTTTCTATCTATAAATGTCCTTTGGGCCCATGAGGAATTTTGGACCCTCATTTATTTTCTAAAGAGAGGTTCAAGATCAACAAGTTCAAAATATTTCAAAGTTGCCATGCACTTCTCTGTTTAAGTATAGCAGCATTGCTGTGGATATAAACAAAATAATTCAGACACTGACCAGGGCAACTCCACGGCACTCTAGTGCACTAAATGACCCCCTCATTGTCTAATAACATGAGGCCTTACGTTTGTTTAGTGCTTTCTGGTTTTCAAAACCCTTTCCCATGATAGTCATGAATGAAGATACGATTTAGAGAGGTAGGGCACAAGGATGATTTTTTTTTTTTTGCCTTTCTTTTTCTAACTTGTTAAATGAAAAATGCTAGAGAATAAAATGTGTTTTGTTTTTTAATCAAAGAAACACATATAATGTGAATTAGAGCATAATTGTCATGGTGAGGAGATGGGGAAGGAGGCAGTCACCCTTCCGCTACTGTGGTTTGTAGGGGTCCGCTATGCTATGTTAATAAGTTTACAGCTCAAAAGAAGGCTGTACCATTTCTCTCTAATGTGACGTAAAGTTAATAGACCCCTTGAACAGATTCATCTTGAAATATGAAGATCAATCATCCATGGTTCAGGTCAAATACCTGCTCACACATATTTACTGAGCAGACTAGTCCAAATTTTTCAACAAAGTAATAATACAAATAGAGGAGGGGAGGGAACAAGGACTCCTTGGGTCTAGGGGTGTTTCCCCAAGCAAGTTTTAAGCAAAACCATTTTTAATTGGAAGCTTTGTGATTTAGCTTAGAAATTCACTCTATTCTGTTAGATTATTTTACTATTTTTTAAAGTTTTAGTAATAAGGGGCTTTGGCTTCCTTGCTACGGGGATCTAGAATATTGATGTTATGTATGAATGTGGGTGATATGATGAAAATATTACCAATTAAGTTTGGTGCACAAATATGGTGGTTGAACCAGAATTGGACTGGTTCGCATTTCTGCTCTACCACTTATTAGCTGTATAAACAGTTTCTAAACCCGCTTCTTCACCTACAAAATGAGGAAAGTAATCATCCCCATCCCCATAGAGTGGTTGTAAAGATTAAACAGGATAATGAGTATAAAGCCTATGGTAAGGGGTTGACGAGTCTTAGCAATGATCTTTAATATTGTTGTTATTTATTGCCTGTCTTTGCATGTATACACATATCTTCTATATACAATTTTTCTGTGTAATGCATTATGATTAAAAAAAATGTTGCCTAAAATTACCTGATAAAAATATTAAAGAAAATTCTGTCAGGCAATCGTGGTAACTACAGAAACTAGGAAAATCGTGAAAAGCCAGTACCTTCTGTCAGCATTACCAGCCTTTCTTGAGAAGTCCTTATGGGCTCTGCCTCTCTGTTTTTCTCTACTGCTAAGACCTCCTTTCAATAAGGACCTGAAATTCATCCACACGAAGATCTAGATGACTGAGAACATTTGAGGTGCTGCCCCTGTGAAGGTCACTGACCTTTTATTAAGGGTCAGATACTAAGCTGATGAGGTTTCAGGCATCGGTAGCAGCTGGAGACATTTGTCTGACAGTGTGATCTACCCCTGGCCTTCAGGAGCTCTCCTCAGAGTGGTAATGGTTAAGTGGGCCAATGGGTAAGGTTAGTTCTGCTGAAGGTGCCCGCTGGGGCTGTCTATGGGGTTTGTCTGACATCCTCAAAGGCTGCCTCTGTCTCTAAGCCTGGGACCATTTAGGAATGTCTGTCAGCTTTTTCGATTTTTTTTTCTTTTCTCACATTTATATCTGTGGGTTTTGTATCTAGTTATACCTTAAACACAAACTGTAATCCTTTGAACATTTTTTCCTAATATTCTTTATTTTTGGATATACATCAATTTTTTTTTCTACCCACATCCTATCCATATACTCGTTCTTGCTTGTCCATTGTATTTCTTTCAGAGATCTGTATTCATAATTGTTTTTCACATATCCGACTATTTTTCTGAGATGTTCTCCTGTAATATTCTTTTTTAAAATGTAACTTGTTTTACCTGTATTTTCTGCACCCATGTTTTGGGATTTGAACGATTGGGTTCAAATTTAAGATATGCCTTCACTAGCAATGTATGCTTAGAAAACCATTTAATTTCTCAGCTGAGTTTATCAGAGGTGGAAATAGAAGGCTCTGCCCATAGTATTGTAAAAATCAAATAAGATCAAAGTGTTTTGTAAACTCTAAAATGATATAGAGCTTTTTATGTTTTCTTCTTTTTCTTTTTTTTTCTTTTTCTTTTTCTTTTTTCTTTCTTTTTTTTTTTTTTTTGAGACAGAGTCTCACTCACTCTGTTGCCCAGACTGGAGTGCAATGGCACGATCTTTGCTCACTGCAGCTTCCACCTCCCAGGTTCAAGCAATTCTCCTTCCTCAGCCTCCCGAGTAGCTGGGATTACAGGTGTGTGCCACCACTCCTGGATAATTTTTGTATTTTTGTACAGATGGGGTTTCACCATGTTGACCAGGCTGGTTTTGAGCTCCTGACCTCGGGCGATCTGCCTGCCTTGGCCTCCCAAAGTATTAGGATTACAGGCATGAGTCATCATGCCCGGCCTATGTCTTCTTTTTACTCATTACAACTAGCCCCTCATGCATGTTTTTAAAAAGATGGGCATGAAGAGACACATCATGTTTAATAATTTGTGAAAGGAGAGATAGGATGATCTATCTTTTGACATTTTTCCCCATTACCTGAAAGAACTATTCTGTGCATTCCCATGATATGGCTGTCAATTGCCTTCTCCCAGCATTATATCATTCAACGCAGAGAGGAGAATTTTCTCCGATGTAAATGTAAGAGAAGAAACGTCCGCTGGTAAACAGAAGCAGCCTGTCCTGCTGCTTTGAGCCACATCCACAAACTGTTTCTCAAAGAGTTCAGATCCTTTTGGAGAGCATCAGTGTATGACATGGTCATATACTGACTGAATCAGTCATGGATTTCAGTCCACGATTCATGGACTGAAATCAGGAAGCACGAGTGCTTCAGGATCCTCTACACAAATGAGGGATGATATAAGTTAATATTTATCAAGAACCTACTGTGCATAAGACACTTCCAATAATAATGACTGCTGACTTGAGGTTTTTGCTAGACACTGCATAGGCACTGAACTACAGATTTTATCCAAGTTATTTGATCCTTAAACCACTCTGTGACACTGGAATTATTACATCCACTTAACAGTTGAAGAAACTGAGGGCCGTCTGACACCAAAGCCAATATTAACTGGATTTTCCCCTAGGATCCTGGGATGCCGATATTATGATATGCATTTTGCAGCTAGAGCCATTGGGACACAGAGTGTTTAAATAACTTGTCCACATAGCTCTATGTGGAAGAGCTGCAATCCCATTCAGGTCAGCCCGACCCTGAACACTCCACTGCACTAACTTGCTGAGTATCTCTAATCTTGGGAAGAATCTTTCTTTCAGTTTTCTTTTAATTAACAATCAACTATGGATTGATACTTTCATAAAACAGAATACAATTGAATTACTAGAAAAATAAAATTAAAACCCAGACATACAAGACACAAACTCAATTTTCTATTATTAGATTCAACAAACATAAAATTACTCTGCCACTTTGCTATAGGTGTTTCTAAATGATTGCTCACAATGTCTGTGCCTATTTTGTGGTGGACCAGTAACAAAACTGCTGGACTCAACAGCCAGCCACAGACAAGGCTTTGAGGAGCACTTGTCTAGGACTGTGGAATATGACCTAGCTGAAGATAAGGCAGTTTTCTTATTCATTAGCAGAAGTCTTGTAGGCATGGATTTAATTTCAATATTTACCAGTAAGGCCTTGGGTGATACCAAGGTAGGAAATAGACTAAAACACAGTTAAACGTTAAAAGTCATTGCCCCTACTTTTTGTGCTTTTTTATCTAGGGAAAGTTAAATGGAATGTCTTAACAATATACCCACAGGAATTAAATTAATTTTGTATGGAATATGTATTTGAAGGCCTACTGTCTTGTAACCTACATAACTGAGAAATGTAGACCATTGTAAATTAGCTTATTTGATAAAATAGGTATACCACTATATTGCAGGTATATTACTTTTTCTCCAGAGGACAGGCTCATTGTTGTGTTGATTAATTAACATTCTCACCCACCGTATCCAAGCAGGTTACAGAAATTAAAACTTGCAGGATGACAAAGCCAGAAAAGCAAACATTTCTGGTTAGTTCCCACAGTGACACTACAGAAATGCCTGTCACCTGCCTCTCCTTGCTGGGCAGAGCAAGTTAGCTCAGCATTGGTCCCCTTTTCAGCATTTGTCAAAGCAGATCTTAGAATGGCCATGAAAAATGGCTGGTTAGTGTCATTCAGGGGAGAACAGGGACTATAGCAGGTACCTGTCTCCACCTGTCGAGAAATATCCACAGAAAATAGATGAGAGAACAAGCCTTAATAAATAGATGACGCAAAAGTTGCTATTTTTGTGCTTATTTGGCAATATTATATGCCAGATTTCAAGACAAAACTTAGTTTATCTTGTTTCCTGGCCCACCCTCTCAAAGCACATTACTGCTGCTTGGAATGCCGCACTAACTCAGTATTAGTATGAGTTACGGTTGATAATGATTGGACTTTAACTTTAAGGAAGAGGTACTAGATTAGAAGATCTGTTTGGACCAATCATTGCATTATATGTGTTGTAGTCATGTCAATGTAGGACTTTTTCTGCAATCAGTGGAGGTAAAAATAGTGGCAGAAAGTAGAAAGAATCCTTGTTTGTCTTATAATGGAGACTTTCTTGGCCATTAAATTGGTGACCTTAGTGTCCTGAAGTTCAAATGAAACTGCTTCATTCTTGTTCTTAAGCAATGCTTTGTCTTGGTGTAAAATCTATTATTTAAATTTAATGTAATAATTCATGCACTGATTATTCATTTATGGAGTGCACACTTATGCACCAGGTCCTGTGGGAGATTGCTAGATCTTGGAGATAAAACTCTGAATACTTGATTTTTCCCTCAAGAAGTTTCCACCTTGGTTGTGGAGGCACACAGAGGCAGACATTGAAAATATTGTAGCATCTGCTATAATAAATGATTTTTTTTGAGACAATCTCACTCTGCCACCAGGCTGCAGTACAATGGTGCAATCACAGCTCACTGCAGTCTCCACTTTCTGAGCTCAAGCAATCCTCCCACCTCAGCCTCCCGAGTAGCTCAGACAACAAGCTCATGCCACCATGCCTGCCTAATTTTTTCTTTTATTTTTAATAGAGATGAGGTCTCACTAAGTGCCTAGGTTGGTTTCAAACTTCTGGGCTCAAATGATCCACCCACCTCAGCCTCCCACAGTGCTGGGATTCCCAGGCATGAGCCACTGTGGGGCCTCTATGAATGTAGAACTGACAAGCTCTGGCTGTCAAGTCAGGAAGTGCTTCACAAAATAGTTGACTTTTAGCCTAGATAAGGAAAAATAAATAAGAGTTCTAAATGTAGTAATAGTAAACACTTATATTGATATTCTTGTACAATGTGACTTCCTTGGGCTCTTTTGATTCATGACCTATTTTCTTGGGAGTCTTGGTCTCCCAATAGAGCACCTGTTTTCATGGAATCTTTCATGTTATTTCTCTGCTTTTCCATGTCATGTTCCTTGTGTCTGGGCAATAGCTAAAAGTTAGTATGGCTAAAAGCAAATTTTGTTTATGCTTTCCATATCTCTCCACTGCCTGTCTTTACCATATTGATTTCCAGCAGCTTCCTTCTAGTTTCAAAAACTTAGCATCTGTTGATTATTTTAATTTCCTTCTTCTCCTATAGCAAAATTCATCAGGAGTTAACAGGCTCCCAACTTTTAAATAGGACTTTAGCCTTACCTGCCAGGATCTGCAATACAAGGCACACCTAAATAGCATTTAATTTGTTTAAACAAAAGCTTATACTGACTCAATTTTATCGACGTGAACTTTGACCACATGGAGACTTTAGTTTGAAAAAATTAAAATGGGTAAATTATCTATAGTGAGATTAGAGAATTTCAAAAACACTCCCTTTCTATTATTGTTTATTTTTTTTAATTCCAGGAAAAAAAAAAAAGGTGGGATGCTTATTAAAAAAAAATAAGCACTTTGAGGACTAATGACTGTAACCATGCACTGCTAACTGGCAAACCAGACGAAGTCCACAGACAAAAAAGATAATGTTTAACAATGGGAAAAATTCCCCAAGTGAGCCAAATAGGCCTCCTCGTGATGTCTGGCTGCAAATTAGACATTGGTGAATCCACCCAAACTTGGAGTCATTAATAAATGCCAATGCTACAGTAAATGTCAGCTAAAGTGTGAAGGGAGCAAATCCCTGCATGCTTCAGGAAAGTGGAAAAAGTCCATCTCAGATCTTATTTTTGTACAGACACACTTTCTATTCCCATCTAGAATATTGCAGTTCAGACATGGATAATGACTAATGCATCTTAAGATGCTCACAGTCACTGCTTGATAAATATATGTCACTATTCATTTATTAAGAAAGACCAATACAATTAAAACTTTTTTTTTTCTTCTTTTCTGAGAGAGAGTCTCATTGTGTCACCCAGGCTGGAGAGCAATGGTCCCATCTCAACTCAGTGCAACCTCTGCCTCCTGGGTTCAAGCGATTCTCAGGCATGTGCCACCACGCCCTGCTAATTTTTGTATTTTTAGTAGAGATGTGTTTTCACTATGTTAGCCAGGCGGTCTCGGACTCCTGGCCTCAAGTGATGGCTCACTCCTGTAACCCCGGCACTCTGGGAGGCCGAGACAGGCAGATCACTTGAGGTCAGGAGTTGGAGACCAGCCTGGCCAACATGGCAAACCCCCATTTCTACTGAAAATACAAAAATTAGCCAGGCCTGGTAGCACACGCCTGTAGTCGCAGATACTTGGGAGGCTGAGGCAGGAAAATCGCTTAAACCTGGGAGGCAGAGGTTGCAGAGTGGAGAGATTGCTTCAGTGCACTCCAACCTGGGCGACAGAGTGAGACTTCATTTCAAAAAAAAAAAAAAAAAAAAAGAATGCACAGATGCACAAACTTTAATGAATAGGTTTAATCTAAATCTTAAATACTAGGTTTCCTAAAATACGTTTCTTATTTTATGTCAGTATTTTCATCATAATATTATAATATTGCCTTAAAAGCATTATTAGCTCAATGATCTACATGTGTAAAGAGTATGATATCATAAAACCTTACCTTTTACTTTTTGGCTTTTGTATTACCAATAAAGAGGGATTCTGAGAATTGTATTTATTTTTGTGAACATGAAGAAAAAAGGAGTCCTTAGAAAAATTAGATTTGCCTGAAGGGGTCACTTACATTTATTTTAAATATTTGTTTTCACTATACCTTGGCTATCCTAATGCATATGGTTTCAGACTTCAATTTGTTTTATATCCAGGATAGGAGGATAGGGAAAATGAGTGAGTTCTCTTTATGCATTGCTCTACTGAGTTCTAGCCTTTGGACACATAGAAAATGACTCTTGGACTTTCTCTCTCTGATGAGAGAAGGAAATGGTAAAGAAAGTAATATAAAAAGGATTATCTTCCTGGAAACCTTGGTCGCCCCTGTTAGAGAGTCTCTCATTTTAATCTTCATGTTATGTTCACTTTTATTTCACTTTGCTAGTCATGGCTTATGAAAGATTTTAATTGAAAAATATTTGATTCTTATTTTCTCTCTGGGATTTATACTTTGAAATAAGTGAAATTTAGTGTCTGACATGCAAATTATTCAGCAGTGTCTAAAGCAAAATCAATATAATGGTTTTTCTTAAGGCACTTGCAAGAGCAATTAGAAATATATTAATAGTTAACTCACTATGCTTACAGAATCACAAATGAGCATCAAAACAGTTCTGATTTAAGAAAGTCTCGGCAATCAGTGATGAATGCCAGTCTCGTCAAATAAGTGGCTGCTTGAAAAGTATTTGGGTTTTGACAAAACTTTAAGCAAAAATTGACAGCAGCATAGGGCTATGTTTAGATCTCTTGCATGGTAGCACACTAGCAGATGCTTGGTTCTGACAACAAAGACTGAACAGGTTTACAGTGAAAACTCAGTAACATTTGTGTTCTGCAGTAATGAATTCTCACTGTGAATCACAAGTGGTTTCTTTCATGCAAACCGTAAATATAAATGGTGGCAAAGCTATGCATTACATGTTTTACTAACTTCAGTCATTCTTATCCATTAACTTACAAAACGCACATATTTGCTATTGCATATTAATAATGGTGTGGATGGTACACAGGTGGCTTCTGTTTTACTAAGATCACTTTTATTTTTTATGTTTCTAGAGCTTTCAATATAATCCAGAGAGAATTTTAGAGCTGGGTTTAAGTTTTGATATCACTGCCATGACAAGGTGCTTAAAATGAATTTAAGATGTCTACTTATAAAATCCTTGTTACCAAAAAAATTCAAGATTTCAATTTGTACATTTTCAGATGGATGGAAAGAAAGTATGGTTAGATCTTAGTACCTGAAAACCAGTTTATTATCTTATACATTGCCAAGAGGATGAATATACAATAAATGTAATACATGCAGGTGTGAACATTTAAAATATTAATATTGACTTCTGTATAAATGAGGTCAATTAATTATTCTAAAAACCCACATATTTTAATAAAAGTAGCCATTATAACTATTGTAAGTACATGTAATGATACATTACACTTTTAATATATAAACCAGGTAGGTAGATTGAAAAATATAAACATTCGTGACCACATTAGATTTTATATTACAGTACAATTAAAAGGCGTTTATTAGCATCAAACTATCTTTTCAAATGTCCAAATTTATAACATAATTAAAACTTTATAGAACAGCTCAAAACCCTATTTCTTTTATGACTGATTTATCTAATTCATAAAACTAATCTGTATTTAACATGAGAGACATATTGAAATCAAAATAATGGTGAGCCTCTTTCCCTATGTGAAATTCCATAATTATTTTTCAGCGATTAATATAAAATACTTATTTATCAAAAATATTTGTCAATATGAACTGATAACCTCTTATCTTCCAGGCACTGTGCTAGGCTCAAAGATAGAGATGAATGAGATAAATTATCTGTCTTTTAGGACATCGTCAAGTTGGGATGAGAGGAAAAATCAATAAATTGCCAGACAAAGTAGAGAAAATTTAGTGTCAGAAAATCCCTATGTGGTAACTGGGAAATGTGTCACCTAAAAAAGATGACATTTAAGCTGATTGCTGAAGCATGCGGATTGAAGACATTAGGGTAATCTGTTTTTTTTTTTTTTTTTTTTTTTTTGGAGATGTAGTCTTGCTCTGTCACCCAGGGTGGAGTGCAATGGCGCAATCTCCGCTCACTGCAACCTCTGCCTCCTGGGTTCAAGCAATTCTCCTGCCTCAGCCTCCTGAGTAGCTGGGATTACAGGCACGCACCACCACTCCCGGCTAATTTTTATATTTTTAGTAGAGACGGGGTTTAACTATGTTGGCCAGGCTGGTCTTGAACTCCTGACCTCATGATCCGCCTACCTCAGCCTCCCAAAGTGCTGGGATTATAGGCATGAGCCACTGCGCCCGGCCAGAGGAATCATTCTAAGCGGAGAAGATAACACCTGCAAAAGTATGCCACAGTTATGTTGGGAATTTCAATATGATGGAGCTCTGAGTGTACATGTATGTGAGGAAAAGGAGGTAAACAAGGAGTTAGAAAGATGTGATGAGACCAGGTGGTGATGGACTGAATATAAAGCAAAGACATCTGGATTTTTAATTCTGTAGGGAATAGCTGACCAAGGTATATGATTACATGTCTGCTTTTTAAACAGCTTTGTGATTTGAAATGCTGGGTTGTTATTGTTTTTTTTTTGTTTTTGTCTTTTTTTTTTTAAAAAAAAAAAGATGGCTAACTCTGCCAACCATAGACAAATATGCATACTGGCATGTGGAGAAAGAAGACAGGAATTGTTAGAAAGATTTCATTATTTTCCAGCCTCCAAAATAATGAGGTAATTTTAGGCATAGTAATAAGAATGAGGAAGACAGACTAGATTCAATAAACATTTTTGAGTTAGTATCTGCAGATGTTAGTGGCCAGTTGAATGAGATGGAGCAGAGAGAGGGAGAAGTTAATGATGGCAGTGAATGTTCTGGTTGAAAATACCACAGTGGATGGTCGTGCCACTATGACTTATACCAGAAGTAGGCCAATTTAATGGGGCTGGAGAGGGAGATAAATATTGTTTAAAATGCCTCTAAGAAATCCTGGTGGAGATCTCCAGAGGTTAGTAATATGAACATGGAACTCAAAATGTTGTGAGTGTTTCATTCTTATTTTGTATGTCTTGAGACAGATGAGTGTTGAATGGAGGAGGTAGTATTTGTGAGGCTGTAGAACCTCTTTTTTCTCAACATCTAACCTGGGAGAATGAATGAAAGCATGGAAGAACACTGCAGCTGGGCACTTGGCAAGCCAGCTCACATTAAAAGAAAGTATAGAATGGAAGAGTCTGTCAAAGTAGACACAAGGAAGCGAGAGACACTCAGACCAGAGTAGCCCTATGGAAACGAAGGCAAAAATGGTCTTGAGCAGAAGAAACTCAGTGGTATCAAATTTCACAAAGTGGCCAAGTAGCATAAAGACAGGGTGGAGTAGTATCAGACTTTTGTTGGAAAAAATGTTTATGATTACCTCAGAGAGAGTGAATTAGTGGGAATATAAGTTATAGTATAATGGATGAATTAATACGACTTGAGGAAGTTCAGAGTCAGCAATGGTAAGAAGGGAAATAAAATGTTATCTATAAGAAGTAGTATGACCAAAGTAAGGCTTTCGAGAAAGTGAGAGAGTTGAGCACATTAGAAGGGAAAGATGTTTATAATGAAAGAAAAGAAAAGAAGAGAAACACTAATGAAACAACTCCTGGGGGAGGTGGAAGAGAGTGCAAGCCAGTGCTGTGGAGAGAAAAATGTATACCTCCCTCCTCCAAGATTAGAGGAAAGAAGCTAAGCATGATTGTCAACTGGTAAAATGAGATTTCCTCCTCCTGGGGTCCTTTATTCTTTCAGAAGGAGGAAGAAAGGTGGTCAGCTGAGAGTGGACAAAAGGAGAATTGTAGAGATTTGTAATAGCTGGTTTGAAGACTAGGACAGGAAGCTGAGAAGATGCAAGTGAAGGGATTTCTGAGAAGCAGTGAGATGCTAAGTTAAGACTGGAAACCATCCCCTTATACTGGCATCAGTCTGCCCAGGGTGTAACTTTTTTGTTGTTGTTGTGTTTTTTTTGTTTTTGATTTCTTTTTTAGCATCATTGAGTAGCTTCAGAGCAGTAGAGGAAATCTATTGATTAATTTACCCAGAGTAGGAGATTAATTCAGGAGTTTAACAGAAGGACAGGAGGCCAAAATATAAATGTCTGAAAGTAGTAACGTAGTGGGGTAGAAACTAGACGGTCAAGAATTACAACATTGCTTCTGCTTTTTACTACAATCGTGGAGGTTTAGGCAGAAAGGCTTAATTTATTCTGAGGCAGCTTTAAAAGAAGACAAATATTTAGACAGAAATCAGCTTCTCTTTTTACCAGATTCATCATTGCTGAAGACAGCATAAATGGAGGAAACCTAGACTCACTGGCTAATTTTCTTGAGGTTTTATGGTAAAATGAATTCTCGGAAAGTTCATCCTTTGACTAGGATTTTAACCAGGAGACCGTTGTTACTTTGTTTCAACAGCTGTGTTACCACTTTCCTTCTCCCTTGCATTCTAGTTAGTATGGAATAATAAAAGATTGACCTTTAGAAAGGGAGCATTATCAATTTATTTATAAAGATTTCACCATAGGCATACAGCTGATACTTGAGTTCCTCTGATCTGTTGATGTCTTAAGTCAAACCTATAATTTACTGTTATTGAAATTTGTTGAAGTCTGCCTTCAAGTATAAAAAGCTTTTTCATTAATTCGTTATATGGGATACGGCATAGTGGACTATATACTGAATTGCAGGCCAGGTTCTGCCCTCAGCCACTTAAGTCCAAATACATCACTTTATATTTTAGGGCCTCACTGTAATTAGCATAAAAAGAACCTCTTTCCTCTGAGGTTGAGACAAACAGCCTGCCTTGTAGGGGAAGTCACCTTATAATAAAATTCCCTTAGGTGGACAACTAAGTGAGTTCTACATTCTCTCCTTCTCTCTCTTTCCCCATCTCTCTCCCTCCCCTGACCCTTCTCCTCCCCTCTCATACTGAATAAAGTCAGAATATTCTGGAGACAAATACGAGTAAGATCAAACATCACCTCCTTATCTCTCACTCCAGTCCCCAGTACAGGAGCCCTGGATTGATGGAGGTGCCCCTCTGTTTTCCTGGTGCAAATGTAACTTGTTCAATTATACAGCCAGTCAACAAATATATATTGAATGTCTGTTGTGTGATAGGCATTTTTTTGGGTGATGGTGACATCAGGGAACCCAATACTCTGCAGTACTATTTTTATTTCACTGTGTTAAAATTTTATGCTCATTTTTATGACTTCCCCACTAGACTATAGCTACCTGGGGAAAATAATTTTGCCTTATTTCCTCAAATCTCAATGGTCTAGCACAATGTTTGACACATAGAGGGTGGTCAATAAAAGACTGCTGGATAAGTTAATTATTAGCTAATAGATTAATATACATGTACACTCATTTATACTCTGAGATTTATAAGAGAGGAAGCATTTATGGAAGACATAGTAAGTATCTGCTATGTTTCATTCAAAGAAATACATTTAATTAACTTGGTTTGTTCTGTGACCTTAGAAATGAAGCAAATGTAGGATTTTAGAGAAAGTTACAGTTAAATTTCTCTAAGAAGCGTTTTCTGAGGTGCCAACAATAGATAGAGGCATAGAAAAATCCTATTCATAAAAACCAGAGGGGCAGATTAAGCCCACAGAGAAAATAAGATCTTTGGTTTTCATTGTTAGATCTAATAAGTGATTTCCATGAGTCACTTATTTATTTTGTAATTGAGCAAGTAATAAAATGAATTGAGCATCCACAGCTTTGCTACAAATGAAGATGGACCATTACGTGCTCTTATTTAATACGAAAGTAAATTTTCATGATAGTTTAAAAAATTGGTACAGTGTGTGTTCATAATGCTATTATTCAAAGAGGTGATTATCCAGTTCCTCACAGTAGAATCTTAGTTATTCTATTTGAAAGGAATGTTTTCACCAAATTGCCAAATTCTTCAATTCATTAGTCAAAGTTGCCATAATCTTTGATCACATAGGGAGTTACTTCTTGGTTACTTCCTGAAGCCCAGTAGGTGAAACAGCATTTGTCTTGCATGTTCACTCTATGTGACATCCACCAAAATAGTCAAAAATTTAAAACAATTCAATTAATCACCAGTCTATTTTGACCCATTCCCACCAATAAAGTCGATAGGCTGAATGTTATTTTCCAGTCACTTTTTTTTTTTAAGTTGAACTGAGTAGTTGATTTGTCATTGTGCAAACACAATTTATTCACATGGAGTCCATAATTGGGATCTTGTTTCTCCTCTCTGGGATCTTTTTATTGTTTTTCACTTCATCAATTTCTGCAGCCACAGTTACGAAAATCCAAAATTTGACTTAAATTTCGAAGTTGAAATTTGTGTTATTATTTTTGTTTGAGACTGGAGCAGAGGAGGGAAATTACTTCAGGGAAAATGTTTAGTGGGCAATTATAATAAACTCTCTGGGAAATTGTACTTCCTTCTTTTTTTTTTTTTTTTGAGATGGCGTCTCGCTCTGTCGCCCAGGCTGGAGTGCACTGGCACAATCTCTGCTCACTGCAACCTCCGTCTCCTGGGTTCAAGTGATTCTCTTGCCTCAGCCTCCCAAGTAGCTGGGACTACAGGCACGTGCCACTACATGCTGCTGATTTTTGTATTTTTAGTAGACACGGGGTTTCACCATGTTGGCCAGGTTGGTCTTGAACTCCTGACCACAAGTGATCCACCTGCCTCGGCCTCCCAAAGTGCATGAGCCACTGTGGCCTGTACTTCTCTTTATTAGAGCAAATACAAATTACCCTAGAGAGTTTCTCTTTAGAAATTTCTTGCTATTTTTTCCTTTCATATTCTCTTTCAATTTTCTAAAAAGAACTGCATAAGGTAGTGAAAGGAATATAGGATTTGAATTCTGAAGTATCTGATTTTGAATCCTGGCCCTGGAATTTACTTTTGGTGTGACCCACAGCAAGTTATTAATCTTACTATGCCTCAGTTGCCTCATGTAGGAAGTAAGTACTATTTTGAAGAGTAAATGAAATAACTAATTACAGCAGCATTAAAAATGGAATGATTGATCTACAGAGAGATGTTTACTTTGTAGTTGAAACTAGGGGGTATGAAAATGGCAAAATGACTGAGTCCATTAAGTCTCATAGGCTAACTAGGGCCATTACTTTATAGCACCTTTTATACATACACCTTCATGTGTATACCTGTTGGTATAGTTTTAGCTATTGGAAACAATCTAAATCAACAAGACAATATTCAATAGTTATGTGTCCGGAATTGGTGAGTTCTTAGTCTCACTTCAAGAATGAAGCCGCGGACCCTCGCAGTGAGTGTTACAGTTCTTAAAGGTGGCGTGTCCAGAGTTTGTTCCTTCTGATGTTCAGATGTGTTCGGAGTTTCTTCCTTCTGGCGTTCGGATGTGTTCAGAGTTTCTTCTGTCTGGCCGAGTCTGGCGGATTCGTGGTCTCGCTGGCTCAGGAGTGAAGCTGCAGACTTTCGCAGCGAGTGTTACAGCTCTTAAGGTGGCGCGTCTGGCGTTCCTCCCGGTGGGTTCATGGTCCCGCTGGCTTCAGGAGTGAAGCTGCAGACCTTTGTGGTGTTACAGCTCATAAAGGCAGTGGGGACCCAAAGAGTGAGCAGCAGCAAGATTTATTGCAAAGAGAGAAAGAACAAAGCTTCCACAGCGTGTAAGGGGACCCGAGCCGGTTAACACTGCTGGCTCCGGCAGCCTGCTTTTATTCTCTTATCTGGCCCCACCCACATCCTGCTGATTGGTAGAGCCAAGTGGTCTGTTTTGACAGGGCACTGATTGGTGCGTTTACAATCCCTGAGCTAGACACAAAGGTTCTCCACGTCCCCACCAGATTAGCTAGATACAGAGTGTTGATTGGTGCATTCACAAACCCTGGGCTAGGCACAGGGTGCTGATTGGTGTGTTTACAAACCTTGAGCTAGATACAGAGTGCCCATTGGTGTATTTACAATCCCTTAGCTAGACATAAAGGGTCTCCACATCCCCACCAGACTCAGGAGCCCAGCGGGCTTTACCCAGTGGATCCCGCACCGGGGCTGCAGGTGGAGCTGCCTGCCAATCCCGCGCCCTGCGCCTGCACTCCTTAGCCCTTGGGTGGTCGATGGGACTGGGCGCAGTGGAGCAGGGGGCGGCGTGTCGGGGAGGCTCCGGGCTGCACAGGAGCCCACGGAGGCGAGGGGGAGGCTCAGGCATGGCAGGCTGCAGGTCGGGAGCCCTGCCCAGCGGGAAGGCAGCTAAGGCCAGGTGAGAAATTGAGCACAGCAGCTGCTAGCCCAGGTGCTAAGCCCCTCACTGCCTGGGGCCTGCCGGCCGGCCGCTCCAACTGCGGGGTCCGCCGAGCCCACGCCCACCCGGAACTCGCGCAGGCCCGCAAGCACCGCGCGCAGCCCGGGTTCCCACCTGCGCCTCTCCCTCCACACCTCCCTGCAAGCTGAGGGGGCCGGCTCTGGCCTTGGCCAGCCCAGAAAGGGGCTCCCACAGTGCAGTGGCAGGCTGAAGGGCTCCTCAAGTGCCACCAAAGTGGGAGCCCAGGCAGAGGAGGTGCCGAGAGCAAGCGAGGGCTGTGAGGACTGCCAGCATGCTGTCACCTCTCAGTTACAAAGCCCTATATGGTTTTTGTATTTTAAAAATCAGTTTCATGAATAGAGAATGGAAGGGCTCTGGCTTGTCAAAAATACAAATACGCAAAGATCCAGCAGCTTTAATGGACTGATTTATTCCTACACTCATTTCTAAATATTTATTGAGTAGAGTGCCTACTATGTGCTCGATGTTGAAGATGGAGAGGGAGAGTCAACAAAACAGACCAGAGCTTCTGCCTTCATAGAGCTTCTATTCTAGTGTTAACCTGTAAATTTAACCCTAAACAAATCTGATGAAGCTGTTGTGAAAGAGAAAGAGGGAATTAGCTCTTATATTACCTATATAGACGCAGTTTCCAACTACAGTAAATTAGAACTGCAATGAGTTTTATTTTTATTTTAAACACACCCATATTCTTATGTTTATTTTTGGTGATGCAAATCAAAAGGGGTATGGATCAATTGGAGTGTCTTGGGAAGATAATGCCATGAATTTTTCTGAAGACCATGTGCTATGGTAAATGGTGTGCTATGGGAAATGGGTGAAGGAACTGTATAGGTTATGTCCAGAAAAGAAAAGGGTCAGGAGAAATGATAGCTGACCTCAAGCAGTGAAGAGCTGCCTCAAAGGAAAGGCAACAGATGGAGTTTACTTTGTTCCACTGTAGGACTGGAAGCAAACAGTGGCAGTTTTTTATGAGGTAGATGTTAGCTCAAGACAGAACTTTCCAATTATAAGGGTTATTCTTAAATAAGAGGTTGTCAAGGAGCAAGAGGTCACCAGCTTTCTCTTTGCAGAAGGTAACTCAGCAGAAACTGGAAGTACAGGGGCAAGAGTCAAGTCTTGGTAAGAGACTGGCAAAGTGTGCTTTGGATTCTATGACTCTGAAACACCATTCTTGCTCTGTAGTTAATTACTGCAATAATTCATAGCCTACGAAAGCTCAGAGGCAACATATTTCCAGATGACAACATCCTTATGGGTTTCTGACCTTTAAGGTTTCCTAGAATTTTGCAACTCTATAATTATCTCTGTACCTGGAAAATTCTATAGGAAATGACAATGAAGCTTTTCTTACTTGTCAACCATGTTCAAGAAATGTTTTCTGAGCATATGGATTTCACTTTTGTTTTCCAAAATAGTGATTGGAGATTTGCCTGTTTAAATCCCCCCAATTTTTAGCCAGGATTGAAAATGACAGGTTATTCTAATGCCCAAATATTAATTTCTATGCCATATCTATATCTATATATTTCATTGGCCAATCTTCTTTAAATTTTCTGGATTTCGATTAGTTCATTCTGAACTGTTGACAAGCTAAATTTAGCTAACAATTCATTGCATTAAATGCCTGTTCATTCTTGGAAAGTATATTGTTTTTTTTTTTTCTTAGCAAAGTGACAAATACCATTTTCATGACAATAATAGAGATTGATTACATTTTATGGAACACAGAGTAAGAGCTGATCTTAGTGAGACAACCTTGGGACTTATAAAAGGGAAAAAAATCATTTGAATTAATAATGAAGTTAATGAATTCATCTGTTGCTGATGAAATAGAAGTATTTAGAGAAAAATGAAAAGTTCTGCTGCTACACAAACACTGTCAAGAATTAAGACCAATTTCAGTACTTTGGAGGTGCTGGTTTTGTGAAACCTTTTTTTGTGTGTGAAACCTTTTAAAAAGTTAATACTCACTGTTTTCAAAGCTAAAGCTATGATATTGATCTCTGGCTTACCTAAGCATACTGCGTGATAGTAATTATATTGAAAGACATTTTTCAATTAAGTTAGGAAAAGAGTAAATCATGATCAATGAAAACTAAATTTGAACTATTAAGAAGCCTATGGGGAGCAGTTTATGTTTCTGATATGATTTATGCTCTAAAATTTCACTAGTTTCCTTTACACTCTTAACTTTTCATAGTTAGGCCTAAACTAAACCAAATATTCATGTGCTTTATTATTCTTCCTTGCTTCTCAGTATCACTTTCCTTATCACCTAAAAGGCATTATTAAAAATCAAAAAACAAAAAATCTGCACATCTATTATAGTCTGAATGTATGTTTTTAGAGAATAGAAATAAGAAAAAAGGGAGGTATTTAAAATGTTGAAGTAAGTTGTGGCAGACCTGGAAGACAATGCATGGCTAAAGTACAGAATTACTTTCTCTGAAAAATCTTTAAAACAAGGAAACCAGTTCATGTCTGTTCAGGGACCTTGCCAATTTCTTCATCTTTCATCCCCATCACCTTAGCATTGTACCAAACATAGTATCAAACACACAGTAGGAGCTCAATAATAATTAAGTGAATAAACATGTTTTCCCAATAGGGAAAATAAATAAAAATCATCATAGCAATCAATGTTTGTTGAGCTACTAATTTGTGCCATAGAACTTATGTATTTTATCTCTAATATTTGTAATTTTTACATTGTTATAGGGTGATAAGTCCCAGGGGTGGGGTAAGAATAAAAAAATGAGCATTGATGAAGCTGAATAATATTTAAATAGCTTCTGAAAATATATGTTTATGTATTTGGCATGGTTATGAAGAAAAATGACCATGCCTGAGGATTTGAGAAACACCAGAGAACTTACTGTGGATATTTTTAATCTATGATTGTGCTATTATTTTAAAATATTTTCCAATTGTTTCACATGTATATATTTTGTCTCTTCTATAAACTCTTTGTTGGTAATTTTTTCTTTTTGGTCTTTCCTAGATGCTCTCTGTATCATCTAACTACAACTTTGTATTCAAAGAGTTTCTAAAAATCATAGGTCATTCCTATGATGAATCTCCAGTTTTTAGAGATGTATGATACAGAAACTATGTCAACAGTAGTTGACTATTTCTTTTTATCATATATCTTGAGAAATCCTTTATATTATTTTTTCCTTTTATTGGAATTGTAATTTTACATTATGGAAGGAATAGTTTTGCTCAAGAACCTAATGCTTGCTCATATTGTAAACCATGGCTCAGTTTGTAAACCATGGCTTTGAAAGTAACGTAAATAAAACAACAGGTGTAGGGTGTGCTAATTGCCGTCACATTTTGTAAAACCCTGCAGTACATAACTTATTCATCATTTCCTATCTGAATAGGTTTGGCAAAACTGTTCATTTCCCTGTAACATACACAGCCAGCAAGGGATACATGTATATCAGTGGTGCTATTAAATATTTGAAAACTTGATTCAATGTACATTGAATATATCTTTATAATTTATAAAATTAAAATTTACTTTTTTCTTCATATTTCTTACAATTAGGAGTGAAGGTAGATTACAACAAATTGCTGAAAAATTCACAAGTAAACCCTAAAAATACATAAATCTTCCTAATTATATAGAGAAATTCATGATGAAGTTATGTTCTTTCTATGGTGTTTGAAAGTTCAAAGAACTTTTCTGACTCAAAAGATTTATGTTAGTTTTGTGTTAATTGCTTTAGAAATTGCTATATAGGCTATAGAAAAAAAATCCATCTTTATATTACATAAAATTAGTAATTTAAAGAGCATCTATTGGGCATCATTTTGAAAATGAATTGCTGTAAAATTACTTCCTGCATATTGCAAGCTACAATATTGTATGGGAAGTAAATACCTAACATTTACAATATTCTATGGGAAGTAAATACCTAATAGTATTATTATGAGTTGTATAGTCTTATGAAAGGTATCTAATGAATGATCAAGTATCATAATTACATAATTTAGCCTATAAGTTCTAGTATTATGTGTATGTATTTATTTCAGACTCTACTCTTTAAAGATTAGATATTATAAACTCTCCTCTTATCAGATGGAAAGATTGATAGATGAATAAAAATGGAAAGCTTTTTGTAACATAAAAGTCAATACATACATCATTCACTTTTCTGAATGGTTTTTAAAGACCGTAATTTCACTTAATTTTGAGAATTAATCAAACAGAAAGGAAGCCAGCTTCTCCTTCACACCATCTTCAAGTGGCACTATTTTCCCAAGTTATTTAAAATCTTGGGCAAGCATTTAATATATTTTTCAAATATTATATAAGTTAAAATTTTAAGTTTATTAAGTTATAGAAGAGTTTTACTCATTGTTAAAAAATCTGAGTGATACAGACATGTAAATCAAAAGGGGAAAGCCCTATCTTCACTTCTTTTTCCATTCTCCAGATCTGCCAGTTAAGGTTTTTCTTTAAAGAAAGAAAAACATATATATATACACATAGAAACACTGCTTTTTTCATTAAAAATTGGATTATTCTATATGTATTTTTCTATAATTTGCTTGTTCAAATCAATCATCTTGAGCATTATCCCACAATAACAGGTTTTTCAGAATTTGAGATCATAACTGCATAGTTTTCCATACTACACATGCACTTTGATGTAACTATGCCTTTGCTGATGTTCTTGTAAATTGTCTCACACTTTTTTTCTGTAAATTAATAATTATATGAACATCTGTGTATGTGTCTCTGTGTGATCCTTCTATTTATCATCATGGGCTTCTGTAGTTACTTTTCTAAGCTAGACTATAGTCACTTTTTTATTGTTAAGGAATATGTGCATTAAAATTTTTCTTACGTATTACCAGTGGTTCCTTGAAATGGTGTATCAGTTTCAACTCCCATAAATAAGTATCAATTGTCCTCTTCACAGGACCTTCACCAGCACTGAATATTACTTAGTCTCTTAATTTTTGACAAATATTTCAGTATTTATGGATGATTTATTAATTTTTCTAATAATTATCCAAACTTATTTTTATTTCTCTGAATGGTTAGAATTGAGTAAGACCTTCTGAAAATGGATACTTGAAGTAGAGTTATCAGAGATAAAGTAGAGCACTTTTTAAAAGTTTTTTTTAAATAGAAATGTTTTATTGAAATTAGTTCAATTTAAGTCATTCTTAAAAAATAAATTGGAATACTGATACATAGAAAAATCTGATGAGATTTGGGATTAAGGACTTCTGTTTTTAAGAGAACTGAAACTATTGATATTTATTTGGAGCAAAGATGAATATTATTACCATACACTTTGGTTAAAATTTAAAAATTCTGATTTGAACTTCTTGCCCACAGTTTCTTCCTGCTCTCTCAACCCTCCCTTCTTAAAGTCCTTTAACTATATCCTTTAGTTCACTTCTCCCAAAATGCTTTAAAGGTTTCTCACTGCCTCATAGAGATTAACAATAATATCATAATTTGTGACCTTGTTCAAAAATGCAATTTCCAGGTCTCATCTCTGAAGATTCTAATTCTCAGTGTCTGGAATGGGTCTGATAACCTGAGTTTTCAATAAGAATGTTAGGCGATTCTCAAGACTATCTTGAGACAGACTGAATCACACATTCCCTCTCAAGTTCTCTCAGACTGGATTCTAGGTTATTCTGTCTCTGTTCTTTCCTCCTGGAAAACCAATTCCCTCCTCTCTACTTCTGTCTTTACCTTATCAAGTCCTAAGTCAAATCCAACCTTTTGCATTTTTTAGAAAAAAGGTCTCGTTCTGTTTGTTGTCCAGGCTGGAGTGCAGTGGTGCAATCATGGCTCACTGCATTCTCAAACTCTGGGCTCAAGGATCCTCCTGCCTCAGCTTCCAGAGTAGCTGAGACTACAGGCACCTGCCACCATGTTCAGCTAATTAAAAAAAAAAAAATGTTTTTATAGAGATGAGGTCTCACTATATTGCCCAGGCTGGTCTTGAGCTTCTGGCCTCAAGCTATTGTCCTGCCTTGGCCTCCCAAAGTGTCGGGATTACAGGCACGAACCACTGCACCCAACCAAATCTCACCTCTTCAATGAAGAATTCTATATCTTTATCCCTCAATGGTCAACTTCTGCATTGTACATCTTCATCACACATTTGGTACTTAGGGTTTAGTACTGTTACTTACAGCTCATGTATAATTCTTCTCTTTGTCTCTGACAGTCCCTTATACATAATGAACACTGTAAAAGTGTGTTGGTTGGTTGACTGAGTGATAATGTAATTAGACTATGAAGGAGCAGGTCAGAGTCTGTACGTCAATCCCAGGAAATCACTTCTTGACATTTGGTGGCTTGTTTTACTCCAGGGAGATTTCATTGCTATCTCTTCAAATTGGATATTGCTTGTTTTGGTGACTACAACAAAAGCTAATGCTTACCATTTGTTCGAGTTTATTAATTGCATATTTGAATCAGTCTACATCAAGTGCGTGACAAATTTTATCCATACCAAAGTTAGAGTTTTAAAATTTTATTTGAAATTTAATGTTCCACAATCGTATAATTTTTTCCCCAGTAGATCTATGTTCCCAAAGGCCTAGCTTGCTTAGCTCTTTGAAAGTAGTTCAGCTTTCTTAAAAGAAAATTGTTTAGATGTTCAGAATCGGTTCTTATCAGTAGCTACAACATAACTTTTTTGTGAGGTCATTAGAATAAATACAACATTTCTCACAGGCACAGAATCCTAAGTGCCTGTGCTATCTTCTTACTATAGTTATAGAACCAGCTTATATAATTTGGTTTTGCTTTAAGTATAATGTGGCAATGTGTTCATAAAAATTGAAATACACTTCATGCTACTAAAAATGATAATTTTCTGAGAATGGAAAACAAGACTAGCATGTATTTACCAATGTTATTCAAGATTGTCTCAAGAAAAGCATTATTCATTTGGAAAAAATAATTGATCACGAGGTAGGCACACTGAAATACTGTTTTAAGGAACAGGAAATTTTGCACTATCTACTTCTCTTATTTTGAAAGTTCAAGCGCTTGGTAAAGTCACCTTGGAAAAATGGAGGTGATTTATTAATTTATTGTTTGTCTGGACTGACAGTGTCTTGACAAATAAAAAGATATCCATCAGACATATCTATTTCTTTCTCTTAAAGCTAACAATTTAGTACAATAGTGGAACGTCTTTGGCCATCCTGGTCTCCTGTAGGTTTGGCTGTGGAGGAGCAGGTGCGAGCTTCCAAAGTGTCTTTACAAGTGTCGCAGTGGGGCTTCCCTCCCATGCCTCTGCAGGAGACAGCTCATCTGTTTAATCCGTATGTTTTAGTCAACCTTTCTTATTATGCAGACAGGGCTCTGAGCCTCAGCTGGATTTTTGACTCTCTGAATGAATTGATGGGGCTCTTTGATCTTAACTGTGTATTGCATCTGTTTCATCCTTCCTCTTAATGCAGTCTTCCATACTCTTATTTTAGTGGGTGCTCCTAAATTAAATTTAAAATTATAATTAATAATTATACAAACAAATAAAAATTGCCATTATAAAACCTAGGCACAAATTCCACTTTTCATCTTGGCCTTTTATTTTTCTTTTTGGCATGCATGATAAACTTTCTTGAAAAATCCCCCAAACGATTTTTAATTCTCTTGCTTTATAAGGGACTACCAGACTTGAGAGTATTTAATTAGGTTCCTATGAGTGTGTATGTGCTTTGTAGGGCCAGGTTTGCATAAAAAATGGGAACTGCCAATCTTTGCAATTTAGTCAATTTTATGATAGCATAATATCTTTTTAATAGACCATATTGGAGCAAAAGGCATACAACCTACACAGAAAAATCTACCATGGAAACATAAGAATCCTGCTGGGCAGTGTTCCTCTGTTTGATAGGAGTGAGAAAGTCTGAGTTGCAGAGAAAATCAGTTAGAATCAGAACAAATCCATATGGAGAATCCATTCTAGGTCATAGGGTGCTAAAATATAATCTTTCTTGAAACAAATCTTTAAAATGAAATGTATACATTCTTATGTGAGGTGGGAGAGAAGGAATATTGAGGGAACAGTGAAGGGATATTGTTTGCTTACCCACCTGTAATCATTTAGAGTTATGATTAATTGAGCCAGAAAGTATCTGCTTTTATATGAGTGACCTTTGATATTCTAATCTGGTATTTTGGAGACTTGTATTAATTATTTTTAACTCTCTATGAATCTTCATTTATCTTTAAGTATACCATGATCTTGTGATGATAACGCAATGTCAAAGCTGTCAGAATAATTTCAGCTGAGCATAAAACTGATGTTTTCTAAGAGCCAAAAGCCCTTGAGAGAGTTATGAAAAAGTCTCTCTCCAAGAGGAGGAATATTGTGATAATGACCTTTTAGTTTATTAAACATTTACTTTATCCCAACATATATATGTATGTATGTATATATAATATACTAATAACCATTTAGGAAATATCAGAATACATTTTTTCCTTAGTTACACTGAGATATAAAATAAGTATGTAAAGAATTTAATTTCTAATCATAACTCTATAATACTGCTGTTTTAAAAACATTCAGATAACTTTCTTTCATTCAAAAGTATCTCTCAAGCCCCCGCATAGTACTCAATCCTGAACTGGGGAGATTTTCATCACTATTTTTGTACTTCCCATATGGAATCTGAGAATAACTGTGCAGGAAGGAAATGTGAAAGGTTACTCAATTCTTCTTTAGGCAGAGCCTCTCTGAAACCCCCTAAAGATAATTTTACCCCCCAATATTCAGTTTGTCTATCTCTCCACAAACTGAGATGTGACTTTATTTATTTATTTTCCCAGTTAACACTTCAATTTGAAAGAAAGCATCTAGAAACCAGCCAAGGAAACATAGTTGGTTTCAGTGAGCATTTTACTTAGATTCCCTGATTTTGTTTGTTTTAGTTTCTTATCTCACATACTTGATTGCTGTGTTTCTTCTATTAAAGTGAAATGAAAATGTCTACACTCTTAGTCTATGATGATTTTGTGCTACTTGTACTTGTGAAAGTTATGATCTGGCCTCTTTTGCATAAAGTCGATCAACACACACCATTTTATTTCCATGCTTTCTTGTGATTTATAAGTCCCTAAAAGTTCCAACTTTGTTAAAACATGTCTATTTGCTCCATTGATATAACTCCCAGGTAAGTGCATGTTACTATATGAGAATTCATTTAAAAGATGTTAAATTGCTCCATGTGCATTTCCTTGTATTCATCAATTCTGACCTATATTCATTCTTAACTTACTTTCTTATTACTTCCTAATAGTAAATAACTGGGTGAGTAAATTTACCTCCATGATTCTTCCTAAATGTGAAAAGTGATTCTCTTACATTACTCTTCAGAAACAGTAGGAGAGAAAACACATAGGCCGTGTGGGTTGAGATATAGTTTCTAGCTATGAACTGCCATTAAATGCCCTTATGCTCTCTGATCATGCCTTTTGCTTTATGGTCACATGTGGCCTCACTTCTTGACCATCTCCTATACCTATAAAATTTCAGAGACTCAACCTTGGGTTCCAGAAATTGCCCAAGGCCGTGTTACTTTTAAACTCAGAAGTTTGAACAACCCATTAATGGGTCATGAAATCAACTTAGTAGATCATAACCTAGGTTAAAAAGGTAATAAAAAGATTAGAAATACAAATGCATTTCATGTTAGTAAGGGTATTATTTCATGAATATATTTTATCAAATATATTTCAAGTGTGTGTGTGGTACTTGGTTGTATGGTAAATATTTTCTTACCATAAATTTCAGTCAAAAAAGCCTGAAAAAACAAAACATCGAGTGAGATCATATAGCCTCTAATAAGCTTTTGCGTGGATTATGGGCTTTAGGATTTTGAGGATTATTTTACCATATCCAAATTTGATTATTTTTTCATGGGTTATCCTCCAGAAAATCAAGGGCATTAGCTCACAGCAATAGGCAAATAATAATGGAAACTTAGTAAATGCTTCCAGAATTGTTTGAAGCTAGGCTGTATCAGCTTCCTGAAGGTAAAATATTGTTACTGATTGAACCATTTAGTTTCAGGTAGTCGTATAAGAAAGAGACACGAGCATTTAGTTGCACAAACGAAGCATACAGTTCACAGAAAAAGGATTTTGTTAATACCTTATTTGGTTGTTGGGCCAAGAAGAGTGAATATAAACTATGACTGTATACTTGTGTTATGACAAGAAAGGAAATAATAATTATCGCTCTTTTAAAATATCTGAAGATTAAAACCTTTGCCTTTCATTTAAAAACAGCTTTGTAAATGTGACCATTGTTTTTATTGCTAATAATATGTGGGGAATAGGGAGAGATTAGTCAAGGGGGACGAAGTTATAGTTAGATAGGAGGAATAAGTTCAAGTGTTCTGTTTGGTTAACAACCTTGTGTTGTATATTTCAAAATAGCTAGAAGAGAGGATTTTGAATGTTCTCACCTCAAAGAAATGACAGAGGTATGAGGTGATGGATATGCTAAATACTAATTTGATTATTATACAATGTATACATGTATTAAAACATCACACTGTACTCCATGATAGTTATTACATGTGAATTAAAACAACAATTAAAAAGAATGATACAATTTTTTTTTCTTGCCTCTGTATCCACCAGAAGTTAGCATAGGGAGGAAATTCTAATTGTGCTACTATCGCACAGCTTGCATCTTATCTCATGACTGAGAAATATTTAAGTGCTGTTCAGCAAGGTAAGCATGAGAAAGAGAAGATAAGAATTCACATAACTGGCCGGGCGCAGTGGCTCATGCCTGCAATCCCAGCACTTTGGGAGGTCGAGGCGGGCGGATCACGAGGTCAGGAGATCCAGACCATCCTGGTTAACACGGTGAAACCCCATCTCTACTAAAAATACAAAAATTAGCCGGGCATGGTGGTGCGTGCCTGTAGTCCCAGCTACTTGGGAGACTGAAGCGGGAGAATGGCGTGACCCCGGGAGGCGGAGCTTGCAGTGAGCCGAGATCGCGCCACTGCAGTCCAGCCTGGGCAACAGAGTGAGACTCTGTCTCAAAAAAAAAAAAAAAAAAAAAAAAAAAATCACATAACTGTATGGTTGAATATCCATTGTGTTCTTTACAAAGTATGTCATTCTTTCTGTAACATCCGTGGTGGAATATAACCTTAGTATTACACAACCACCATCAGCAGCAGCAGCATTTGAGAGCTTAGCAGAAATGTAGAATGTCGGGCTCCATCTCGGACCTACTGAATCAAAATCTGCATTTTAGCAAGATCTCCAGGTGATATACAGGATCATTAAAGTTAGAGAAGTCCTGGTATACAGGATAAGTCTTACCAATTGCTGTATAGACCTATGTTCACTTCATGGATAACATTTGCTCTAGAAAAGAAAAATTAACCAGTAGAGAGGGCCAGCAACTGTTCATACCCTAGAGCTGTGATTGGCCACCTAATAGTGTCTAAAATTATGATGCTGACAATGACACTGCTGCTGCTGTGGATAACACCCATTATCAGGTGTTTCCAAGTGTTAGCCATTTTGTCTAATATGTCAACTAATCTGTTTAACTATCATCTACCTCCTGAGTTTTATGCTCTTTTACAGACAAGACAATTGAGGCAACAGGTTGCCTAGGATCACCACCCCCTTGTAAATACAAGCATTCTGATGGCTAGCCTCAGGTATGCCCAAGGTAGAGTCTGTGACTGGGAGCTGAACTTTTTAAAAGTAAGACAGACTATTTGTTTCAAATAGGAAGAAACTATGACACTTGAAAGCTTCCTATGAAGTTGTCAATTGAAATTTGTTTAGATAATATTTGTAATGAGCAATGTGTTCTCCAATTTGCATATTTGAAAAGATAAGGAAAGCCTTCTGTTTTAAGCTCATATCACATGTTCAGGCTATCAGATCACAATTTATTGTGTATTATGTGCCATGTGGCATCTTAAGCCCCATTAGAGGCCCTTAGCCCTGGGCATTCTACTGGCATCTAAAGGATGCCTTGAGAGTGAGCTGCTTTTCTGAGGACAAATATTTGTACATTTGTAACATGGGGAAAGGACTCCTTACTTGAAATGGCTTTAGAATTGTAGAGAACATAGAAATGCGGTTTGTCTCTTGTGTGCTAAATTAAATCCTTTTAAAGGAAGACATCCTTTGAGAAAGGAGATGCAGGAATACCAACATTTTGATGTTTATTGGGTGACAAAAATCAACTCAATCAACAAATGGTTTTGAAAATAACATTGAAATGTGAATTGGAAGCAAAAGGTAGTGAGGTCATGTTATGGTGCAGAAAAACAATGCTGTGTGTACTGCTGATCAACTAGGTAGGCATTAGCGGGTGGATCATGGCCACTAGCATGGGAAAGGGAAGAGTTTTTATAAATGAACTAGAATAGACTGCATATTCAAGTAGGAATAATGACTCTTTTTAAAAATTATTACATTTGTTCCTGGTTTAAAAGGAGAGCTACATATATAACATAAATTTATACAACCTCAAAGGATATACTGTGAAGATTAGTTTCTTCTCCTCTTCTGTCCCCAGACCCAAGTTTCCCTACTGACACAACCAGTGTGTGCAGCTCCTTGTATATTTTTCAGAAATATCCTCCAAATACCTCATAAAGAGTTATGAAATATCTTCATAAATAAACAGTATATGCAAAAGCCTTGTTAAACAAAAGGGTAATATACCAGGGGCCCCTAATCCCCTGGCCACAAACCAGAGCACAGGTCTGTAACCTGTTAGGAACCAGGCTGCACAGCAGGAAGTGTGTGGCCTGCAAGTGAGAGAAGCTTCATCTGTATTTACAGCCAGTCAAAATCACTTGCATTACAACCTGAGCTTCGCCTCCTGTCAGATCAGTGGTGGCGTTAGATTCTCATAGCAGTGCGAACCCTGTTGTGAACTGTGCATGCGAGTGATCTGGGTTGTGCACTCCTTATGAGAATCTAATGCCTGATGATCTGTCACTGTCCCCATCACCCTCAGATGGGTCCATCTAGTTGCAGGAAAACAAGCTCAGGGCTCCCACTGATTCTACATTATGGTGAGTTGTATAATTATTTCATTATATATTATGATGTAATAATAATAGATATAAAGTGCACAATAAATGTAATGCGCTTGAATCATCCTGAAACCATCCCCCACCCCACTTCCGGTCCATGGAAAAATTATCATCTGTGCAGCTGGTCCCTGGTGCCAAAAATGTTGGAGACAGCTATAATATACAATACCCATTGTTCTGCACCATTCTTCTTTTCCTTAAAATGTATCATAGAAGTACTTTCATATCGGTACTCCTACTTATACTTTATTCATTTTAATGGCTGCATGGCATTCTACAGTATGAATATAACATACTTTATTTAACCAGTTACCTTTGGTGACTTTTTAGATTAGTCTCAGTCTTTTGCTGTCATAAATAGTGCTGCAACTATGATCCTTGTCCATGTATTATCAAGCATATGTGACTATATAGATGTCCAGGTCTTCACATTCAAAGTCCTGATTTATTTTTACTAAAACTCTCTAAGCAATGGGGAAAAAATAACCAAGTAGCATAGGAGGCAGGGTAATAATAATAATTGAAAATAATATTTGCTATGTGGTAAGTAATTTATAAGTATACATTTAATTCTTAAAAATCTAGAGGAAGCTATTTATTACTATTATTATTGTTGTTGTTATTACTGATTTGAGTGAGAAAGCTAGGATAGGAATTCACCCAAGATGCTTGTCTTTGGATCCCTTGCTCTTGTTTGCTACACTGTACTGTTTCTTGGTGATTCTGTTGCTACTTTGGCAATGAGAGTGCATTTATTGGATATCTACCATGTGCTAAGCAGATGACATGTGTTAGTCACAGTCTTCATAATAGCACCATGAGATGTTGTTGTTGTTGTTGTTGAACAGATTCTTGGTAAGGTTTACTAACTTGCCCAAAGTCCCAGAGCTAGTAAGCAAGGAGCTAGGAATGGCCTGGAAGCAGGATGTCTGACTCTTGTGACTCACGACAGAGAAGGGAGTTTCAGGTATTGATTCTACATCTAACAGGCTGGAAGGCAGAAATAAAACTAATATACATATGAGGCTTAATTAAACGTATTGAAGTGATAAGAGGGATAGGAAGGGCTGTCACAAGGACCAACGGAAGACAGTTGGTGGGGCACAAAGATAAAAAGCATCTGTAGCAGAGAGGAGCCGTGTGGATCCAGAATGCACTCTTCTCTATGGAGAATGTTTCCAAATCTAGATTGCTTTGTTCTCACCAACTGCTTCAACCGTTAAAACATTCCACACCTGTACATTGCATGTATACCTTCAACAACCCATTGTCATTAGAATGGCAGCAATGAGAATGGAACATGTGGTGCTTGCATGTCCTAGAGAAAGAACAGCCTTAGGTGACTGCTCCGAGTTGGACTTTGTGGCCACAGGGAGCAGAAATCAGCAAGTGCCCCACATTAGAAAATAAAAGTAAGAGTGCTAAGAAAAGTAAGAGTGCTGAGATTCTTCAAGGCAATGCCAATTTCTCCAGGTCAGCTTCTCCTATTTTAATCTGTTTCCAGCAGTTCTGCATCTTTGTAGGTATGCCATAAGCAGCCATAAAAAAGGCAAAATTGTACGATCTACAGGTCTAGTAAAATTATAAGTCATGTAGGTCTTATAGAAATTATAATTTTAACTGAAGTCCTCCATATCTATTGTTTTATTATTATTGCTGTTACTATTTTATAAATCAATTTTACTATGTAGACCATGTTTCTGTGTTTGGTTTCTTAGGTTTTGAATACTGAGTTTTCCTGTTTCAGAGTACCTCATTTAATGCAGTGAAGTTCTGGTAATATTTCACAGAAAAAAAATAAAAGGTGTAGCACAAATATGTCAGAATTATTTATATGATGGTTATAATAAAAAATAATAACTAAGATATATAATGAGTTTTCCTGTAGGTCAGAAAATATGCCGAGTTTTATATACATTAACTGGTTTAATATTAAGCACCTGTGAGGTAAGTATTACAATTATTATTGTTGTTCCCATTTTACAGATGGAGTCTTTGATTCTACATTTTGAGATTAACAATTAGAATGGCATTAAAGCAAACTTTTGTAAAAGAAGAAAATGCTTTCTAATTCTACAAAACATATTTTCGATTTTAACACTTCTCCATCCAGTCTTTCTTCAAATATACTCAGTAATCAATATATGTACAATTTTGTATTCTGCTTTTTAAATTCAGTATAGTCATAAAAAGTTGGTTTTATCAGTCTTTCTTATTACCATATAATGACTGCCTATGATTAATTGCCAAATTTATTTCTTGATTTCCTTCTTTGGAGACATTGTTTCCATTCTTTCTTATAGATACTATTGCAATGAAAAAACATTGTGTACATAGCATTATTTTATTCTCTGGGCATTTCCTAGGAAACTGTCCCCTCTTCCACTCAAAGAGTAAAGATCTTTCTGACTCATTCTAACTCCCTGAATCAAAGTCATTTTCATAGGAACAAATAGTGAATATTATTAATGCTTATTTTAAAATCTTAAGAGAAATGTCTACTTTGAACTCTTTAGGAATAAACTCTTTTCAGTATTGTAAAGATATAAGTTTGAATACATATGTCATTAATATATGGGTAATCCATATAAAGCCTAAAGAGTGAATTTTTGTATCATTTAATTTTAAAAGTAAGTGAGTGGGCTGAGGAGGATGATATATGCAAGGTAAGTATTTATTCTTCATCGACATGTATTTCTTGAGAAACGGCTATGTGCCAGGCTGTACAGCAGTTGCCAAGGCTATGATAATGGATGGGATAGAAACAGCTTATTTCCAAATAGGGCATCACTGAAAGTCATATCACAGATTCTTTGTCCTTGACGTTGTGCCACAACACACTCTTGTCCTGTTATTTCTGATTTTTTTGTTCTTTTGCTTTTATGGAATCTGACTCATTTCTTACTATCAGCCCAAGACACAAAGGATAAAGAGTATCTTACTCTCAGCAAGATATCTATATCTATATAGATATAGATATATAATTTCTAAGAATTTCTGAAATCATATTTTCTCCCTCCCATGCCAGTTCTGGTGGGACTTTAGAAACCTTTTTGTCTTCCCAGGGTGAAAACACCTTGCTCTGTAGTTTCAGGAATCCCTAAATCATCTCATCCTCATTTTTATATCTTAGGTTGCATCTAAATACATTTATCAGTTTATCTTTGCAGCACTTTAAGCTAAACAGAGATTTTGGGCCCTCCATGGCAGGAGTGTTCTCATGTAAAAATAAAATGTATTTTAGGATATGTGTCATGAATTATTAATATAGTGCACCACAACTGCAGTTTTCACAGAGAGAGATAAAACATTTTGTGTTGTGTTCGGCAGCCAAATATACACAATTCTTAGGTAAAATTAACTTCAGAATCACCTTTTAACTTTTCCCTAAATTTCCCCATCCCAGAAAGACCTACTAATTTATTGATAAATATAACTTTATTACTTTATGATATAGAATTCTCTTTCAAATTCTGCTGCGCAAACTTTATTTTGTTGATACTCAGACATTTTCGTGGTAATTCTTTGGTAAAAATTGCATCAAGATAACGGCTTACCATGTAGATCAAGCCCTTTGCTCCTCCATTGGATGCTACGCTCTGAAAAATATTGTTACATCATTTTGTAGGAATGCTTCTACGCATTACCTAATATATATTGAGATTTCAGTAAATTCATGATGCAAGTGTTGTGTATATCAATCGATCAATAGATACACACTAATATATGATTTCAGTAGACAGACTTTTTGAAGGAAAAATTTGTATTAAAATGTAATTGTATCTTCCCCCAGCTTAAATTTGTATGTTATTTTTAGCTGACATGCCTAAATTAGTTTTCTAATGTTATTATATAAAAATATGATTTGAACTTTTAGCAAAGATAAGTTTCAGGAATTGGAATTTTTAGAGTATTCGTCTTCATGAAAAAGGGATAGATGGAGATAATTTCACAATGTCAGAATACTGATTCCACAGGTTGACTTGGGCTACCTCGTTGTAAAGCTGGCTCTGCTGGGTAACAGTTGACTCATAGGCATCACCAACATAGCACAGAGGTAGAGAAGAAAATATTAATACAAGGGCATCTGAAAAAGGAGCTGTGATCAATTTTCTAAAACTTTCCTTAAATTTCTAATATCCTGTAGCCTTAACATTGGGATTGCAGTCCTCCCTGTTGCAACTTAGCACATACCCTACTGTCTGAACTCAAAACCCTAGGAACTACTGTCTGAGATCTGAATGTATTCTTGGTTCCAAATCAATCTTGTCACTCCTCGGAAAGCAATGCAAGATAATAAGTAGTATTCACCTGATTGCTTTCCTGCTCCGAGACAGCTGGTGACGCATGTCTTCCTGATAACCAGGAGTTTCAGATCTAAGGCAGGGATAAAGGGAAACTGGAAGCTCTCGGAATCTAAATGTGACAGTCGATGGCTGAGGAGAGGGTCAGAAGGAATAGAATCTGTGACACGTATGAGAAAGGAACAAAATTTATCTGCTCTGGTTGCAATGATTAGATGTCTCTTTGTCTGGCTTTCCTTGCAGTGGGTGACTGATCGTACCCGCCAGCTGGCTAATGTCATAATTAACAAAGTTGCTACTACATCTGCAAAGTTTAATCGAAAAATTTGCCAGTGATATGATGGCCTTGTCACAGAGATCACAAGGGACACGGAGTTGACTTTTGCTCAAGGTGGAACGACAGAGCTGTGTAGGCAAGATGAGAAATTGCGAACTTGTTCGGCCAAAGGTATGTTTCTTTCATAATTCCACATCCTAGGTTTTCTTATTAAGATTTTTGTTTGATGGTTCATGGGTTCTTTTTTTGTTTCTTGACCGAAATGATTCAGAAAAAGATCCGTATGCTTTTCGGGCATTTATAGCATATTCTCTGAAAGCTTTTTTTTTTTTTTCCTAAATCTGTAAATTCATAATATAACTAAACAGCTTTTGATGATGAAAATGGAATATAAAGCAATATTTTCTCTGTTGAGTCTAACTAATCTTTATCAGTTTTCAGAATAAGTATTTGGTAATAAATATCAATGGGACATTTATATTGTGTAGCGTTGGATTTATTTTGCTCAACAATGTAAAAGCCGTTGCTCTGCTATTTTCTATTGTGTCAACTAGTTCTAGGAAAGGAAAAAAAAGCAAAGTGTAGTTATAGAATATGTAGAGGTTCTATTTTCGTTTCAAGACATGCTCAAAGGAAAGCTAAGGTCTTGACTTAAGTCGCACAACATAATTGGGGCTTTTTAAAACAACATTTATAAAGACGACTATCTCTTGAAATTATGTTCTATTTTCCAGGGCCAGTCTGGTCATAGACTATTTACGTGTATTTTCTTTTTACTGTGATTTGCTTTGCTTGATTGAATATTTAAGATTTGAGGAGTTTCCCAAATGATAGTCTTCCTGTATTGCTAATTAATGAGCGTGAATATTGATGAGGAAGGGCATGTGCCTGTGTGTATGTGGCTGTGCACTTAATCTAAGTACAAAGAGGGAGGAAGAGGTCTCAAAAAATATGCAGAAGGCAAGTTTGGGTTATTTATGCTGTGTCACACCACCATTACAATATCAAGGCAATCAATTTGCAATATAATCGGGGACGTATATTAAGGTTCTTTCCCTCCATGGTTATCTGGGCCACTATATCATGGCAAAATGCAATAATTTGTCTTTTGCCCATTACTATTGTCTTTTGTGTTAATAGCAGTTTTTAAATGTTATGAAATTACATTTTGGAAACAAATTTTGCACAGCATATCTATTTTAATAAGCTCATTTAAGCTTTCTCATGGTTTTATTTCTAATCATGGGAGACGAGACATTATCAATATATTCATTTTAAAATTTGACAATCACATTTTATATTCTCAAATAAAAATGAATCATTTTATGGCATTATGAATTTTAAAGCCTTTCAGTGTCCAGATAATTTTAGACACTGTTTATCAAAATTTTGGTGGAAATTTGACTTAACAGATTTCTAGTCTTCACTAAAATTTAATTTCATCAGTAAGAAAAACTGAAAGTGGAGATTTAAATCATTATTTTATTATATTCTGGACACCATGTTTACAGGAGAATGTTTTTCTTTTAATAACTATCTTTTTGTTTCTCTTTTGTTTCCTTAACTTTGATTCCCCACCCCTAGCCCAATGTCTGGCACATAATAGGCATTCAGTAGGTATTTATCAAATGAATGAATCAATGAATCTAAATATTTCCTCTGTTATTCAAAGGTGGTTAACATTTGCTTCCTCCAAATCAGTAAGTTTTGTATGCAGTAAACATTGTGAATAGAAATAAGTAGGTGAATAGAAATAAGTAGATGAATAGAAATAAGTAGATGACAATTACAGACAATAGGGAGGATTAACTTCCTAAAGTCATATGTTGTTATTTTAACCTAAACCACCATAATATTTTGTGTAATTGAGATTTGGTATTGTCAGAACTCTGTTGGAGTATTGAAGGTCTGTGAGGATTAGAAAGTGCCCAGAAAGTGGTTCACAGCTGATGTCCCGTTTTTTTTTTTTTTTTTTTTTTTTAAACAGGATTATCTCCTGAGATGTGTAGAAATGAACTCTTGTCAGAGTTTCAAAGGAATTAACGTTTTTTGGTAAAATGTGCTAATGTAAAGAGTGAGAAGATTAGTGATACATAATGAAAGCAATGCATTCTTTCACATGGAAATGGGAATATAATAAATGTCCTGCAGGTGATTGGGGCTGTAGCAATTTTATTGAAGATTAAAGTTTGATTGACCTTTGTTAGGGTGATTAACCCTTCTGAAATTAAAAGCCAGAGCTGAATTATTCTGCTCAATTTAAATGCAAACATCGAGCAGGTCGTATGTCATTCAAATAATAATAAGAAGAAAATCTTCCTATTTTAATTTTCATTTTTGCACTTCTGAGTGGTATGCTGCTTTAGAAGGACCATAGCTCTCGCAAAAGCATTCTGGTGGCAGAGAATATACAATAACGTTACAGATAATTGGGAGCATATAGGAAGAGTCCCAAGCACTACTGCCTGCATTCGAAACATCAAAACCACCATCCCAACAAAAGCACGGAGCATGAAGCCAATCTCTGTACACTGAAAATGCATGCTCCCAATAGAAAAACAACCTAGGGATGTCCTGAAGGGGTTAGGAATAAATAACAATGACATCTCTATTCTAGTTCAGTGCCAACCACCGAAATTGCATATCATATCCATGTTAAATCTACATGATGTCTCCTGGAAATGCGTGCTTTTTGGTACAGTTGCTTATGAAGCAGTTTCTAAAAGTTGATTATTTCTGATGTCTGGAATTTCATTCTCCATGATCTCTGGCAGTTTCTGAATATATTCAGTATTTTCATTAAGTTCAAAAATGCTGTAGGAGAAGCTAACGAATTATTTGCAATGCCATTTAATGGTTTAGTTTTATTTTTCTCTGTTAAATTTTCTAAGCCTTGGTGAAAAGTTGTGTATTCACATTTCTTCAAAAAACTGTTTCCATTTTTCATATCATGTTAATTTTGTTTAGTTCTAAGTCAGTGAATATTTTTAGTCTTAGGTCCCACCACATAGTGAATGTGTCTGCCTTTTATGTATCTGTGAACTATTAAAATGATAATAAAGGTTCTCTTCCTTCCATATGTAATTTATTTCTCTTTTTTCATCAAAGAATTCACTCTGAATCTGTCAAGGTAGAAAAGTCCAAGGCATTATAGTGTAAAAATTAAGAAGCCTGAGGTGCTATAGTTTATTTTTGCACAAGCTTTTCATGTATTCTTTTAACATCCTTCTGAAAGGTAGGCTTCTACTCCAAGCCTGTGAAGAAAGTCAAAGATGAAAAACTTGTGATAGAGTGACTGAGCTTATTCAGCTGGCAAAGTCACTCTGGCATCCTCCAGAGAGTTGGATAATACCTTGAAGCATAGATTAATAATATGTTTAACTAAGATCTGTTTGCTGTAAGGATAATTTCCTAATTCTTAATTGTGGGACAAGTGTTCAACCATAAATTGTAAACAAATACGTTGTTCTGTACCTTGTCTGATAAAGTGTAGATTATCAGCTTTAGCTTCAGTACATTGAGTTGTCAAACTTTAAAAAATTCAGTTGTTTCATGATACTTGTTTTCTTATCAAAGATAATTTTAACTAAAAGATAAACATGACCACTAACTTATATCTCTAAAGTAAGCAATATTAATTCTTTGGACATAATTTAATTATCTTCTCTAATTTAGATTAATCTTATTTTACCTCTTAACAGAACTAAATGAAAATAATCTTCAGTATTAAAATTGGTTATAAATACAACATTCTCTAAAGCACAAAAAGCTAATGTGCTGAACTACTGATAACATCCTTCTCTACATTGTCATTAATTATTAGCAGTCTTTTTATTAGAGAAAATCATGGGTTTGGAAGGTGAAATTCATATTGTCTCAGTGTAGAAAAAAGTGTTGGTGAAAGAGCAAAGGAAAATAAGATTATACTTTGCTAAATCCCAGATCCAATAATTTATTTTGCTTCAGTGTGCTTCGAAGACATTTTATTTCTTTATGTTGCCTTTGTTTTCTATCAATCGGTTTCCACCTAATCCACCCAGTCCCAGCCCTGACATTTTCTCTTATAGCTGTGAAATAACATTCTTTGCTATGAATAAGCCAAGATTAATCCATTTGATATTTTATAGACTGCATATTTTAGCTGGAGCGTTTCTGTTTAAAAAGCAGACTGTTTTAAAAAGTGACCAATGGTGTTGTTTTATTTGTTGTGCATTGTTTATGAGTCAGCAATTTAATTTAATTTTACAGAAATTTAGAGTAGATGTACTATAAGCGATTTTATTCTTCTGGACTAAGGAGAGATAGCAAGTGGCAGACTCAAGGATTTTCTAGGTTTTTTTAAAAAAATTATTCATAGTAAAAAAGTAGTCACATGAATTTTTCAAGATTATCCTCTTTAACAGACAATAATTCTAAAATAAAATTATTTGTTTAATAATGGTCAGTGGAATTACTTCTTGTAATTTGTTTAATAAAATCATAAAAAATGCTCTAGAAACAATAAGTGTCCCAATGTTAACTTTCCAACTTAATTGGGAAGATTAGTTTTCTAGGACTAGTTTTCAAGTGAGTTGGAAGGTGACCTAATATAGCGTAGTGGTCTGTGGCCTATTTGATACAATTTACGCTATTCGTATTAAAATTATCATACTATCTCTGTGTATTACTTTGGAATCAGAGAACTTCATAAAAAGATACTTTTAACTCAAATGCCTTCAGCATTAGCATTTCTGGAGCCATCATTGACTAACCTTTATTCAGTTTCAACAAGCCTTTATTAAGCACCTACTATGTTTCAGGTACTCCCCCCAATCCAGTGAGGTGAGCCTATGAGCCATGTTGTATAAACAAGAAACTCACACTCAGATTGGCAAAGGTTTTACCTGAAGTCAGATAGCTAGTCAGTGGCACAGCCTGGTTTAGGAGCTGGTGAAGCCTTTCCTTCACCAAAGCTGTCTTTGGGATAATCATAGCATTCCACTTTGCTAAAACTTGGAGACTATGAGAACAGGATTCTTGCAAGATGAATTTAAACCATTTCCACAGAAAAAGGAATTTACTAAAACTCAGGAACTACGATGAGGTAATTAATTCTGTACTGATTCACTCTAGAGGAAGTATGAGAAGAGGGAGTTTAGAGTGCTTTGAGTAATACACTGGGTCACCCATGCAATGAACATTACTCAGTGGGCTTATTTCATAGACAGAAGACATTTTCCTCCCCAAATATTAATAGTTTAGTTCATTGAAAACCAATCATTAGGCTTTTTAAAAAATTGTCTTTAAAATGCTTGTGTTTACCTATCTTTCTTTTAAAATTCATAAATAATTATGTTTAACAGAATTTTAAAGTCAGAGGCATCTGTCCTACCTCATATGGTTTCTTTGGTGTGAGCAGTTTGACAACCTGTTGATAAATGTGTCTCTGTATTTTATAATTCCTGCTCTTGAAACTGAGTATAAGTCTGTTAGATGTCTATGCTGTCAGGAATTGCCCAATTGTTTATGACAAATGCATTTAAAGGAATATGTGGAAAAAATATTTTTGATAAATATCAAAAAATAAATATAGAAGTACAGTATTGCTGCAATGTGAGGAAAAAACATGCAAAATAATTGAAAAAAAAACTTTTTTTCTCCTTTTCTTATGAGAATAAAAGAATTAACTTGAGTTATGCAAAAAGTAAACTTCTGCAAAATTAGACCAGGTGGTTCCAAAAATTTGGGATTGACAGATTCATTTTCACTTGGTGATTTCATCAACCTTCTCATTGTTGTCTCTTTTGGTTTGTAAACTCTCTGAAGTTGACACAGAGAAGTGTGGTCAGTCTAAATCCATCTCTATATTTATCTGCAGGGCCTAGAAGAGATGCTGATATGTGGTAGAGAGTGAGGAAGTGTTTGTCAACTTGTACTGAAAGTGACTATTACCATTAAGATAAAAGTAGGGACACTGAGCCCAGTACTTCATTATAAAGGCCTGGTGTTTACACTAAGAAATAAACCTAAGCTTCAAAGTCTGAAGGAGGAAAAAGAAGTAGAAATTTGTGAGTGTGTATATTATACACAAATAATCTCCATCCTAGATTATTCTTATATCTACTTCAGATGCTTTTTAAAATGATCCAGGTTTCTTTACTTTAGCTTTAACTTATGCCCATAAATCTCCCCTTAGCCAGAACTTGTTGGTCACTAGTTAGCCACTTATTACTTCACAACAATGAAACTAGTTTTTCTGAACCGATTAAAATATTTAATCAAAATGATCAGTTTGGTTTATGTTTGGAGAGAGAGAGAGGAAAAACAACTTAGAGTCTTCATTTTGAAAATGAATGAAAAAGCAACTAAAGGGCATTGTGTAGAATCAGAGAAGTTGAAGAATATTTGCAGGAAAATAAATTGCTATTGTGATTCTAATTACAAATGAAAGTGTTTTGTAGCAGAGAAAATTAAAGTGTGTAATAAAATGACACATACTGAGAGAATCTTCCCTAAGAGATGCTAGACAAGATGGAAGATCAAGTTTGACCAAAATCCTTTCTAATTATATAAATACTTTAGAATTCATTAACCATTTGAGTCCTGCTTGATGATTAAACCCTTAGGCAGATGTGAATCAACTTTACTATGTGGAAACATTGAGGAAAACATTTATAAAAAATATGATCCAATTTCTGAAAATACAGGCCAATTAAAGACTGAGATTTAATTTAGGAATTTTACTCTGTCTGCATGATGTATATATTAATGATGATTTCTCTTGTCTCATTCTTTATCTTCACGAGCAAAAGGAGATTTTTACTCATTGACATATTATTGAAGAATCTCGCTTTTTTGCAAAATTACACATTTTTTTGCATAAATGTGCCTAATTACCTGAATTCAGTTTTGATTAGCAGTGTTAATTGATGCAGCTGTGGATGGTATCTGTTTACCCAAATTACCATGTGCAAACAGCAATATGTCTGGAAGCGCATATGCTAAACTGAAAATACTAATTAGGTGAGACAGATTGTTATTCAAGTCACATCATGGAGCTTTCTAATGAGAGCCTGGATGTGTCAGGGTTTCATGATATTCAGACAGAAATGTCTATATTACATATGATTTCTAAATTTAATTCATAAGAACAGATGGGATGTCAGCCAGGGTTCTTCTGCCTTATTCTGGTATTAATGTGAATATTTTACTCAACTGGAGATATATTCATGTGTTTTTTTGTGGGAAACTCATTATGTGCTTTGACAATATGCCAGCCCTGTACATCCAGACACATCTATTTCTTGATCAATATATTTGAAGATTATATCCACCTACCATCCCAAAGATGAAGATGGATAAGCCACCTTGCAAGCTTAATCACATCAGCTGGTTAATTTAATCAAATCAAATAATAGAAAGGTTAGTTAAACAGGCAGCTTAACTGAGTAATATTTTATGGATGTTTTCCTTTTGCACCCCCCAAAAATAATAATAAAGGTTTGATCCTAGGATTGTTAAGAATCAGTGAGCAATTCACAGGACTGAAAGGTGAATTCTCATTGCCTTCAGGTTGTTTTGAATCTTTAATCATTTAAAAATGGATAGCAAAACAGTGCTTATTTTCTAGTGCCCGGTTTTAAAGTGTTAACAGCCTTTTTTGTCTTTGGTTTCCATTACCTTTGTCCTAATGCATGACCTGCTTTGCTTAAGGTTTTTCTTGAAAGAAAGCGTTAATCTTTACTTTCTGCTGTGGCACTCAGAACTCATTAATGGCAGTGTAAGTTAGAGGTATCTGAAGCTTAGAGTACAAATCCTGCACATCAGGTAGTGAAGAAATAATGGACCCATCTTTCCTTTCCCAAGAGGCTAAATAACTGTGCTTAATGCATAATAAGTCTCCTCTTCCCAAAGCCTGTGAAAATAAGGCCTCTTTACTCAACCTTAAGAGTTTAAGATCCCTATTAGATATTTTAAGATGCCACGAGCTAAATGGGGGTGATTTTCATGATGCAAATTTGAACATAATTATAGTTTGGCACATTTAATTTAGGTTTAAGTGAGAATCATAATTACCAAAAATTGAATTATTTCAATTATGCTAATTTCTATCCCCAAAGTTTTGTGTAATTTGGGTTCACTAAAACAGGTTTAGATCCTGCAGAATTACAATGGAGTCTCATACTAAAAATAAAAAATTTGTGAAAATGATTCACAAATGATTCACAGCTAGTTACATCTTAGGTACAGAAATGTTGACATACTGTTAACTGGCCCAGGAAAACCGGAGGGGCTGGGAATGGCTTAAATCAAAAATAGAAAAATGGGCATTATGAGTTAACTGTTTGGGCCATTTGATTGCCATTTTCTACATCAATACTAATTTTAACATATTATTGCTATTTGCTGTCTAATCAATGAAGCTAATTTCAGTATTTTAAAAATAAAATTTGTGTGCATTACAGTTATGATTAATAGTACACTGTCAGAAAAAAGAATACTGTAGTCACCTTCAGAATTATCTTGCCTTTGATTATCACTTAAAAGCATTAGGCCTTTCAAAGGTGCTTAATGTAAAATTCCTTAATTCTTGGAGATGAAGAATTGGAAAGTTTCATTTCCCTGTGGCTGAAGGTAGCTTGCTTGGAAAATACTCCATGGACAGTGCAAGAGAGTTCTTTGTTACAGAACCAAAGTGTATGTGTATGTAACTGTGTGTGCACATACATTCATAAAATCGCCTAACCATTGAATTCAGACACTAGATTTGGCCAACCAGTTTGATTTGTCAGGTATGTTTATTTCTGAGTTCACTAAGGCAACTGCTAAATAAACCCAAGTCTGCTTTTACAGCACAGACAAAGGAAGAAAATTCCTTCCTAAAAGTACAGCAATCTATTCTAAACAAAACGATGCCTGGGCACTTTTTGCTATCATGAGATTATCTAAATATTTTAGTAAAGTTTTGTTTTGTTTTAACCTTCATGTGGAGATGCGAACGTGTTTTGTGTAAGACTCTTGACACACATGAGCATTTCTACATTTTAACTTTAAAATGGGAAAACAGGTCAGTGATGTCAAATCGGAACCAGGGTTATGAAATTTTATCAGACATTTCAATGAATTGTCTTTAGGCAAATCACCCAACCTCAGTGTGCAAATTAGTTAATTTTAAGAATAAATATAGCTATCTTTCTGACTTATTAAGGATTTATCATTTGTGCCCAAGGTTCAACAGATCTGTAAATGAAGTGTGTGAATCTTGTCTTTGAACTCTAATTGGCATGTGAGGGAGGCAGGTCTGACTGAGTTAAAGGCTGAAGGACTTAATCCTTTGAAGAAATTTTGATTTAGTTTTATTACCTCTAAGTATTGCTAATGTATTCTAAAATTAATTTGACTCTGACTGCTTGGCGTATCCTGATTTCCTTTCCAAAGGATAGATTGTAGGCGCATTGAGGGAAATCTATTTCTTTGTTAACCTTCTGTCTAACCACAGTCACAGCTTTACCACTGAGTAGTGTTGTAGTGGTGTGCACACAGTAGGGACACTTGAAGTCTAAGAGAGTGAACAGTGGTTACCATGAATAAAAACTATGACCATTAACTCCATTTGTAACTGTCAATCACCTATATTTCACGATCAGTGTGTTACCTGGCCCAGGGGCCATAAGCCCCTGAAGACATTTTAAAAAATTTAAAGCTCCTGTTTTTGAAAAAGATGTATATTTTTGGTTGGTTTATTGTCTGACCGAAGGAACTCTATAACATTTCACAAAGAATGGAATTCATTTGAACTTGTTCCCTGAAAAGTATAGCACATGGATTAATACACACTTGGATTAATGCAAATTTCAGACAAATGGGACTTGAATTGCTAAGCAAAGCTTGTAGACGGGCAGACCTAAATTCAAATTTTGCCTTTGTCATTTGCTAGCAATGTGACTAGGAGGCATTTTCCTAGATCTTTTGGGCCCTAGTTTACCCATTTGGAAAGAAAAGAAAATAATACCTATTTATAGTGGTGTTGTGAATGAACTATATAATGTATATAAATGCCTTAACCCAATGCCTAACGTCAAGTTTATACTCAGTAAATAATAACTATAATTACTGCATAAAGTACAGTAGCTCTGTGTTAGAAACCAACAGAGGCAATTAGAGAAGGTTTTAAAATCTGGCACTCATTAATTTACTTAAACTTCTAAGCAGTAAAATTTCCAATCACTGTGAGTGTATCCATAGATTAGATAGATAAATAGATAGAGAGATAGATAGATATAGATATAGATATAGATATAGATATAGATATAGATAGATACACAAGTCCTTTTTGTCCCAGGTGTATATATATATATATATGTGTGTTTTGTACACATATATCATTTATGTAAGGACAAAATTAAATATCTGGCTTACTGGAAGTATATAGTACATACACTTCTGGCTTTCTTATTTTCTAACAATTTCTAACAGTTATACAACACTTCATAGCTCAAAAATAACTCTATACACATTACCATATTTGATTTTCACAGCAGCAAGACAAGACAAGTAATATTGCATTCATTTTCTATAAAGTACACGGAGATGTTAAGTGATTTACCTGGTATTACTTCAGTGAAAACAGGAAAGATGAAGGTAGGAGAATATACTTGGAATCCTTTTCCGGACTGTTTGGAAAAACAAGGTAATAATACTGTTTTTCCACGGAATATTGGCAAACAAAAATGTCTTAAGTGAATAATACTACATTTAACTATAGGGCACAGAAATGAGTATATTAAGAAATCCAGGTTTCAAAAGGTGGATAGAATTAGTTTCTCCTCGGTAAACATTTATTAAGATACCCTGACTCACTGCCTTCCTTCAACAGTTAAACATTCTCATTTCCACTCTTATTAATAGGGCTTGTATGAAAATGGAGTGGGCGAGTTAGAAAAGCTGGAACCAGGAACTTAGATCTCCCTCAGGCTCAGACAAAAGCTCAGAGATCTAAATATGGTAAAATGTCTAGAGATTTCTTAAGAAATTAGCACATGGAGGCAGATTTAAAAAAAAAGAAAAAGAAAAAGAAAAAGAAGATTCTTCCTTTCCTTTTTATAAGTTTTATATAGGAAACAGAAAATGACCCAAGGAAGCCATTGGATTAAAGTATTTTACTGATTTAACAATTATCTTAAAAATACCTTCTGTATGTCAGCTATTGAAAAGGCACTATAGGAACATAAAACGTGCAAGGCACAATGTCTTCCAGGATCCTAAATAACTATCCTTATTATTATAATAATTACTATATGCTTATTGCAACAATGATATCATTAACAGATAAATTATTTGTCTTTTAAATTCTGTGGATATTAAGAAACACATTCATTCATGTATTCCTTCAACAAGCATTTATTCCTTTTTGCACTGGGTAGTGGAATATGAAAGTGGGCTTGGAAGTCAGGTAGCCTGAGTTTAGATCCTTGGTTCTCCACTAATTAGAGGTGGGGACAATTATATGAATGTTAGCTTCCATGTCTATAAAATTGAGTTGATCATAAGATTGATATGAGAATTATGATTTGCAAGGTACTGCCCCTTGTGCATGGCATACACAAGAACTACTCTATTATCATTATTATGCTTCTCCACTCAAGGGATATACAAGTAGTTGGGGAGTGAAATAAACACACCTGAAGCAACTAGATAATTTTAATATGGCATGGAAATCATTGTAATCTCACTTGGCCTGGACTCTACAGGTGCTGATGAATTTAGAAACAGGAAAGGACTTCTCGAAAAAGAGAAAATAATACCAAAAATGTTTTCTGTACAGTGTGGTGTCTAGATCTAGCCATGTCTTTGTTCAATATATGCAGCCTGATGAACACCTCCACTGTTAATTTAGAAACCTACAACATCTGTGCAATTTAAATAGGACCAGAGCCCAAACCCCAAAACACATAGAATATGATTTCCTATTCAGTGTGGTTGAATAGGACCACATCCATCTCTGGGGCTTTGATTCATGAACTACACGGCCCTAATTGACATGGGGTTGTTGCCTTTTCAGATAGCACGCATGGCAGAGTTTCGGTGTATTTGGACTTGTTCAGGGTTCTTACATCCAGAAAGTCCAAATTAGATTTTTGTCATTAGCTTGTCAAGCTTCTCTTAAGTCCACTTAATGAGGTCTGCAGTGGAATGTCTTTTATGTTCTGTGGCCTTTATGCTTAGTCTCAGCTACTCTCGACTGTGGCTGAGAAGTTAATGAAGTTACCACAGTGTTCACTTGAGGTCTGCTGCTTTTGAAAACACACCTCGTATGTGTTTGGGTATTTAAATTCTGTTTTCTAGCTTTTAGGGTTTATATCCTCGTGGTGCATTCAAGTGCTATGGAAATAAGACCAGATGGATGTGACAACCAGCCATTCGGGAAATTACATACACATTACATTTTAAAAAACCAGTGTACATATGTCTATCTGGATGTGCTCATATGCTGGATTATTTTTGTTGCATCCAAATGGTTGGGATTTCAGTGAAGCAGTTACTTAGAATGTCAGCACGAGCATTCCTTCCAGGAGGAAAGCAGGGCCCGCACCAAGCCTTTTTGTCAAAAACAGTCGAATGTGGGGACAGAGTAAAGGCCATTCTGCATTTCTCTACCTCCTTTTAGTTTTTTCCACAGTTCTCATCACTGCAAGACTTTATACCATAGAGTTGTTGGTTGTCTATCATCCCTCTAGAAAGTAAATGCTATAAGGACTGGCGATTTTTCTGCCCTGTTTAATACTTTAGTGTTTGGCACATAATGAGCGCTCTATATATGATAATGAATACATTCACAATCACTGGGATAATGAAATCATATTTAATTCCCTTCCCTTTGTGCTGAAGCTGGCATAATATGGAGGTTTTCTTTTGTCTCTTAAATGATGTGCGTATGACTATGAATAATGCTCCTGCTGCTGTCTAACATTTATATAATGTTTACTATATGCCAGACACTGTTCTCAGTACTTTACATCTAATTCTGACAAACCTTTGAGGTGGGGGCTGCTATTCTCCCTTTTTTATGAATGGAAAATGGAAGCACAAATCCTACCTGAAAGAGCCAGGATTCAAACTCACCGGTATGATCTTCTACATCTCATGTTGTTAAAATGTGGCTTCTGGGGTTTGAAAATAAGTCATCTCAGGAATGTATCCATCATTTTGGTAAGCAAAGAAAGCTATCCTATAGCCATGATCTCTTAGTTTTGTGCTATTCTTAAATATGCAATTCAGTTTAGCCCAGTGGTGCAAAGATAATTATTCCCATTTTACTCTAAGAAGTAGGAATCTGTAGAGGCATTCACTTTTCCTATTTTGTATTATATCTCTTCAGTGATTTGCCTACCTCCTTGCCCTTCTATCAAAAAGAAAGAAGAGGAGACTAGAAGACTAATGCTATAAATAAACACTCCAGGTTTTGATGCTAGTTAGAATATTGCATTAACAAGCCCAAAGCATATTGTCAAACTAAATGGAAAAATTGGTATTGGGGGTTTTATCTTGGCTTACTCATGGTTACTCAAGTTCATTCTTACTAAAACGTATTGTGATGGAATAATCAGATTTAGATTTGAAGTTAAGACATATTATATAACTTTTAGTAACAATTGTGCCTGCCCAGTTGGGTTTGGTTAGCCTGATAGTAAAAATTAGTTTGTAATCCTCAGCAGAGAACCCACATGATAGTGTAGGCTTTGTCTTAGGTTAGTGCCAGAATTGTAAATTCCTTAAAAACTGGTGAAAATCAACTCTAGACACATAGGTAATCAGAGAGTGGACAGTACGTTCAATGTAATGGCTAAGTCTTCAGAAGAATGGCACAATTTTCAGGGGTGTATTTGTGTACTGGGGGAATCGAGTTCCATAGCCAGAGATGGTACCATACCTTCGCTAGAATTGTAAATTATGTTCATTACCTATCAATTTCCTTGAAACCTTTCCTATTGTCCTGCCACACAGCAATATTATTTTATCAACTAATTTCTCTGCAATCTACTCCAATCAGTCCAGATGGTCAAATCAATTTTCTTGTATCTCTTTTTCTCCTGAATTAATCAGTCCAATGAAATCCCATTAAAAAGTCACATGACTTTTTGGAGGTTTATATAATCCTGTTGATTCCTGCTATATAATATGTATTTGTTACCTAATATGATAGAATATCAATTTCTGCCCCCACTAACAGAATAAGATGATTCATGCAAAATGCTTAGCAGTACTAAGTACAGGGTAAAAAATTCCAATAAATGACATCTATTAATAGGCATCTATTATTTGTAAACATATTCAATACGTTGGAAGAGAACTAAAGAGAATCATTTTTCACAAGACCTTTTGGATGTGCCCATGGTTTTTCCCATTCTGGGTCAGAGCAACAAAATCACATTTACATTATATTACACTCTTGCACTTCAGGCTCTCTCTAGTCAATTTCCTCATATTTTTCCTTTCATATACTGCATTATGAAGGCAACTGGTACTCAACTAGCAACAATCATCATCACCATCATCATCACCATGATAACTATATCTCCCCAAAATAGTACCAACATTTATGGAGTAGTTTATAATGCACCTTTACATATGTTTTCTTCTTTCCACAGTCCGCAGTGGTTGACATTGCGAGTATAGAGGGAACATCATGGAGCTGGTGAGGGACAGATCTAAGATTAAGAGTCTGACTCTTAGATGTCCTTCACAATGATAAATAAGAGATTTGTGGGATTATTAATGCTGTGGATAATTTTGAATACACCCTGCAGACATGTCCCACCCTCAGAGAACAATTTTTTTAAAACTAATCAGTCATTGAGCTTGACCTTAAGGAATGTGAATATTCTCTCCTGTATCTCTTCTTCTATCACCTTCAGTTAGCATCTTTGGAAAGCACTCTCAGTTTTTGGCTTCCAGTTACTCCCAAGCTTTTCTAGCAAGTAGAAATGCAAACAGATAATTAGGGGATAGGGCTAGGGATATTTGCGTTTTCATTAGGACTATAAAATTTCAAGGGCAGAAATATGGCAGGTTATGGGATTGGATGAGGAAAAAATCCTAGGGATGAGCAAGTTCTAGTCTTATTTCTAACACTGCAGGTTACCTATGACTCCACGTAAATATGTCTAACAGCTTTAGAATGGAAGAAGAGATGGATAGGGCACACTTTTTACAAATTACTTGTGTCACTGGATGGGATGAGAAATGGGAATATGCCAGTTTCTTATGTAAACAACAGTTCATCAAGTGACATAAACACTTCAGATAACAGGAAGGATTTACCTGCTGGTGCAATTTTGAGTGTTTAGTCACCATTGGCACAAAAAGAAAGTAGGAACTGTTAAGAGGATGACTTAAGTAGAGCTGAAGGAGATACGCCTCAATCATTATTACCATCAACTATTGTTATTTTTTTATGGTATATCCTAAATTTGGTAATTTGGTTGTCATTATCCTTGAAGGGCTTTTATCTGAGGTGCATTGCTATTTTTGAGGACTTTTAATTTTTCCCTGTCACTGACAATATTTGAAAAATACTGCTTTTTTATGGAGAGATCTAATCTTTCACATCTATGTTTTAAATCAAGGAAATGGGCTGGGTGTGGTGGCTTACACCTGTAATTCCAACACTTTGGGAGGCCAAAGTGGGTGGATCACTTGAGGTCAGGAGTTTGAGACCAGCCTGGCCAACATGGTGAAACCCCATCTCTACTAAAGATACAAAAATTAGCCAGGCATGGTAGCACACACTTCTAATCCCAGCTACTTGGGAGGCTGAGGCAGGAGAACTGCTTGAACCTGGAAGGTGGAGGTTGCAGTGAACCGAGATCTCACCACTGCACTCCAGCCTGGGTGACAGAACAAGACTCCATCTTGTAAGAAAATAATAATAAAAAAATCAAGGAAATGTTGATGCCAAAGTAAATTTTGTGACTATTTTATGGTAGTGGAAGGTGAAAAAAAATTCTTAATTGACAAATTAAGATTGTATATATTTATCATGTACAATATGATGTTCTGAAATATGTGTCTATACATGGGGAGTGGTTCAAGGAAGCTAATTAACATATACATTATCTCACATACTTATCTTTTTTGTATGTGATGAGAACACTTAAAATCTACTCTTAGTGATTTTTCAGGCATACAATTAACTATAGTCACCATATTGTACAGTAGGTCTCTTGGACTAATTCCTTCTGTCTAACTGAAATTTTGTATCCTTTGCCCAACATCTCTCCAACCTCTCACCCTCTCCAGCTCCTGGTAACCACCATTTTTCTCTATCTTTCTATGAGTTAAACTTTTGTAGATTCCACATATAAGTGAGATCACACAGTGTTTGTCTTTCTGTGCCTGGCTTATTTCACTTATTTCATTTCACATGAAATAGCCAGGCATAGAAAGATTGAACTGGAGGTCAACTGGAGGATGACCTCCAGTTCAATCTATGTTGCTGCAAATGACAGGACTTTATTCTTTTTTAATCACTAAATAATAATAATAATATAATAAAAATATGTATATATAACATCTACACTATGTATGCGTATCACATTTTCTTTATCCATCCATCTGTTGATGAACACTTAGGCTGATTCTTCATCTTGGCTGTTGTGAATAATGCTACAATGAACATGGGAATGCAGATATCTCTTTGACTCTTTGACATATGAATTTTATTTCCTTTGGACAAATACCCAGTAGTGGGATTGCTGGATTATATTACAGTTTTATGTTTAATATTTTGAGGAATCTTCATACTGTTTTCCATAATGGCTATACTAATATACATTCTAACCAATGGTGTGAGAGGACTCCCCTTTCTACACATCCAAAACAACCCTTGTTGTCTTTTGTCTTTCTGATAATAGCCACTATAACAAGTTGAGGTGATATCTGATTATAGTTTTAATTTGCATTTGTCTGGCAATTAGTGATGTTGAGCCTCTTTTCATATACCTGTTGGCCATTCGTCTGTCTTCTTTTGAGAAATGTCTATTCAGGTGCTTTGCTCAATTTTAAATCAGATTATTTGTTTTCTTGCTACTGAGTTGTTTGAGTTCTTTATATATTTTGGATATTAGCCCCTTATCACATGTATAGTTTGCAAATACTTTCTGCCATTCTGTAGGTTTTCTCTTCATTTTGTTGATTATTTCCTTTGCTGTGCACAAGCTTTTTAGTTTGATGTATTCTCATTTGTCTATTTTTGCTCTTGTTGCCTGTGCCTTGGGGTCACATTTTAAAAAAATTTATTACCTACACCAATGTCATGGAGCTTTTCCCTTATGTTCTAATCTAGTAGTTCTACATTTTCTGTTCTTACATTTAAGTCTTTAACCTATTTTGAATTGATTTTTGTATATAGTTTGAAATAAGAGCCTACTTTCATTCTTCTCCATGTGAATGTTCAGTTTCCTTGACATTTCTTAAAGAGACTGTTCTTTTCTCATTATGTAGTCCTGACACCTCTGTCAAAAATAAATTGACCATAAATGGGTGGGTTTATTTCTGGTCACTCTATTCTATTCCATTGGTCTATGCATTTGTTTTTATGCTAGACCTGTGCGGTTTTGATTACTATAGCTTTGTAGTATATTTTGAAGTCAAGTAGTGTGATGCTTCCAGCCTTGTTCTTTTTGCTTAAGATTGCTTTGGCTATTCACAGTCTTTTGTGGTTCCATACAAATTTTAGGATTTTTTTCTGTTTCTGTAAAAATGCCATTGGAATTTTGATAGGGATTGCTTTGAATCTGTAGATCATGAATATTTTAACAATATTAATTCTTTCAATCCATGAACATGGGCTATTTTAATTTCATTCATCAATGTCTTATAGTTTTCAGTGTGTAGGTTTTTCACCTCCTTGGTTAAATTTATTCCTGAGTATTTTATTTATAGTTATTATAAATGGGATTTTTAAAAATTTCTTTTTCAGATAGTTTATTATTAGTTTATAGAAGTACTGCTAATTTTTATATGGTAACTTTGTATTCTGCAGATTTACTGAATTTGTTTATTAGCTATAACAGGTTTTTTTGTAAAATCTTTAGGGTTTTCTATAAATAAGATCATGTCTGTAAACAGGGACAATTTAACTTCTTCCTTCCAATTTGGATGCAGAAAACATATTTTGATCACATAAAAAAACAAATGGAGAAAAGTCTAGCAATTGAATTTTTAAAATAAATAATGGAGATTGACTTGAAAAGGTTTATTTTCATTTTATCCCTTGCAATAGATATTTTTTCAAGCTCTAACATACACTAAGATCTGACAGCAGAAACTTTTGAAAGAATGATTTGAGAACATCAACAAAACAAAAAGATCTGAGAGTTTGCAGGAAGTCTGGCCTTAGTATTTCCTACTACGCACCCTGGGTGGTTTTGAACTCTGAGAGAGACTATGAAACATATATATCTGCACATCATTAGCATTCAAACGAGGTTCCATAAGAAGTTGAAATCTCCTTAAGGGAACATTGGTAGAACTTCAAGTCCTTTATAGTTTTCAGAAAAGAGTATGTTTTATCGTACCAAATCACTGGCAGAGAGTTAAGAATATACATTTTGTATAAATATGTATTCACTTAATTCATCAAACAGAATCTTTTCTTTTATAGCCAAAAGAGCCATTCTCAGAGAGCATATGGGCAATCAAAATATTCTCAAAGCCTGAAAGCCAAAAGTAGCTTTTGGTTTATTTACTGGGGTATGTCTTTCTAAACATTCTTTTTAAAATTAGCCCGAAAGGGCAATAAATTAGGCCTCTCTTAGGCCTGAGTGAATAAGAAAGATGAGGATTAAAGGACATTCAGCAAGGATGCCATTCACATGGTGTCTGTCTCAAGGGGTAGACCCAATGTGGTAAGTTTAAACAGGAAAAAGTAAACATAGAACCATTACTCTGTTCATGCAGAGCAGTCAAAACTTTCTCAGCAACATGCTTTTCACAAACTCAATGAGGCAGCACGGTTGTCAAGAAAATATATCCCTGAAGGTTTTTCTGTCTTAGTTTTTCCCCTGTTCCAATGTCTTTACTATCTGTCAGCAGAGTCTGAGATACTGATGAGAAATCATAAACATTAAAGAAATAGATGGGTCAATTTTGATAGAAATGGAACTGTTGACATATAAGCAGGTGTTCATTAATGAAGGGTAGGTTCAAGACCAGTGCTCCACAGAAAGAGAACAAAGTGAAATAACCCAAGTTTGATTTTCAAATACCTATAGAATTCGGTATTTTGTAATAAATGTTTTATTTCCCGTTTTATATGCCAAGAGGCCACAACATACAATGTTTGTTAAGTAATTAGTATCAATCAAAAGTTTAAAGTTAAAAACAAGTGGAGAATATCAAATGGTATCATTGGTGAAGCACCCTTTCTCAGTGTTCTAAATATTGTATTGACAGCCGTTAAAAATAAATATATAGCACTTTGGGAGGCCAAGGCAGTCAGATCACCTGAGGTCGGGAGTTCGAGACCAGGCTGACCAACATGGAGAAACCCCATCTCTACTAAAAATACAAAAATTAGCTGGGTGTGATAGCACATGCCTGTAGTCCCAGCTACTTGGGAGACTGAGGCAGGAGAATCACTTGAACCTGGGAGGCGGAGGTTGCGGTGAGCCAAGATCATGCCATCGCACTCCAGCTTGGCCAACAAGACTGAAACTCTGTCTCAAATAAATAAATAAATAAATGAATAATAAAAATATTAAAAGGACTGAAATAATGTCCATAGTGTCCAGATATAGGAATATTGTATTTCAACAATCCAACATGAACTTGCTGAGGGAATTCACCTGTGTCAGGTAATTTAAGATGTAGTTAGCAAATTCTCACTTTCCTGGAATCACATAAAATATTCATAGATTCCTGTCAGTAATTGCAAAGTTAAATTTAAATTCCCATTCCTGGCTCCATAAGATAAAATATTTCTGTAGGATCTCTATTTTCTCGACTTTATTATTCTTAGTGCAATTGGAACTATTTTGCAATCCCGTGCCACTATGCATCTAGAACATAGCATCATATTTTGTGGCATCTCTCCTTCATAATTGTCTTTGGAGCCATATATTCATGCACATACATGCAAAATGCAAAAGGGAAAGTATTTGGCTTTTCTGGAATTGCAAATTTATAGAGTCTTTATAATGTCATTGATCCATTCATCCAGGTGAATAGAGCACTGACTCTGTTCCAGGTAGCTTACATATATAACCTCTAATTGTCGCAACTCAGAAAAGTGGACAACATTATCACTATTTCGTAGAAGAGAACACTTAACTAATTGTGTCAAATCAACTTTTCTGAAATTACTCAGATTGGACCTTTAAATAAGGCTGACTCCAAAGACCATATTCTTTCTACAACACCACAATATGCTCTCTTGCTATCTTGAGAGGCTCTACCAATTTAAATAGAAAAAGCATTAATGGCATTCATGGTTCATTGTTTTTAAAAAAAAAAAAAAAAAAAGACCAAGTTCTGTTTCATTTTCCACTAAACCTCCTTAGTCCTCTTGGTAATTGAATAACCAAGCCCTGCCTTTTGTGTGCCATCAATGGGCAATATAGAAAGGTAGATAAAGGAGAAAAAATAAAAATAAAAAAGAATATTCCATCTGTCTACCTGGTAGTGGCTCATAGGAGAAGCAAAAGGGAAATACTTATTTGCCTGCTAATTATTTTTCTGTTTAAAGGAGGAAAGGAATGGCATGAGGTGAAGGATAAATAGAGAATATTGATGTGGTAATAATGATCAAAACAGAACAAAGAAGAGTTGATGTGGGAGTTATTTCTCCATTGCTCTGGCCATTCCACTCTTCGCTGAATAAGTGTATTCTGTTTGGCTTTCAAGCTAGGGTTGTCATGCGAGAAGTGTACGTTAATTTCATATTTTCTCATAACTTTCTTTTGGGGATAAGCCTTTTGGTTTCTGCTGTTTATTATTTCAAAGGCATCTATATGCTAATATGTTTTATGCTTATTATTTTCATGTTTGTCCCTTAGGTTATGCTTCATATCACCCACGAGGGAGGATCATATCTCATAAAAACTTTCAAATTTGATTTTGAAAATTATTCAGAAAAATTTAAGCCATGCTATCTCCCCACATAGGAACGACTATGCTCTGGAGAGTCCTGTAATTTGCAGAAAATGGACCAAGATAACATTTGAGTTCCATGCTACCAAAATCCTCTTGAGAAGGACAGCTAGCTACCCAGAATATTTAACATTGTGACATTGAAATGTTGGATGAACGATTAAAATGAAGAATCTAGTCATAGGTTGTAAGAAATCGCTAAATTATTATGTTTAATCCAAAGAAGAGAAAGGAAAAGCTGTTTTCATTCCCCCCAGCCTCTGAGGTGTGTTACCTGCTTCGATTGCTGTAAATATTGTATTTTAATTGTATGTTATCCTTCCTTTGCATCATTTCTAGAAAGTTAATTTTAATGATACTAATGACTGAAGCTGAGTTTGTGCATAGAGGAAGAATCAGATAAAATAGAAATCTCATATAATAAGCCAGCTTGATGTTTTCTTCCAGAACTTTTATTACAGAAATTTTTAAATAAAGTCGTAATCTATTTTGAAAGCAGGTTGGTATTTAAAAAGTGAAATAAAATTAGCCAATTAACCTGACATAAAATATTTCTTCAGGCATTGTCTTTTAAAGAAATCAAGGCTTAAAAATGGATTCCTTGACATGAATTCCTAGGATTCCTAGTTTACCTTGGAGGGCATTTATCATTTCTCCCTTGATTGGGAATTGGACTCCTTTAGTTCCAAAGCCCTTCAGGGGTACAAATAAAGGGCATCATTTCACCCTCTACTGTGTCATTCCCTGCCCTGCTCTGTTCTTAAGCAAGGAGTCAGCAACACTGAGGAATTTGCACTCCAGGTTTAAGTTTGTTTTGTGTACCAGCCTCCTCTTTACTCATTCCTCTACCTTTCAGTAGCTGCACCTAAATCCCTTTCTATTTTGTTGTTGTTGTTGCTGTTAAATGCTTTCACTTTTAGACCACAGCAGTGACTTTATTCTGTAAGAAATGCAACCCAGCTACTTGTATTTCTCCTCTTGGTTCATTTTAGTGCCTCTCGAGTTACAAGACAGCTTTGTTAGTAGAAGAGTTTGCTTTCAGAATTGGAAGAAAGGTCTCCTCAAAGGAGTCCTGACAAGCAAACTAGGCTCTCCTCCAGACAGAAGGGGGTAAGAGTGAGCCTACAAAAGGCAGGTGAAGACAGGTACCTGGACAACATGTGCTAGGTCAGCCTACCAGCATTTCAACACTTATGGTCATCATCTCTCTGTAAATAAGAACTATTGCTGGGGATACATTTTGTGAATTTGTTAGGATAAATGATTGGTAAAATGTTATTTTACCAGTTGAAACATGACTGTATTTGGCACATTTTGTTAAAATAAAAGACCTATAATGGTTTATGTGCTAAACCCTGTGACCCATCTTTTTTTTATTTTTATTCTAATTATTTGCCTGTGATAATAACAAAATAGCGATACATTTTACCTTTTAAAGTTGTGTTTGGAGAATAATTCATTGAACTAACACATTTGGCTTAATTGCAGCCCCAGCTGAGAAGAAATGGCCTTTTCTTGCTCATCTCAGAACATAATTCAAAGATAATTCAAATAGAAAAGAAATTTATGCACAGTTAGCCTCCAGAATTTGTGTGGTGCTGTTGAGCTGTGCAACCTGATTAAGCAGCCTGCTAGGAGTGTGCTACTCTCTTTTTGAACTAAGTTCCATGAGGGCAGGAAAGATGTCTATCAACAACTCTTAGCTCATAGCTCTAGAAGGTGGTTGCAGGTTGTGGGCTTTTAGCAGGTGTGTTGTGGTCATGCCTCAGTCTAAATGAGCAGTGAACTTTGGCTTAACTCAACTTCAGAAATGCTGTGTGATCTTCAACAGTTGACACTCCTGGTCCTGTAATGCCCCTGGAGCATGATGAATAGTTTGAAGCTTTGAAATAATGTAGACTCAAATCAAATAAGCCTGGGTTTGAGTCCCAGCATCAATACCTACTAGTTTTCTGACCAAGTCCAATCTCTTCTAAGCCTCTCTAAGCCTCATTCCCAGCATGAGTAATATTTAATTGAAAAAAAAATCAAGTTTACTTAAGTTGACTGCAAGGACTAAATGAGATGATATATTTGCATAGTATACACACATAGTAAATGCTCAACTAATGGTGATTTTTCTTTTCTTTCTCTTTTTTTTTTTTTTTTTTTTTCTGAGATGCAGTCTTGCTCTGTCACCCAGGCTGGAGTGCAGTGGCATGATCTTAGTTCACTGCAACCTCCGCCTCCCGGGTTCAAGCGATTCTCCTGCCTCAGCCTCCCGATTAGCTGGGATTACAGGCATGTGCCATTACACCCAGCTAATTTTGTATTTTGAGTAGAGACAGGGTTTTGCCATGTTGGTCATGCTGGTCTTGAACTCCCGACCTCAGGTGATCCATCTGCCTCAGCCTCCCAAAGTGCTGGGATTACAGGCACGAGCTACCGCGCCCAGCCAATGGTGACTATTTCTATTATCATTATGACTTTTAATAGTAATAATACTTCTGGGATTGTTATTATTATCATTATTAATCGTATTAATGATTATGCAGAAGGTCCAAAATTTTTCCCTATGGATAATTTAAGTAGTAGAAATCAAAAGATGCACGCATCAGATACTTTTCTGCCAATAAAACAGGGCCTACAAAAATAAACGTGGACAATTTCAAGTTTTCAATGTGATTCACTGGAGACTTGTATATCATCACAAAGTTTCAGTAAACACTTTTAATTTAAAAAAAAAAGTCTTAAGGTAACCCAAAAGGTGAAAATTTTGAAGATTCACAAAATGTTATTACTCATATCTAACCAATATCAATTATTCAGGTGAGATAGAAATAAAAAGTCAATTAAAAGCTAGATATTTCTACCCTCGTTGCCAAGAATCTAGGTGTCTAGCTAATGATCTTGCTCTTTCCCTTTTTTGGGGTACTTGATATTATGAAATGTTTTGTTATTGGCTGCTTATATTGCTGGTAGTAGTGATTATGGAATACAATTTAAAATTATTAAATATTGTGAGGAATGGAATTGATCAGAATGAAGGCTTTCCATAAGAAAATACCTTGCTAGTTGAAAAGCTCCAGTGAGCTTCCAGGACATCTTCATGGGGCTGGCATGTGATATGAAAGCAGGCAGCTGGGTCTCAGGGCCATTGAAAAGTTATGGTCTTGCTGCTAAACAAGAGAAGAGTAAATAGGCTTGTATTTGTCTCTACAGCATATGGCATTGCACAGAAAGAAAAGTCAGATGTTAATTAAACCTTTGCAGGGTTGGAATGGGTCATCCCATTCTGTACTAAAAAGTCAGCTTTGACCTTTAATTGCATGTCCCCCCCAAAAGACCTGTAAACATATTTGCTAAAAGGTTCTTATTGCATCCAAGACTCCTTTCAAGTAAAAAGAAAAATATTTTTTCTTTGTATTTGGAAGAGCTCTAATGACAATACAGCCTTTATTGAAATAATATCTTGACTGTATATTGATACCTTTCATTTAATGTTTACCTTTTCCTGTGGATTTCCTTCTTTCACAAAGCCTTTCCTCCATGGAAATGCCGACAGTAAATTAACATCCATGCTTTGGTGTATTTTATGGTGTTTCATTTTAAATATTCACACTTGGATTAAAATCCAACATCATCTACGTTTCATGTGTTTAGCATATAGTAGAGGCTAAATAAATAGCAGTTAAAAGAAAGTAATCTCACTAGAATTATAGCCACAATTTCCTAGATTTCATTTCCATTCTGTCAGCCCTCCGTGAAGTTGGTATAATTTCCCTTCAAATGGGCGAGATTCGGAATTGTTCACAGTCACAAGTGAGAGAACAAAATAAGAGAGATTTTCATTTATAAGATTGCCTTTCTCTTATCTATTGGTCTTGCCTCCCAGACTGTCTGTCTGTCTCTGGAAAGCAAAGTCAATAAAAATGATTAGAGTTGACATCTCACAAATGTACACCCTTAAACCATGAAGCAGTAATGCTGTGCAGGAAATATTTTTCTGACCTTTTCAAATTGCATCCAACTGTCTCGGGAATTTCTCAGTGACTAGAGATAATAAGGTTCAATCAATTTTACCGGCTGGCTTCAAATTTAGTTCCTCTGAAGCTCTAACTTATCTATTCTTTGCATCTTCGTCCCAGCATCCATTCGGCACAGAAACCCATGCATCTAATCTTTCTTCCCCCTTCTCAGGTTCTTGCTAAAGGATCACACTGTGGAATCTACAACCATGACAACTTTCCACTTACTGCTCCCTTGAAAAACAAAATATTAGCACAAGAAGATTAGTGGACATGTTGTCTTTGAGAAGCCCTGGTTGAACTTAATTAGCTTTTAAATTTCATCCCATCTTACATCTCAGTTTTTACCTATGTGATTTATGCCTCAGTAATCTTCATTCTGTAAAACTTTTTCAACTTAACCAAACCATGGGCATTCTCTCGAATATTAAAGCGGCAAAAATACGTGAATTTCTTTTATGTTAAATTAATTTTGCTTTTTCTTCTGTGAGTCCAAATGCAGCAGACATACTCCCCTAGAAAGGAAGGGAGTCAGCCAAGTGTGACGTGTTAAAAGGCAGCTGGGCGGCCTCTTCACCGTGTTCCCTGAAGGAGAACAGAAAACAGAAGCTGGGGACACATTTCTTAACCTCATGAAAGTGTTGGATGTCAGGAAGCCTTGACAAGAAATTAAAAAGCTTGTCTTACTTTTTATATTTAGAGCATCTCCATGTTGACTGTGATTCTGGGGAGATATCAGTGTTTCCTCATTTGTAGGACACACCAAATTCAATAGCATTCTCTGCTGTGTTGTTCCCATCCATTGCCTCTGTACTGACTTCTGCAGAGGAGATTAGAATCTTGGCTGGAATTTCCTGTGGTCAGTGGAGCTTGGAGCCTCTTTCTGGCTTGGAAGGCATGTTCATGGGCAAACAGCCACCAGGAGGAAAAAGTCTTTTTGAAGTTACCCTTTTAAGAGTCTGCATTTTCTTGTACACTAATTATCAAGTTTGATCGTCATAAGATACTTGACTTTATAAAAATGAGATTATTTCAGACAACCCTATTTAGAAAATAGACTTGGGAAAAAGGAGGTGAAAAGCAGACATTTTAATATTTACAACACTGTATTTTTTTTTCCTGAAGAAACTGTATATTCATGCCAAAGTTCATCTTCATAATATGGCTTGTCTTTTTCACTTAAAACAAGGTGCTTAACGTTTTTGGTCAAAGTTAAAATAGAATACACCAAGTTATGTTTAAAAATAAGCTGCTATTTCATCATTTGAAATTTTATCTGTCTTGATAATAGAATCACAGTCCTGATGTTCTTTTATGACTTGGGTGTTGTTAGATGGCATTTTGTTTAGGAAAGATGGAGTATTTTGGCAGTTTTGCAAATCAGATTTACTTGATATTTGCAATGCAACTTAATGTTTTTATCACTAGTCAAGGAAGAGTGAAGACTTTCAGGTGCAGTAATTAAAGCTGTCTGTTTCTTGAGTGGAGTTGCAGTACACCTGAGAGGTTGTTAATTCAGCTGTGTGTATGTCTGCATGTATGTGTGCAGCCATGTGTGAGGTGTGCATACTCACTTAAAATCGGGATTGGAAGGCAACAACTCTGAAAACAAATAGAGTCTATTTTCTCCCTGTGGATGCCACCTCTTAATAAATTGGAGACTTAGCTATACCTATGAAACCCTTTCAGAACACAGAATGGCTTAGCTGATTGCTCTAATTATTACACGTTTAGTGCCTCCTCTTTCCCATTTCTGAGATATATCGTCTTTGCTTCAGAACCTGGAGGTAAAACAAAGTCCATGTTTAGACTTCCCATTGCAAGCATAAAGTGATTTGAATCTGGTAGAAGAACACAGTGAAGTGATGCTGGGGGTCACTTTGTACTGGGGTTGTTTTGCTTTGCTGGGTGTGCTTAGAGTTTGGAAGATGGCTGTGGAATGAATCAGGTAGAGAGGCACAAAGGGAATAGGTCACCTAATTAACAGTGCCAATAATAATAATGGCTGATTCTTACTGGACAACTACTACTTACCGGATGTATCACAGATAACTCATACAACCTCACTTAATCTTTACAGGAGCCCAATAAGACAGGCACAACTATCTTCGACTTATAGGGAGAAAAAGTGAAGCTTAGAGAGGGAGATTGTATAAAAAAATGATTTTTACATGGAAAGGAATGAAACAATCTATTCGTTGCAATCGTTGGTGTTTTTATTTTTCCTCCTCTACCTTTTCCTTCTCCTTTCTACCCTCTTCCTTCATCACCTCCTCCTCGTTCTTCTTACTTAGCTTCTCCTTCTCTTTATTTTTCTTTTCTCAAACACAGAATGAAATGTGGCCAGGTTGTTAAAGCACTGTCCCATTGGGTCTTGGTCAACAAGTACAGCTTGTTCTCCTTCGTCATGGAGTTGCTCTTAGTAGAGCTACTTATTTAATTATTTTGGAAGTTTGATAAGGGCTAAGAGTTCTGGCCGATGGCTTATTTATCATCACATACTTTTCATTAACTTAAAAGACGAACACAGGTGGCAGAGTATGGTGATTATATGCTGTCCCTCATAAGCTCACATTCAAATCTGCCTTCTATCTTTTGTCTGTGTTAATGATTGTTCAGGGTTAAAAGGCAGAAAGAATGAATTGAGGATAGCAGATGTCCAAAGATATTTTTGTGAGTAACTCAGTAAAACCTGTTTCTATAAAAAGAATGTGTTACTGTATCAGGATATCTAGGAAATTAAATTTTTTTCAAATATACAGCTGAGTTTTTTTTTCTTCTATTTCCCTCACACATCAGTATTACAAACATAAATTCCTGATTGCTAGAGCAGGCTTGTTTTTGTGATGTTAGCTCAATGGAGATATTGATGCCCTGGGATTCAATTTCACTCTTATAGTGATGCCTAATATACTTCAATTTGTGTCTCAGGGAAGGGGCTTGGTTATTTATTCTGGGTAAACTGGGCTTTTTGTGTTGCCACAGCATCACTTAGACTCCTGATACTGAGGCCAGCAACCTGATGGGGCCTCATTTGTTCCCAGGCGTAACAGAAGGAAAGAAAATGGATTCAAATCTAAGCAGAGTAGTAGAATCTCAAAAGCTCTGTCACCAACACTCACTGCAAATATACTCTTCCTAGAGGGAATGTTCTGAAAATTTGGTCTGCATCTCACTTGTGATAAATATCCCCTTTAAAAAAATTCACACAGAACGACACAAGAAAGGCAGCATGGTTTTAGATGCAAATATGATTTCGAGGTTTCTCTCTCTCTCTCTCTCTCTCTCTCTCTCTGATATACATTGGGTCTGGGGTCTTTTGAATATGCATGTGATCTCAGTTTAGGGTTCATGAATGACTTTGTGTTTTGCATAAGGCCCTTTTGATTTCCACTCCTACTGTTATCGGAAATAAACTCAAAATTGTATAAACAAACAGAGTAAATTGTTCTGAAACTATCTGCCACGCAGAGTTCATCTTCAACACTTTGCTTTCTATTATTGCCAAAGGAAGGGAAATGACAGCATTGGCTTTAAATCTGTAAATTTAGTAGTGGGGCACCAGCCTGTGCTTCTGTGATGTACTGGTAATCTCCACTTACTGTCAGAGCTGCAGCAGTATTTATTTTTCCTTAATTGGAACCCCACTGATATCCTGTGGGATTCCCCCCACCCCTCCCCTTGGCAAGGCAATATATCCATATAGACCTAGATCATAAACGCCATGGTCTATTGTAATATTATAGTCAGGAATATCAACACTGGGATCAAAATTAAACCAACGTCCAGTTTCTAGACTGCCTTTAGATATTATTAGGAACTCAGGATTTTTCTCAGTGTTTATCTTTGAAGTTACAGAAATGTCTGCAGAAGCTCAAATTGAATATGCTTTATCACAGTGTTTCCTCTTCTGTTTTAATTCTTCATTTCATTGCTTCTAGAAGTGTGGGGATGACTGATTACATTGCAAACTATTACGCATAATGAACAAGTAAACAACAAACACGAGTGGTATGGGCACTCTATATAGAAATGTTATTTTAAAAATACCTTCATCCTTTCTAGGTGAACAAATATAATAAGATGCCTGGAAAGCCTTAATTTTATTAAAGTTAAATTCATTAAAATTAAGTAAATCCTTTTTATCTTAACTTTTGGTGTCAAAACAGGATTTGTTACCTTGGACATCAGAGAGCCACTTCGTTGTCTTTATTTATGGTTTCAGCATTTGCTTTTCCCATGTGCTATTTTCATTTTTGTCATTGAAGTTCATGAAGACTTAATAATTATCCCTCTAATTTTCCAGAAAAAAAAGTTGATTTATTGAACTGACTGCAGAAAAAGAAGAAGAAGAAGAAGATCAATCTGACATTGTAGGTTAATAGTAGGGAACAAAACACGTTCATAATTAGAAGAGAAAAGGACTTTCCTTGTTCATTCCAGTTTATAATAAAAAGCCCCTCGCTAAAGTGTCTTAGAAAATAATGCATTCAGACTGAGTCGAATTACCGCCTAGCAGATTCTATTTATCTGTAGCTTAAAAAGCAGCTGCGTTTTTGTAAAAAGCAATGAATGTGGCAGTCCTACTTAAAGGTAGAAGAAAAAGAACACCCCTTGTTTTGTAATAAGGGGATTTTCAATTTAAAAGAGAGAGCAAGACTGTTGTGTGAAGTAGGGTTATTACATTCACTGTATTCTATCTCACCCACCAGGAGGCTAATAATGAAGGGGCCGGGAAGGAGGCCAGTGCTACCAGGGTTATCTCACAACCTCAGATGCTGGATAAGTCGACGGAGGCAGAATCGCTTTGGGATGACATTCAGAAAGCCTGGAGTGATTACTTGCAAGAGAAAAGCCTACCTATTCTTTCCAAGGTAAACAGTTCATTTCATCTGTCAGTGGCATGTTTCAGTATACAAATATGTTTATATAAAGATATCTATAAAGTTTTCCTTTTAAAAAATCATTTTAGGTGCAGGAATATTCCCCTGACCTGCTCATCCAGTGGTCCAGTAATGAATTACTGGAGACCTGCCTTAGACAAAGAATGCACTCGGAGCCCCAACACACCTAAAGCCATGCTTTGAAGGATCTGCCAAGCTCACTTTTAATCATGAGAAAGAAATTACCCACACGGAGTCAGCAGAAAATGAGAAAGTAGAGCTCGTGCTGTGAATAATTCCAGCAAGTGCCAAGGGGCTAGTTGAGGAATGGCTTCATGAGGTGAATATCTTTAGCTTGTACTTAGGGTTTGGTTAGCGTATAATCATTTTCTCTTTTAGGAGCAATGACTATCATACATGTATTTCCTAACTAAAGAGTGCTCAGAGCATTTGTCAGGTTGTTGACAGATTTAATATCAGTCTTGCCCATGTTGTTATTTACTATGACTAATTTTACGTTTGTAAATATGCAAAAATCAATTTAGGCGGAAAGGCTCTCCTCCGAGCCAATGACTGCTACTAGCTGTATGCATTTGTGTGTATTGCTGTGAGTGCATGTCCAGTAGTTTATGTCTCTGTGTCTGTATGTGCCCTTGTTCTGTCTTCTCTCTGTTGTGAACGCAGGTTGGGAGAATTAGCCAACCATTGGGTTCTCAGATGTGGTCCCAGGCTTTCATTTGATTTTTGGAACGGGAAAAAAAGAACGTGTCACATCATGATTAATGGTGAATCTGAATTTTCAATTCACATGAAAGGAGGAAGGGGAGGGGATATGAGTCAAGTGACAAGACTAACCTTTTCCCTTTGGGACGAGCATGATTCAAATTAAACATCACTTTCAGTGTGAAATTAGTTTGAAGGCTTTTTTTTTTTTTTTTTTTTTTTTTTTTTGTGCCTGGTTTAACTCCTTGGTGGCTGCTCATTCAGAGAGGATTGCTTCCATCCCAGCTCCGTGCCCAGGTCTACTCCCAGTAGCCCACAGTTCCTCCTCCTTTGTTTTTCTAAAGATCAGGTCCAGGAAATGAATATTTTACCATTTCAAAAGCTTCACTCCTCACAAGATAAGATTCTCCCTGAAATGTGTGTCCCAAACTAATGTTTTAATACATTAAATCAATCAATCTGTTAATCAATAATAACATTCTTCTTTTTTTAAAGATAATTTTGCCAGGGAGGAGGGAGAAAGGAAGCAAGGGATCCTTTTGAAAGGCATTTTGAGTGCCCTCCGCTTGGTGCCAGTTTTTGCTGGCTGAGTGCGCCACAGAGGAAGAACAGCAACAAAACTCCCAAGTTCTCTCCTGAGTCTCTAGTTTCCCACATAACAGTCACAGGATTGCCATGCCAACCTTCAGCAATGTTGGCTTTCAGCAAGCATGTGCCTCGACACTTTAAAACTGCCCTTCAGTACTGATCCAAAGGATGCAGGTCCAAACTTGTAGAAAGAACCCGCTACCTGAGCAAATGCAAGGCTGCCTTCCCATGTATCCACATTCTTGATGCTACCATTTAAGCATCAGCAGATTTGATATGTGATTGACTCTGTTTCTGGAGTTTGGTGGCTGGTGGAGAAAGGGAAAGTGTTGAGCTGGCTAAGAAACAGTGTTATTCTTCTAGTGTATTTTCAAAGGGAAAATGGTAGGGCTCTTGAACCCCTTCCCTAATGGAAGGAGAGATGTGGTAGAGGAGCGGTGGGGGTTGGGAGGGTAGCTGGTGGGGAGAGCTGAGCCAGCTGGGGGAGGAGGTAGAGGTGGAGTCTGGGAGGTAGAAGGTGGAGGCAGATGAGCAGCTGTGTTTATTTTAAAACATATCATTTAACCCTCACCTAAAAACAAATTGGAGAGGTTTGGGAGTGCATTAATCTGGACCCAATTAGCATGTCTTTCTCCTTCAAAAGTGCAACCTGAGATTAATGAATATAAACTAGAGTTTCAGATGCAGTGCTTAAATCATTTGCATGTTTTCTGCATGATAATTGAATTTATGTATGCACTTCCTTTCGTTTAACTATTTCCAGTCTCTTCCCTGTGATTCACATAAACCAAGATGTCATGGTAGTCACCTCTAGATGGAAATAGCTTGCCTAGCCTTTACTCCTAAGGAGGAACTCAAGTTCTTGTTTCTTTTATTTGAATTTGAATAATGCATTTTTAAAAAATAAAGCAGAGGGCAGTGCTTAATAGTCTGGAATGCTGTTTCGGGAGTTGGTAGATAGGCACCTCAAGTTTATTTTTTAAAGTCCAGATAAAACCATTGGGATTTATGGTATTGAGTTTTCAGTGGTACAGAGAATTGGGTTTCAGCATGGCCACTTATAAGTGTTTTAATAATACCAAGAGCAATGTCACTTTAATGCAGCATGAAGAATGTTCTTGGTCTTTGGACCTGAGTTATTTAGATCACTGAGAGATTTCAGTGCATAGTATTGTTTCTGGCATCGTTCTCGCTTTTGTAGATGGGGTTGGGGATGCATCTCTATAAAAGGCTGTAGGTGAGCAGTTAGCACATAGTATGCTATACTTTTTTATTTCCTTTTTGTTATTTAGGTGTAGAGAAAGCTTAACGCTTACATAGTCAAACAGGTACTAAGATCCCGACTCCCCACCTGACCCAAAATGAAAAGTCTAAAAGCCAGCATGGGTATGTAAGAAAGCTTTCTGGGGAAAAGTTGGAGCAAGAGGCTTGAAATAATTCCTCTGGTTTCAGTTTGCATCAGTGATTTGTCTGTCTTCTGTCTTTCCGTATGTGTTTCCAAGTTCAATGTCAAAGTGATGAGCATTTCTCCAGGAATTCTTCCCAGTGTCCTTTGTTTTTGGTGAATTCAATGGCTGAATGTTGCTGAGTGTCTCTTGGTCTTGTTTCCCGGTCCTTGTAGCTAAGAATGTCGTGGAAGGATAAAATCTTGTTAATTCGTGATGTCACAATTCAAGTGTGCTTCCTGTCACTTATGTGTAGTTTAAAATGTTCTTTAATGTAGCGTGAAATGATTGGTTAGCTTTGAAATGGTTGTGAAGTCATGTGAAGAAAATAAGTTTTGCATCCGACCAAGATAAATTCACTCTAGTGCTTTATGGCTTTTTATTCCTATGTGATAGTAATAAAGTCTCATGTAGGGATGGAAGCCATGAAATACATTGTGAAAAATCATCAACTAAGAAGGGGCCATCAGTATAGAGAACGTTAGCCTGTGGAGCTGTGAATGTGATGGAGACAAGATTTAGTGTATAGCTCTGCTACCTGCCTGGTGTTCCTTTGAGTTTCTTTATCCTTAGATTTGACAGCTGAGAAATCTAGGTGGATTCATATTCGTAATCATTGATTAACATGCACATTTGGGTTTGCACATTTTTGTTTATCATACATTTTTCTCCGTTTTCTATTAAAGAACATGCTCTAGGGGAACTATTAATAGCCCACCAGTCGGGTAGGCAGCATTCAATCCTTCTATGCCTTCTTTCGCCACCTGTTGAGGTCTTTCTTCTGAAACAAAGAAGAAATAGACAAATCAGACTTGCCCTCTTGGAAATGTGGTCCAGATTTCTCTACTCCCAAGCTCCAAAAAAGGTATACATTGGATGGGCTAGATCAACTCCTCCTGAGAGCCATAAATCCGCCAAGAGTTGTTTTCCATGTAAGGGTGTGGTACAATGGGGAACACCTGATGTTGGAGGAAAGCAGGAGGACTTTAGAGTGGAGTTGCATTCTAATCTCTCTGCCGCTTCAACTATGTGACCTGGGGCAAATGATATAAACTCTATGAGCCTCTTTCCTTATCTTTAAAATGAAGAGAAGTAATACCTACCTTGTAGGGCTGTTGTGAGGATTAAATGAAGTAATGCATACAGTGCCTAACAAAGTATTTAACATCATATTTTTTAAAAGCTCATGAAATATTAGTTTTTCTTCCTTCCCCTCTTTCTATTTTCTCTCCTGTTCCCTTTTCTCTCCCTCCTCTGCCCTCTCCTTCCTTCAGATGTTAGTCTAAAACAGCACCTTGGATCTAAGCAGCACCTTTGAGAAAGAAAAGACTGCTTCAAGAATGTCTAGTTGCACCTCCTTTCCGTATGTGGCCTAAATGCCTAGGTTGGATCAATAGTTTAATTTTTTTATTGAACTGTTTAATATTGACTATGGACTTACATTCACTTTTACTGTTTTCTGTATATTTACTTTTGCTTGAAGTGTTTTAATATTGACTATTTACCTCTGCTCATTTTTATTGATTTTCTGTATTTTTTCAATGAAAATTATAATAAAAATTATTTTTGTTATCTTTTGTCTATTTCCTTTACACAATGGGATTTTAGCCTGTGTCTAGGCTGCTCCAGTTAGACAAATGATGCTTTTTTCTTAAGAACCACCCACTGTTAGTACCAAAAGAACTATATCCCCTCTCTACTCTCCACTCCCACATTTTGTTTGCATATCAATGTGTTTGGGGACATTTATCAATCTAGTTGTAACTGTGATGCCCATTTATGTTTTAAACATATAAACATTAGAATTTGACTTTATCACTAAAGCCTAGGAATAATTGTCAATAAAGGAAAGGACTTTGCAAGTAACAGAAACTTTTTTAAAATTATAGAATAATGTAAGTGTATTGCTATAAAAATAGAATGTAGTGAAAATCAGTGACACCACATTTGTATCCAGAGTTCTTTTATCATCATCAAATTTGTTCTTTAAAACTCGCACTTACCCCTGTAACCCCAGGTCCTAGAAATATCCCTGATAGTAGGGCATTAGTTATTTGTGAACAAATGAATGGGAAAAGAGGGGAGAAAGATGATGTGAGAGGGAGAGAGGAAGGGGGAGCCAGGAGGAGAATAAAGAAGCAAAAGGCCATATCATCGTAGGAAATATATTGTATATTTAGGAAAGCAGGGCAGACATGTGCATGCATGGGCGCGCGCACACACACACACGCACGCACGTGAAGGCCTACTGCAAGAATGAGGAGAGTTTAAGTTTGGAGTAGATATTACTACACCACTCAAGATAAAATGTAATATGAGTGGCATAGAAAAAATTACTATAGGGACCTCATGTAAAGAAAGTTTTCTAGAATCAGGGAAAGATTAATGTCAGGATATAGACAATCAAATTTCCATAGGCAAGAGTCAAGGATTGAAAATTAATGTGTCAAGGAATTCATGAAAAGCTTAAATGAGTGGTTCTTGGGAATTTTTCCAACACACAAAGTATTCTACCCTGGAGAATATATTTACTTCTAAATATCTTCACAAATACCATTTGAAGCAGATAGTAGGTTTTAATGGACACACTTACTTAGATTAATTAATTACTGCTGAGTCTCAGTGGGCTGCAATCAGCTATTACCCATATGGGATGAGATAAGTCTAAGCTTCCAGCATGCTGGTGATTTCAGGAATGGCCATGTATTTGCCTACTTTCCCCTTTCCTGTACTCTTGTGTGGTTCTATCTGAATTCCAATACTTGCTTCATCTCTGAGGCAACTTGTGCAAAAGTGATTGACTGTCTCCAAGAAGGGCTCAGCAGCTCCCAATAGCTCTGGATATTGACTCTGTCACCGGATTCTGACCTTTTAAAAAGTATTGGCTGGCAATAAATCTCACAGGGTATTCCTATGTAAAGTGCATATAAATATGTTGGTGAGTGGAGCAGAATGCTGCAATGAAAGGTGATCTCCCTCAGCAAGTGAATGAGTAAATCTCTCAATCTTGCCACTGGCCTTGGCACAAGCAGGAGACAAGCATGAGGAAAGAATGAGAGTGTAGCAAGATCACAGAGCCATCTTTCTCATGTTGCTTAACTCTATGCCCTCATCAGAAATTTCTCTTCATCAGAGGTCTCACCAACAACATTGTCTTAGTCATTGGAGGACAATATTCATGGGATCTGGGTTTGGGCAGCTTAAGAAAAAAACCATACATCATCCTACATATTCAAATCCCAAAATGGTGCTATGGAGTTGGTAGGCCTCCTAAGAAGGTGAAATAGAGAGTTTGGAAATCTTATCTCATTATTTGAGTGGTAACAGGCACACTGAACCCATCATTCAAATTGCAGAGCCTGATCTTTTTCATCACAATTTGGACCTCACCAAGTAGACATGTACACTGTGTTTCTCAGGTGCAAATGAGCTCATGCTGGCACACACCTTTCCTCTTGCCCACCTTTATCAGCAAAGTCACCCACATCTGCACGTGAGACATGACTGAGGAAGAAACAGAACCTGCAGCTTGGGATCAGGGTGGGGTCTACCAGGAGAGCAGAACCCAAAACCTCAGTGAACACCAAGTAATGTGACCCTCTTGGTCATGAGCCTCAGGTTTTCTGCTTCTAAACCAATTCCTGGAATCATATCTCTGCAGGGTAGCTACTCCAGAAAGGGTTTCCCCAGACCCGGTTTTTATAGATTAGACTATTCTTGGATTTGAAACACTGATGTCCAAAAGGTGGAGTGGGATGGGGTTTGAGGAAAATCTCTCTTGATTCTATTAGATGGCCCTTCTTACAACCTTCCATAAAAGAGACTCTGAAACATATGATAATTCAGAGATGGAAGTCAGTGATACCAGGCCTTTTTACCTTTTTCTTCACCTTTATTCCTTATCAAGAAGAATGCAAAATAAATCGGTTGGTTCAAGGTAATAAGGTTTGCCCTTATAGTTCATTGTTTCATTCCATTAACTTTTTTTCTCTTTCATCTGTTTAACTGGACATTAAAAAATCTTTTTTTAATGATAACAAACATTCTGAGAGTATGTTTTAGCAGGGAATACATAAGCAATCTTATTGGTAGTCCAAAATTAGGTTACACAATGAGGGCTCAATAAATGTTGATGACTTAATTGCTTGCTTAATTAAGCTCGAAGTTCTTATAGTGACCCCCAAGGCTCACATGGTCTGCATTCACCCCATGTTTCTGACCTCATCTCTTACCACTCTCCCCATTGCTGACTTTAGGGTATTTCATAAACACACCAAGTGTACTTCTACTTCAGAGCCTTTGAAATTGTTTCCTTGACCTAGAATACCCTTCCTGGATATTTACATGTCCACTAGCTCACTGACTCAAATCTCTGCTCCAAAATCTCTGATCAATGAGCCTTGCCCTGACTGTGACTATAAAATCACAAGTCTCCTCCTCTTCCAAACTCCTACCACCTTGCTTTTTTTCCATAGTACTTTTCGTCATCTGATATACTACATATTTACCTGTTTCTTTATTTGTTTATAGTCTTACCTCACTAGCTCTGGGGGAGCTGGAAGAGAAATCTTCCTCTTTATTTGCTACTTTGTCCCCAGAGCCTAGAATTATGTTTGCACATAGTAGAAATTCAAATATTTGTTAAAAGAAGTAATACATATATGGTACTTCCTGGCATTATTGTGTCAAGATACCACCATTATATGTCATGACAACAAAGAATCACTTACATTTCTCACCGAGTTCACCATGCTTCAACCATTATCTTCTTGTGAGACACATAGTTTTGCTTTTCTAGTTTTCCCTCTTATAAATAATGCAGAGATGGATCTTTCTTTGCCCATCAACTTTTATCTCTATTTTTCCTTAGAATAAATTCTTAGTAGTGAAGTTACCAATTTAGAAATTAATGAGCATTTTGTGGCTCTTTATAACTATCATCAAATTGTTTTCCAGGAATGTTGTACCAATCTACACTCCTAGCAGAAGTAAATGTCAGAAAATTTTTGTTTACCTTCTTTTCTTTATCAGTGTTATGCTGTTTCGCACAAAGTTAACGAGATTCCCTTGCTGTCTCCATTCCTTTTTTTTGTTCCCTCTGGGAGTGTCTGTCAAAATGTGCTGTTTCTATTTACTTTTTCAACTTTGATCTTAAATTTCTGGAATGAAAGCAATCATTTTAGAAATGGAAAGAAACCATAAATTATATATTTCAATCCCCCATTCCACATATGAGGAGATGGAGTTCACACTGCTGACTACTAACAAGGCCAGGAGTGAGAGACACAGGACTTTGGTGACTCACGTCAGCACCTGCAAATATTTGAAAACCATGAGTCACCAAATAGGAATCAAAGTACACCATGCTAACTCTTAAATACCAGTGTCTACCTGTTCCTTGTTAAAATTAAGGTCAAAATGTCCACAAGAGTATCTCTCGATGTTGAGAGATTAGCTCTGTTTGTGGTGTGTATGAAATAACTTTGAAGTTGCACTACCTGTTCTACTTACTATGTTAGCTTGTTCCAGAATCTTTTGTTTATCTAAGACTCTTGCACAATCTGGCTCCTTCATATTTGTCTTTTTTTTTTGTGAATTTCATAAAATTATAAGGTAACCAAGAAATGAGCAGCATTTGTTAAATTTCTTTGAATAAAAGTAAAACAATCAGATAGTTGGTATTCCTACTAAAGAGAAAGGCCTTGGGCTTTTACAGAGCGATCAACAAATCGTCATTTGGAGACTTTGTGGAAATGGCGATTCACACCAGCATGTACATTTGTATAAGCCTTTGGAGACATCCACATCTATCTTCACAGATAAGCACATATAGTCTCTCATTTATCTGTAGAGAAATATACATTAATGAAGAACTTAGAATTATATGTTGCCTTTCCTTTGAAATCTTCAAGACTAGTCCTATGGTTTTCTTCCACATTAAAAAAGCCTTAATAAGATGTTTTTCAGCTATGATGTTCTTACATTACTCATGAATTTAATTGTTAGAGGAATGCCATAGATCAAATGGTAGTTAATATCCATAGTAAAGAAGAACTGTTTATTCCCAGATTTTGAAGGATGAATCAGTTGAGAGTTTAAATAGGATACTGTGTTCTGATAAAAATTAGTAGTATATGAAAATATGTCTTAACTGGAGACTACTCTAAATGCAGGATGTCTGCAATTTCTATTTATGAAGAATACACTGTTATTTACAAATAGGCTTTAATGTCTCTAAAGAAAATGTAATAGCCTAGATAAAATAAACAGATGACTTAAGTTGACAGGAGAAATCCAAAAGGAATGATAATGAATAAATTTAACAGATGCTTACTATGGTTGTATGTGTAGATGTGTACATGTGAGCATACCCATTTGTTTCAGGAGCACAAATTTCTATTAAATTCAAGGACCAAGAGGCAGGAGGCTCGAAAGAAAACCAGGCTTTAAGCAAATACTGCACATGCTTTTGCAAATATTATTTTCATCTGAAATATATACCTCTTGGTTATGGCCCCCTCCTATCCAGATTATAGAAAATAATTTCAGTAAATATTTTTCTCAATTTCACCAAATTCAAGTTTTTAAAGCCAATGAGACCCCCCACCATCTGTCAGCAGTTGTAGCCTCTCAAATCTAGAAAACAACTTTGTCTTAAGATGTTTATGGCTTTCCTGCCTCTCACTCCATTTCTGCACTATCTTCCTCTGTGAGACACCTTGGAACTAAGAACACAATAATCCACTAATAGCCGTTTAGATACCCTGTCTTTTACATAAATTTTCTTGATTAATTCTCTCAACAATCTCACTAGGAAGTTATTGCCCCAATTTTTTTTTTCTTCCAGATTTGGAAAGTAAGGCTTTTAGAGATTACGATTGCCTGGGATGTTTTTCAAAATATTCTCATCATAACCTTGATGTCAGTCCTCAGACCCAGGACAGGACTCGTACTAGGTGTGCCAATTATCAAGATATTGTCTCTCAGCTCCAAACTTATCTTCTATGCTTTGCGTAAGGTGATATAGTCAGATCCCTTCACTCCTACTTCTCATCAGGGCTTTGAGGTCAAGCAGAGAGTGCCCACCACCCCTCCATACACATTCCCCTCTCCTGTCGCCTCTGATGATTGAGCCTGCCCAGTTGAGGGAAAGCTTGCAAGCCCTCTCAACCCGTCTGGTTCTCTCTGTCCATATTGCCAGCCTTTCCCCATATTCTTGGTAAAGGTCAGAATGATGCTAGAACAGATAGGGATAGCCCTCTGGGCAAAAGCCTCTGAGTACCTGCATAGTAGGTTTCCCGCCTCCCAAGAGGGAGCAAAGTGTCAAGGGTCCCTAGGTCTCTGTGGGGTGGATTTTCAGACCTTCCCCACATCCTTATGCAGACAGTGCAGCTGAGGAAGGCTTATATCCTAATTCTACTAGGGCATGTGACATCAAAACTAAAGGGAAGTTGAGGAAGTAGATATTTGAAAGAGGCTCAACCACCCTGTAGCAATCCACATAAACTTTTGATAATGGAACACAGAACACATTGTGTGCAATGGTAGCTGGTAAACAGGACAGTGGAATTAATACAATGAGAGGACCCTCCTCTGCTCCTGGCTAGATGTGTGGCCATGAAGAGGTTACTTACTCCTTTGAAGCCCAAGTTCCTCATCTTGCTTTTGCAAATGTTATTTTCATTTAAAATACATACCTTTTGGTTATGGTCCCTTCTTATTCAAATTATAGAAGCTAATTTCAATAAATAGTTTTTTTCAGTTTTATCAAATCCAAATCCAAATTAACCCCCTAACTTGGGGGTGATTTCCATCCTTCCCATTTCAGGTTGTTCTGAGGCTCTCCTCAAGAGATACAAGCAGAAATGCTTGAAAACCATAACAGCACTATGGAGACTATGAAGATATAATATCTCCAGGGTTATTAGATTAGAAACTGACATGAAAAAGACAAAAATGTCATTTCACTTGAAATGTAATGTGTAGATTTGAAATTCATTTGCTGATTTATGTACCAAGTCCTCTGCCTGGGGCTAAGGATGTTGTCAAGAACAAAGCAGACACGGTCCCCAATTGGGACTAATGGCATCGTGGGGGTGACAGGGGAACAGACTGAGTGAGTGGTGAAAGTTGAATGAATGCTGTGAAAAGGGATGCCCAGGGTTTAATAGACATATAGGGTGATTCCTTTGGGGGAATCAGAGAAGGCCTCCTGGACAAGCGATATGAACTCTGGTTTCAGAGGAAGGAGGCCACAACATCACGACTATCATAAAACTAGAAAACACAGAGTTGACATTCTTCCAGTCTCCATTTCCATATATTAAATAAGGATTCAAAGTAGTTCCTCCTATTGTTGCACAGATATAAAATTAAAATGAATTCTTAGGTTGAGGGTGAACTTTCACACAGAACATTTTCCATTCTGATCCTCCTTGGCTAGCTGAGCAGGGCTCAGTATCTCCTGAACCATGGTTGAGAGGCAAAACCCCATTTCTCTTGATAGGTATAAAATAGAAACCCACACCTCTATCTTTGAGGGGATACAAATACCTTTCCTATTCCTACATAAACAAACCAAGGGGTTTCCCTTAAGGGGTGAGGACAAGTCAACTCTAAAGCTTTTCTGTTACTTTCCTCAATTTTCAGCTACTTTGCTAAATAAATGTCTCCTTCCCTTCACGTACAAAACTTCTTCAGAGACTTGTCATCACGTGTGACCTTGGAGAAGTTATTTAACCTCGCCAAAGAGGAATGGTAAAACCTCTCTATAGAGGATGTTTCTCATACAGTTGTTGTAGAGAGTAAATTAGGTATGACTTAAAATAGTGCCTGAAATATAGTAAATGTTATACAAGTGTAAGCTAATACTATTATGATTATAACCATCATCATTATTATCTTACTTCCTCCTTGCTCTCAGTTCACTCTAATTTGCCTTATAACCCATGACTCATCTCTGTAAATAGCTGCTGCTAAGGTCACCAATAACCTCCATGTAGCTAAATCTAATGAACTATTTAAATCCTCATTTACTGATTTCTCCATAGCAATCTATGCTGTTGATCAGTGGCTTTAAATATATATATTCTCTTTTGTGTCATTTTGGCCTCTATGACACAACAATTTTCTGTTTTCTCTTATCTCTCTAGCTACAGCTTCATTTCTTTAGCAGGTTTTTCCATTTTTGCCCAAACATTTCATCTGAAGTTACTTAAGATTTCAGGTATTTTCCTGGGCCTAGATCTCTTCCTCTTCTTTCTCTGGGAAATCTCCTCCAGGTCCATGGAGTCAATAACTTCTTCCCTGATCTCTTCTGAATTCCAAATCCATATATCTAAGTTCTTCTAGACACTGCCACTAGAATGGTTCAAAGGTATATCACTTGCAACAAGTTCAAAACCGATTAGTTATCTTCTGCCCTAAACCTGGGCCTCCTACACGTTTTCTTATCTTAGTGGTTTATACCATTTGGGTAAAGCAGAAGTCTAGGAACAATCCTTGAAACAATTTTTTGACCCATTTCTAATCTAATTCAAAGTTATATTGATTTTTATGTCTTACATATCTATGAAATCCATCTGTCTCTCTGTCCTCACCACCACTACCCAAGGTCGACTTGCCAAAACTGCTGCAATGGCCTACAATTCCAATGTGTTTTGAATCCTCTCTGGGCCTCCAGTCTCACAGCGCAGCCAGACATAGCTCTTCAAATTCAAGTGTGACATGTTAACTTTCTTTCCTTCTTAAATCCCTTTAATGATTTGCCAGTTCTGTTAAAATAAAGGCCCAAGTCACCACCATGGCCCATAGGTGCTGTATGATTTGGGCCCTGTTTACCTCTTCAGGTTTATCTCCATTCTCTGGGCAATCTACTTACCTTAGCATCCCTTCCCATCTCTTCCCACCCTCATGGCTGCCTCCACCTGGAAGCCTTTCCAAGCCCACTTCTCTGCCTTTCTCTCTCTAGTTCACATCTATTCAGCCTTCAGACTCTTCTCCCATCTATCACATTCCTAGCTTGTTGTCCAGATCAGGCTCACCTGTTACTTATTCCCATCAAAGCATAGTTCTTTCTTTCAGAGCATTTGACTTGGTTTCTAATCAATTATCATTTGCATAATTCATGTTTTTCTTCTCAAGTATAATTGATACTCCATGAAAGCAGGGACTATTTCTGGTTTGTCCCTATTTTTCTCCAACATTTACCAGAGGGCCTGGTACACAGAAAGAACTCAATGTTTGTTGAATGATTGCTTGAATAATTTCTCCATCCTGGGACAACTTATCAGAACATTTCATGTTTCTTTTCAAAAATCTCAAATTGCCTCCCAAGCTTGATTTCACTACATAATTATTCAAAGAAATAAATTTGAGGATTATAATTGAATTTTGGGATGAAATATGGCAAAAATTCCTTTTTAATAGACGTAGCCTCCCTGTAAAAGTGAGGTTCATTAAAGTAGAAGTTGGAAGAATTTGTGAAAACATCCACAAATAAAGTACACAAGATTCAAATGGGAGCACAGCTGCAATTAATTTGAAACCTAAATTGTGTTTTTGCAGCAACAAAGTTATAGAAAAATGAGTCATGAAGTAATTGTTATTGTGACATAGCTCCATGTTACAGTTGAAGTACTTTGCACAGCTGTAATCTCAAACTACCTTGAGGTTTGCCACATTCTTTAATTTTCTGATTGATTAAATGGTTTATTTGACATTTTGGCAGATCACAGAAATTGCTGAATAACAAAGCCTCCTTTCATTCTTCATTATTTGCTCTCTTTGAGCTTAATGCAAATTCTTTAGGAACAAAAGTGTAATATTCCTTTTCTATAATTTTGTTTCAGCGTTGTATTTTTACTGATAATAGTAGCAGTTCCTACACAAAAACTTCACATTATTAACTTTGATATCATTCTGCCTAATAAAATGTAATACATAATAAGATATGAAGTTCATACCATACTCAGACTTTTCTATTCTTGTCATTTGTATAGAGAATTACATACTTTTACATTCTTGTCATTGGAACAGAAAATTAAAAAAAATAAAACCTCACTGGTGATGGGAAATTTTTTCAATTTTGGCTGTCAGGGTATTATTTGGGAAACTAGGTATTTCCAGGTGGCTAGCTAAATGATGGTTTGGACAGTTTTACACTGACTAGATTGGCCAAGGGAGAGCTTTTTGGTTCCAAGCTCATTTTCTCTGGCCTGTTCAGTTAGCACCGATTATATAATACATATTGCATAGTTGGTCCTCATCCACTGGGACAATCCACAGACCTCTGTTTACCACCACCATCTGACCTCTGACTTGCAGAAGTTTCTCAGCCTCACTAATTAGATTATCATACCTACTCAAGGAAAGAGGGTATTCGTTGTGGTGCTGACTGACTAGAAAGGCTACCCTAACACGCATTCATTGAGTTCCTACTAAGTGATAGGTGCTTTGCTAGGCATAAGACATAGACGCTGGAAAGACACCGACTTCTCTCTGATGCAAGACCCTCAGGCTGAAGTGGGGAAAGTAATTGTAATGCAGCATGATAACTACTCTATTAGAAGATTGAGCCATCCCCCACCCAGACTTGGCAAACAAGGAAAGGCTTGTTAGGGAAGTCACATCTCAGCTGAGATTTGAAAGGTAAGTTGGAGGAAGCCTAGTGAAGAAAGCTGAAGGAGGAATGTAGAGCGTTCAGGATAAAGCAGCAGCCCGTGGTAAGCTTAGAATCATCATCCACCACGACAAGATGCAAGATAGGTAATCAATTCAGTACATCAGAATCACTGGCTATGAAGAGAAGATTCAAGCAGAGACCTGCAGGGTATGTCAAATAAGGAGTTATATTTTATCTTGTGTGCAATAGAGAGCCACTTAAGATTCAGAGACAGAGAGAACTGTGATCAGCTTTGGTTCTCGGGAGGATCTCTCTAGCTGCAGGGTGGGAGAATAAGATAAGATGGGGGCAGAGAGACGCGTCAGGAGGCTGACACAGTAATCCGGGAGAGAATTTATCAGGACCCAAACTACAGTGGTAGTGATGGAGATGGAGACTACAGGGGGCAGATTAGAAAGCTATTAAGGAGGACTATTAAGAAGGAGTTTGCAACCAATCGAACATAGGCAGGGAAGGAGGAGATAGAGTTGAGAGTAATGTTTAGGCTTCCTTGGGTTCCTGCATGGATGGCATTACATTCCATGAGATAACACATTTCCTATCGGCAGTGCTAATTAAAAATAGCTGGGCACACTCCTGGATCCTGGATATTTTAAGTAGAAGGGATCCATAGCCTTCTGTAGCTGAAAGCTTTCCCCTCTATGCAAGAGATTAGGTACTGGGGCCTTTTTCTTCCACGGGAGGCTTCAGCTAGGTGGCCCTTATGTTGGCCCACCCTCCCCTCTGGACTTAGCTCTTTTATAACACAGATCAGATGGTGCTATAATTGTCTCTTAACTGTTTTCCCCACCAGACTGTGAGTACCTTTTGAGCAGAAACTGTGTTTTATGAATCATTACTCATTACTCAGGCATTCAAGAACTCAACAATGTGTGCAACATTCCTAATGTTTACTATGTGTCAGGCTCTGCTTTATTGTATGCTAAGGACCTATGTGCCTGGCACATAGGAGACCCTCAAAAAATGTTCGATGAATTAAATTCAGCCCAACATATGATTTAGTTGGCTACTACTCAAAGATTTTCACTCTAATGTGAGAAAATATCAAAATGTAAGCTTTTGCAACACATTCAAATGTACTCCTCCTTTCAGTACAAGCTAAACTTTCTTCTTTACTCAGTGCCACCACTAGACTCTTGTCATAAAGGTTTAAGTTTTTCACCTGTCTTGTTTTATTGGTCTCATGCTTTGCTGGGCAGACTGCATTTTGGTCATACTTAATATAGAGAACAATAATGTCTGCTATTTTTCCAGGACAATGGTAATTAGCCATTGGTGCTTTGCAGTCAATTCAATCTGTGTTCAAATCCTGACCCTGTCACTGGTTAGTGGGATGTCACATCTACTTTATTTCATTTTCAGAAAATTCATTTTCTCATCTTCATAAAAATGGGAATAATAATAGTATGCACATCATAGGATGGTAAGAAATAAATAACCCAGTAATTGACAGAATTTGCTAAATTTACCTACAGTGATTCCATTTATGGAAATGCTTTTCAACTTTCAGCATTTATTTAATGATACTTATTGATGATCTGTGACATACAAAACCTTGTAGCATGGAGGATGCAAAGTTGCATACCTTAAGTCTAATAAAGGAGACAAAATATCAAATAGACAAGTTACTGTACTAAAAGGAAGCATCTAATAAGTGCCACAGCCTGACCCATTGCTATTTCTCAATGTTGCTTTTATTAATATTGTATTAATAATAGACCCCATCCACAGATGGGGATATTGATAATATCAATTGTATTGATAATAGACCCCATCCCAAGAAATGATGATTCAATTGGCCTGGGTAGCTGGTAATTTTTTAGATACACCCTGGGTGGTTCTCTGTGCTGCACATTTCAGAACCACACACAGAAGAAATACAATGAAGAAGAAATTACTTTTGGCTGAGACTCCCGAAAAAAGCTTCCTGTAGAAAGAGTTATCTTGAGGGATAGATATGACAATTTTTAAACTTAACTAGGTGTTATACTTTTTATTATAAACAATTAAAATGATAACAATTATTTTGAAAAAAAAGCAAGACTCATCCCCAAATCCTGTCACGTTTTTAAAATGCTGTATTTCTATATATTTTCCTTTTTTTGTTCATGCACATATTTATTTGTCACAGCAAAGCAAAACTATTCAATAGAAATATAATTTAAGCCACAAATTCAAACCATATATGTACTTCTACATTTTCCAAGACTTACAGTATACAAATTTAAAAGACACTGTTAAAAGTAATTTTAATTTTTTTTTTTTCTTTGAGACGGAGTCTCGCTCTGTTGCCCAGGCTGTAGTGCAGTGGCACGGTCTTGGCTCACTGCAACCTCTGCCTCCCAGATTCAAGAGATTCTCCTGCCTCAGCCTCCCAAGTAGCTGGGATTATAGGTGCCTTCCACCGTGCCCAGCTCATTTTTGTATTTTTAGTAGAGATGGGGTTTCACCATGTTGCAGGCTGGTCTCGAACTCCTGACCTCAAGTGATCCACCCACCTCTGCCTCCCAGAGTGCTGGGATTACAGGTGTGAGCCACCGCAACTGGCCTTGATTTTTTATTTAACTTAATATATATATAAATATTATCATTACAACGTGTAATCAATATAAAACTAGTGAGATGTAGTACATTCTTTTTGCATACTAAGTCTTCAAAATCCAGTATATATTTTACATTTACAGCACATCTTAATATAAACTAGCCTCATTTTAAGTGCTCAATAGGCCACATGTATCTGGTGGCTACCATGTTGGACAACATTGTTCTAGAAGGTATGATTTATACGAGACATAGTAGAGAGTCAGAAGTAGTCAATACATTTTAATTATTGTTGTTGTTTTTGTTGATATATTAGGTTGGTGCAAAAGTAATTGCAGTTTTGCCATTAAAAGTAATGGCAATTAAAAGTAATGGCAAAACCACAATGACTTTTGCACCAACCTAATAGCAATCTGGTACAAGACAATCTCATAGAGTCAGACCATAGTGTAGATTGCCTCAAATACTGGGTTAAGGAGTTTGTATTGTATTAAATGACCATTAGAAAGCACTGACAATTTTGATAAGAATATGGTTTAGCTGGGATATATTAGATGAGTTGAAAAAAGAGCAGGCTGAGGTGAGAAGACATCAATTACAAGTCAAAGGGAGTGGTCATTATGGCATAGATTCCAGTTAAGGCAGAGGAGATGGGAAGGAAGGAACAAATGGGATAATGTCCACAAAGACATGGTGATCTATTTAATTCAGGATTGCAGTAGAGAAATAATAGAGTCAAAAATGACTTCTTGGCAGATGAGAAAGTCAAGAGAAGAGTTGCTCTAGGGGTAGGAGTGATTCTGTTCTGTTTTAATCACGTTGAAATTGAGATCTAAGCAAGATGACTTCCTGATCCAAATGTCCAGCCAACAACTGGAAGTTTACCTAGAGTGAAAACTGAAACAGGAGAGTAGAGAACATAACAGAGGAGATCTATAGAGGAATGTGAATCCTGCCTTTAATTACCTAAAGAACTGGTATTTGGGAAAATGAACACAGTTTACAAGTACAACTCTGTAAGGCAAAAGTAGCACCAGTTGGCAAAGCTATAGAGAGGAAGTCTTTAACTACATATGTAAATAAGTTATGTCATGCATTGATAATTGTCCATGCATAGAATAGATGGCCTCAAAATGTAGCAAATCCCTTAGCCCTTTTTCAGAGCAAACATTTAGAAATTAAAAACTTATGGGAAATACAGGTCAAATGCCTTTCTTCTTTTCTAACTAGGCTTTGTATTATTTCTGCGAGAGCTTATTTAACCTCCAATCTTAAACACATAACCTGAGTAGACTCTACTAAATTCCTTTATTCATAAGTTGCTGAGCTTCCTACCCATTCATAGTTTAACCGTTAGTAGACAGATACTGAGCTTCCTACCCATTCATAGTCTAACCATTAGCAGACAGACACTATTAGCTTCTCCAGATTAATCCTACCTCTGCTTGCTCTGGGTCTTTCTAAGAGAAGATTTTCTCATCACATGGTTCCTCTGTTGTCCAACTAGGCCTACATTTTCCTTGGCTTTCTTCTCTCTATTCTACCAATGGGAACTATTAAGAGAAAGTGTGTGCTTTGTCTTCTAAGAAGAGTTCATGACTCCTTTTACACCTCCTGTCTCTCCCTGACTTGAATAAGAATCATGAAAATAATAGTTATTCAACTATAAGGTTAAATTGTGGTATGGTTTTGGTATATGTGAAAAAAAGTAAAATCTGAACATGCACGAGGCTGCATGCTTTCTTCCTCTTTCCCTCTCTTTTTCCTCTGTTCCTCCATTCTTCCCTTTCCTCTTCTGCCTTTCCCTCTTCTGCCTCCTCTTTTCTTGAACTTTTGTCTTATTTTGCCTTGACATTGGAAGTGCTTTTAATAAGGGGTCTCAGTCTTGCTCCCACTAGGGATAAGGATTCTTCCCTTCCACTTTCATCTTTTTAGAAAACAAGAAGGATTCTGGAGGGTTTGTGGGCATGCCAGATAACACTGTTTTTGTTTGTTTGTTTTATTTTGTTGTGTTTTGTCTTGAGCCCAACTTCTACAAGCAAAAGAAGTTGTGTGGATTCATATAGCCCAGACTATTAATTAAAACCTCCTCTATCAGAAGAGGATACAAGGAAATAGCTAAGAGAATGGACACTGGACTCAAGCTACCAGATTCAGTCCTAGCTCACTAGCTCTATGTCCTGGATTAAAGTGAATAACCTCTTTGTTTTTTCCATTTATAACCGTAAAATGGGGATGATGCATTATTTTTATATTAGTATGGCTGACACTGAGAATACAGCAGTAATAAAACAGATAATATCTCTGCTCCAGTAGAGCTTGCATTCTAGCAAAGACAAAAATCAAGTAAATACATCTTTTCATCACTACTTAATAATTTATTAAGTAGTGATAAAAACATAACAGAAATACAAAACAAGGTAAAGGGGTAGACAGTGATAGAAAGGTACTCATTTTCATGGAATAATCAGCTAAAGCTTTTGTGAGGAGTAATGTTTTGGCAAAGACCTCATATATATCTGGACAAAGCATAACTAAGCTGAGGGAACAGCTGGTTTAAGATGCGATGAAGGAAGCTATTTTGTATCTTCAAGGAACAGCAAGGAGACCAGCATAACTGGGGTAGAACAGGAGACACGAACTATGGCAGGAGAATGAAGTCAGAGAGGTAGAGGGAGGACAGATTATTTATGGCTCAGAGTCTGTGGGATTGAAGGTTGGGTGGTGTTCTGAGTAAAATGGAAAGTCACTGGAAAGGAGTCAGATGATTACAAAGTATTTCACCAGTGCACTTAGAATTCTGTATAAAGCTGTCATTTATGGAGATGACAGAAGATTGAGGGAGACGCAGAATGGGGAGATCCAGAATTTATAACCATATGCATTACATTTGAGATGACTATTAAATTTTTATTTTGAAAAGTCAAGTAGGAAGTTGAATATATACATTTGGAGGAGCATTTGAATGCCACTGAAAGTCCATGTGAGATGAGAACTGACCACTGAATTTGATGACAGAGAGGTCATTAGTGACCTTGACAAGAATAGTTTAATATTTCCATATTTCCATGGGAAGATGAAAACCTGACAGCAGGGAGCTATAGAGAGAATGGGAAGATGCTGCTTCTGGCTATAATGGTTGAGCTTGTATCAAACTAACCCCCTGCTGAAATAACTAGAAAAGCTGGATTTTAAAAAATCTATTTGAAGATATCTGAGAGATGCTAAGAGCGACAGTACTAATTGGCCATGATCCAGAGAGAAAGAAAGGGCATTGAAGAAAGCTCAGCAATTGTTGCTGGGTTTTTTTCCCCCAATTTAATTCACTTGCTTATTTATAAGTGGTACCTGGAGTAAAGCCTGGGAGGCCAAGCAGAAAGTGACAGCCATGGAATTAAGAAGATGACCAGGAAGATGGCTGAATATGAACAGCTTCAATCTGCAACTCCCAGTGAGACCAACACAGAAGGCGGGTGATTTCTGCATTTCCAACTGAGGTACCCAGTTCATCTCACTGGGACTGGTTAGACAGGGGTTGCAGCCCACGGAGGGTGAGCAAAAGCAGGGTGGGGCGTCGCCTCACCTGGAAAACACAAGAGGTCGGGGAACGCCCTCCCCTAGCCAAGGGAAGCTCTGAGGGACCATACCATGAGGGACAGTGCTATCTGGCTCAGATACTACACTTTTCCCATGGTCTTCACAACCCACAGACCAGGAGATTCCTTTGAGCGCCTGCACCACAAGGGCCCTGGGTTTCAAGCACAAAAACTGGGTGGCCATTTGGGCAGACACCAAGCTGGCTGCAAGAGGTTTTTTTTGGTACCCCAGTGGCGCCTGGAATGCCAGCGAGACAGAACCATTCACTCCCCTGGAAAGGGGCTGAAGCCAGGGAGCCAAGTGGTCTAGCTCACCAGATCCCACCCCCACAAAGCCCAGCAAGCTAAGATCCACTGGCTTGAAATTCTCACTGCCGACACAGCAGTCTGAAGTTGACCTGGGACACTTGAGCTTGGTGGCGGGAGCATCTGCCATTACTGAGGCTTGGGTAGGCAGTTTTCCCCTCACAGTGTAAACAAAGCCACTGGGAAGTTCAGACTGGGCAGAGCCTACCACAGAGTGGCCACGCTGCTGTAGCCAGACTGCAGCTTCCTCTTCTCCGGGCAGGGCATCTCTGAAAGAAAGACAGCAGCCCCAGTCAGGGGCTCATAGATAAAACTCTCATCTTCCTGGGACAGAGCACCTGGGGGAAGGGGCGGCTGTGGGCGCAGCTTCAGCTGACTTAAACTTTCCTGCCTGCCGGCTCTGAAGAGAGCAGCAGTTCTCCCAGCACAGTGTTCGAGCTCTGCTAAGGGACAGACTGCTTTGTCAAGTGGGTCCCTGATCCCCGTACCCCTTTACTGGGAGACACCTTCCATCAGGGGTCAACAGACACCTCATACGGAGAGCTCCAGCTGGCATCTGGCGAGTGCCCCTCTGGGATGAAGCTTCCAGAGGAAGGAGGACGCAGCAATTTTTGCTCTTCTGCAGCCTCTGCTGGTGATACCCAGGAAAACAGGGTCTGGAGTGGAACCCCAGCAAACTCCAGCAGACCTGCAGCAGAGGGACCTGATTGTTAGAAGGAAAACTAACAAACAGAAAGGAATAGTATCAGTGTCAATAAAAAGGACAACCACGCAAAAAGTCCATCTGAAGGCCACCAACTGCAAAGACCAAAGGTAGATAAATCCACGAAGATGAAAAAAAACCAGCACAAAAAAAGCTGAAAATTCAAAAAACCAGAATGCCTCTTCTCCTCTAAAGGATCACAATTCCTCACCAGCAAGGGAACAAAACTGGACAAAGAATGAGTTTGATGAATTGACAGAAGTAGGCTTCAGAAGGTGGGTAATAACAAACTCCTCAGAGCTAATAGAGTATGTTCTAACCCAATGCAAGGAAGCTAAGAAACTTGATAAAAGGTTACAGGAATTGATAACTAGAATAACCAGTTTAGAGACAAACATAAATGACCTGATGGAGCTGAAAAACACAGCATGAGAACTTCGTGAAGCATACACAAATATCAATAGCCAAATCAATCAAGCAGAAGAAAGGATATCAGAGACTACAGATCAACTTAATGAAATAAAGCATGAAGACAAGTTTAGAGAAAAAAGAATGAAAAGGAGCAAACAAAGCCTCCAAGAAATATGGGACTATATGAAAAGACCAAACCTATGTTTGATTGGTGTACCTGAAAGTAACGGGGAGAATAGAACCAAGTTGGAAAACACACTGTAATATATTATCCAGGAGAACTTCCCAACCTAGCAAGACAGGCCAACATTCAAATTCAGGAAATACAGAGAACACCACCAAGATACTCCTTGAGAAGAGCAACCCCAAGACACATAATTGTCAGATTCACCAAGGTTGAAACGAAGGAAAAAATGTTAAGGGCAGCCAGAGAGAAAGAGCAGGTTACTCACAAAGGGAAGCCCATCAGACTAACAGCAGATCTATCTGCAGAAACCCTACAAGCCAGAAGAGAGTGAAGGCCGATATTCAACATTCTTAAAGAAAATAATTTTCAACCCAGAATTTCATAACCAGCCAAATTAAGCTTCATAAGTGATGGAGAAATAAAATCCTTTATAGACAAGCAAATTCTGAGGGATTTTGTCACCACCAGGCCTGCCTTACAGAGCTCCTGAAGAAAGCCCTAAATATGCAAAGGAAAAACTGGTACCAGCCATGCAAAAACAAACCAAAATGTAAAGACCATCAACACTATGGAGAAACTGTATCAACTAATAGGCAAAATAACCAGCTAGCATCATAATGACAGGATCAAATTCACACATAACAATATTAACCTTAAATGTAAACAGGCTAAATGCCCTGATAAAAGTCACAGACTGACAAATTGGATAAAGAGTCAAGACCCATCAGTGTGCTGTATTCAGGAGACCCATCTCATGTGCAAAGACACACATAGGCTCAAAATAAAGGGATGGAAGAAGATTTACCAAGCAAATGGAATGCCAAAAAAAGCAGGGCTTGCAATCCTAGTCTCTGATTAAACAGACTTTAAACCAACAAAGATCAAAAAAGACAAAGAAGGGCATTGCCTAATGGTAAAGGGATCAATGCAACAAGAAGAGCTAACTATCCTAAATATATATGTGCCCAATACAGGAGCACCCAGATTCATAAAGCAAGTTCTTAGAGACCTACAAAGAGACTTAGACTCCCACACAATAATAGTGGGAAAATTTAACACCCCACTCTCAATATTAGGCAAATCAATGAGACAGAAATTTAACAATGATAGTCAGGACTTGTACTTAGCTCTGGACCAAGTGGAGCTAATAGACATCTACAGACTCTCCACTCCAAGTCAAGAGAATATACATTCTTCTCAGCACCACACAGCACTTATTCTAAAATTGACCACACAATTGAAAGTAAAACACTCCTCAGCAAATGCAAAAGAATGGAAATCATAACAAACAGTCTCTCAGACCACAGTGCAATCAATTTAGAACTCAGGATCAAGAAACTCACTCAAAACAACACAACTACATGGAAGCTGAACAACCTTCTCCTGAATGACTACTGGGTAAATAACAAAGTTAAGGCAGAAATAAATAAGTTCTTTGTAACCAATGAGAATAAAGACACAACATACCAGAATCTCTGGGGCACAGTTAAAGCAGTGTGTAGAGGGAAATTTATAGCACTAAATGCCCACAGGAGAAAGCAGGAAAGCTCTAAAATCGACACCCTAACATCACAGTTAAAAGAATTAGAGAAGCAAGAGCAAACAAATGCAAAAGCTAGCAGAAGACAAGAAATAACTAAGAGCAGAACTGAAGGAGATAAAGACCCAAAAACTATTCAAAAAAATCAATGAATCCAGGAGCTGGTTTTTTGAAAAGATTAACAAAATTGATAAACTACTAGCCAGACTAATAAAGAAGAAAAGAGAGAAGAATCAAATAGACACAATAAAAAATGATAAAGGAGAGATCACCACTGATCCCACAGAAATGCAAACTACCATCAGAGAATACTATAAACACCTCTACACAAATAAACTAGCAAATCTAGAAGAAATGGATAAATTTCTGGACACATACACCCTCCCAAAACTAAACCAGGAAGAAGTCGAATCCTTGAGTAGACCAATAACAAGTTCTGAAATTGAGACAGTAATTAATAGCCTACCAATGAAAAAAAGCCCAGGACCAGATGGATTCACAGCCGAATTCCACCAGAGGTGCAAAGAGGAGCTGGTACCATTCCTCCTGAAACTGTTCCACACAATGGAAAAAGAGGGACCCCTCCCAAACTAATTTTATGAGGCCAGCATCATCCTGATACCAAAACCTGGCAGAGACACAACAAAAAAAGAAAATTTCTGGCCAATATCCCTGATGAACATCAACACGAAAATCCTCAATATAATACTGGTGGCTGGGTGCGGTGACTCATGCCTGTAATCCTAGTACTTTGGGAGGCCGAGGGAGGCAGATTACCTAAGCTCAGGATTTCAAGACCAGCCTGGGCAACATGGCGAAACTCTGTCTCTACTAAAGTACAAAAAATTACCTCAGCTATTCAGGAGGCTGCGGCACAAGAATCGCTTGAACCCAGGAAATGGAGGTTGCAATGAGCCAAGATTGTGCCATTGCACCCCAGCCTGGGCAACAGAATGAGACTCTTTCTCAAAAAATAAAATAAAATAATAAAATAAAATAAAATAAAATAAAAAAATACTGGTAAACCAAATCCAGCAGCACATTAAAAAGTTTATCCACCATGATCTCATCAAGTCGGCTTCATCCCCAAGATGCAAGGCTGGTTCAACATATGCATATCAATAAACGTAATCCATTACATAAACAGAGCCAATGACAAAAACCACATGATTATCTCAATAGATGCAGAAAAGGCCTTTGATAAAATTCAACACTCCTTCATGCTAAAAACACTCAATAAACTAGATACTGATGGACCATATCTCAAACTAATGACAAACCCAGAGCCAATATCATACTGAATGGGCAAAAACTGGAAACATTACCTTTGAAAACAGGCACAAGACAAGGGTGCCCTCTCTCACTACTCCTATTCAACATAGTATTGGAAGTTCTGCCAAGGCAATCAGGCAAGAGAAAGAAATAAAGGGTATTCAGATAGGAAAAGAGGAAGTCAAATTATCTCTGTATGCAGATTACATGATTGTATATTTAGAAAACCCCATTGTCTCAGCCCAAAAACTCCTTAAGCTGATAAGCAACTGCAGCAAAGTCTCTGGATACAACATCATTGTGCAAAAGTCACAAGCATTCCTATACACCAATAATAGACAACGAGCCAAATCCTAAGCAAACTCCCATTCACAGTTGCTACAAAGAGAATAAAACACCTAGGAATACAACTTACAAGGAATGTGAAGGACCTTTTCAAGGAGAACTACAAACCACTGCTCAAGGAAATAAGAGAGGACACAAACAAATGGAAAAACATTCCATGCTCATGGATAGGAAGAATCAATATCGTGAAAATGGCCATACTGCCCAAAGTAATTTATAGATTCAATGCTATTCCCATCAAGCTACCATTGACTTTCTTCACAGAATTAGAAAACACTACTTTAAATTTCATATGGAACCAAAAAGGAGCCTGTATAGCCAAGATGACCCTAAGCAAAGAGAACAAAGCTGGAGGCATCATGCTACCTGACTTCAAACTATACTACAAGGCTACAGTAACCCAAACAGCGTGGTACTTGTACCAAAAGAGATATATAGACCAATAGAACAGAACAGAGGCCTCAGAAATAACACCACACATCTACAACCATCTGATCTATGACAAACCTGACAAAAACAAGCAATGGGGAAAGGATTCCCTATTTAATAAATGATGTTGGGAAAACTGGCTAGCCATATGCAGAAAACTGAAACTGGACCCCTTCCTTACACCTTATACAAAAATTAATTCAAGATGGATTAAAGATTTAAACATAAAACCTAAAGCCATAAAAACCCTAGAAGAAAACCTAGGCAATACCATTCAGGTCATAGGCATGGGCAAAGACTTCATGACTAAAACACCAAAAGCAATGGCAATAAAAGCCAAAACTGACAAATGGGATCTAATTAAACTAAAGAGCTTCTGTACCGCAAAAGAAACTATAATCAGAGTGAACAGGCAACCTACCGAATGGGAGAAAATTTTTGCAATGTATCCATCTGACAGACAGCTAAAATTCAGAATCTACAAGAAAATTCAACAAATTTACAAGAAAAAAACAAACAACCCCATCAAAAAGTGGGCAAAGTGTATGAACAGACACTTTTCAAAAGAAGACATTTATGTGGTCAACAAACATGTCAAAAAAGTCTCATCAGCACTGGTCATTAGAGAAATGCAAATCAAAACCACAGTGAGATTCCACCGCTTGCAAGTTAGAATGGTGATCATTAAAAAGTCAGGAAACAACAGATACTGGAGAGGATTTGGAGAAATAGGAATGCTTTTACTCTGTCGGTGGGAGTGTAAATTAGTTCAACCATTGTGGAAGACAGTGTGGCAATTCCTCAAGGATCTAAACCAGAAATACCATTTGATCCAGCAATCCCATTACTGTGTATATACCCAAAGGATTATAAGTCATTCTATTGTAAAGACACATACACACATATATTTATTGCAGCACTGTTCACAATAGCAAAGACTTGGAACCAACCCAAATGCCCATCAATGATAGACTGGATAAAGAAAATGTGGCACATATACACCATGGAATACTATGCAGCTATAAAAAAGAATGACAAACCCAGAGCCAATATATTTATTGGTTATCTAAGGAATATGATAACCTTTGCAGGGACATGGATGAAGCTAGAAACCATCATTCTCAGCAAACTAACACAGGAACAGAAAACCAAATACCGCATGTTTTCACTCATAAGTGGGAGTTGAACAGTGAGAACATATGGGCACAGGGAGGGGAACAGTGCACACCAAGGCCTGTCGGGGGATGGGGAGCAAGGGAAGGGACAGCATTAGGAGAAATACTTAATGTAGATGACGGGTTGATGGGTGCAGCAAACCACTATAGCACTTGTATACCTATGTAACGAACCTTCACGTTCTGTACATATATCCCAGAACTTAAAGTATGATTGAAAAAAAAAAGAAGAAGATGACCAGACCTATGGGCAGTCTAACAGCTATAGAGACAACAAATTAGAGGTAATGGGGCTGCTAAATGACTCAGGGTTTCACTTGGGAACCCTGAAGGGCTTCACCTTAGGAATAAAAACAAGCAGGAATAGATCTAGCTTCAAAAAGAGTAAAACCCAGCTTCTATTCACCTCACAATGGAGTGACTGTCATCCAGAAGCAAAAATGAGTCCTCTGGAGTAAAGCTGTCCAAGGGAACTTTCTGTGATGATGGAGATGTTCTATATCTGTGCTGTTTAATGATGTAGATACTAGCCACATGTGGCTATTGAGCACATGAAATGTGGCTAGTGTGATGAAGAAATTACACATTTTAATTAATTTTAACTAATTTAAGTTGAAATAGCTCCCTGTGCCTTGTTACTATTACATTGAATAATGTAAATATGGAGGAAGATAATGTTATCCAGACCCTCTATTTATCTTTATATATTTTTTATATATTATGTCCATTTTAACAAAAAATTACTAGCCATGTCAGAATACAAGAGAAAAAATTACTAAGAAAGACAACCAAAAAAGAGAACTATAATTAATGTATCAAAAAACTTGATAAAAACATGGATAATTTTAGCAGAAAACTGGTACTAGTACAATAGAAATAAATGGAATTTATAGCAAAGAAAATCTAAAAACTTAGTAGATGTGTTTGATCACCAATTAGAAACAACTGATAAGAGAATTAGTCAACTATGAGACAAGTCAATAAAAAATGCCTGGATAGAAATCCAGAAAAAAAAAAGATAACATAGAAAAGCATCCTTTAGGAATATGAAACATAGTAAAAAGTTATAGCATACATGCAGCTGAAGTGTCAGAAGGAAAGGAGAGAGAACGGAGGAGAAATAAACATTCAAGATATAAGAAGTTTTCAAAACTGATGAAAGGCTTCAAACCAGATTCAAAAAGCCTCAAGCATTCCAAGTAAGATAAATGCAAGAAAACTACACCTAAGCACAGTATAGAAAGACTGCTGAAAGTTAAAGGCAAGAAGAGGCTCTTAAAACAGCCAGAGCATAGAAAATATGTACTACCTTCAAAAGGAGCAACAGGGCATTGCCTGACTTCTAAATGAAAGTGATAGAAGCAGGAAGACAATGGGGTATCTTTGAAGGGATGAAACAAAATAATTGCAAAACTAGAATTTTATATCTAAATGAAGATATCTGTTTAAATGCAGGCCAAATAATGTTCTTGCACAAAAATAAAGATAGCAGACTTGAAAACATAGAAATAGTAAGTGTTTTAGGCAGATTTTTTAACAGAAGGATTTAGGCAGATCGTTTTGGTCTCAGATGAAAGACACAAGTGCCAGAAGAATAAAAATCACTAGAAAGGGTAAAATGTAAGCACTTCACATAAGACAATTTAATGGCTGGATGGTGAGTAATGATGAGCTATGATTGTATATATTTCGGGTTTTAAGATTCAAATGAATCATGTAATTTCTTTTTGCATAGCATATATCAGTTTCTGACCTAATTAAATTATAGCATCATATCTCTTACCACCCCATAAGAAACTGGGGTAAATCTATGAATAAGGCTGGATTGGTTATCAGGTTACCCCATAAACCTAAGTAACTGACATTATTAGAACAGGCACTGTTAGCAAAATGAAACATAACAGAGCAATGCGTTGAAGACACCATAAATGAAAACAATTATTTTGTGTTGAACATCTGACTCTTTTCCCTCTCACACTGGAAATGCATGCATAAAAAAGATGTGCTAATTCTAAATATTTTATTGACCACCATTTTGTTTTAGGACAATAGACTGGGCTATTAACTTAAAAGAAATCTTCACCCTAGTTTTCTTTTTCATATGAATTAAAACTACTTCACTTTTTGGAACTTGTCTTTAAGGGAAGGTTGTAGAGAAAAAAATATATATGGTAATGAATTAAACACTTGAGATGGAACCTTACTTAGAAGTAAAATAGCAAACTAGAAAGGACCTAAATGTTATTAGGTTGGTGCAAATGTAATTGTGGTTTTTGCCATTGAAAGTAATGGCCCAAACTGCAATTACTTGTGTACCACCCCAATATTTAATCCACGGAGTTTTGGAGGTTTTAAAGAGGGATGGGTCTTCTTAGGGGTGAACACAAGGTAGGTGGGGGTCTTCTGATTTCTTTCTTCAGCCTGAGCTGACCTGGGTGTTCAGTTACAATTGTATTTGAAGGGAAGTTCCACTGATTACATGGAGGGGAAAGAAATCACTTTGCAAATTAAATGGCAGCCACTGGTCTAGTCCAACCCACTCAATGAGGAAACTGGCTCAGAGAGACGAAAATAAACAGCAAAGCTTCACATTTCAATTTTGTGGAGCTTCAAAACATTTTCTTTTTTGTAATAAGCCTGAAGTTTTATTCAATGGAAGTACTCATGTGTGAAACCTTACATTAGTCAGGTTGAGAAAATTACCTGGATAATTTCACTGGCAAATATAGCAGTAATCTGAAATGATTTAGCATGGGACTAATGGCACTTTATATCATTTTAAGTGCAGTTAAACTTCTTAATTACAGACACTCTAGAGACTTAGAAAAATTGCTACAATTATGGCGTGTCATTAATTCTAAGGAAACATGGCTTCCTGGGCAACACCTGCTAGGTCCATACAGTTGCCAGGCTAATATGGAGTATTAGAAATTAATGGTTTCCTTGCTTTCAAGCCACAGTGAAATTTCTGAAATTTCTGTCCAACTTAACTAGTGTCCATGGTGGTTCATTTCAATATGTTATGACTATATACTTATATTTTACAACTTTCAGAGGTTGAGAAAATTCATTGCAAGCATCATGTGTTGGTCATAGAATAGGCAGAAGCTGATTCCCCTAGAACTGCACATTCTTTTAAAATGAATCTTTTAAAAGAAATAATATGTGCTCAATGCAAGATTATAGAATAGAAAATAAAAGATGGTACCCCACCCATAAAACTTTTTCACTTCCAACTACAAAAGTTGAGTAAACAGTGATGTTCTTGGTATCACTTCATATATGTCAGATGGGCTAAGGAACATTTATGTTCATTTCCTTCAGCTTTAATCAAATTACCCTTTGGCTTCAACTATGAGAGCTTTCAGATCTTCTAGCCCTTAAAATTCAGGCAGAATTTTATCTTCATCAGCCACAAGAACTACAGAGCTGTAAAAAGGTAATTTCAGCCATGCAACACATCCATGTTCTTTAAAATCAGTGTGGTGACAAGAGTTAACATTAATTATCAACTGCATGCCTGATCTTGTGCTTTACACACATGATCCCAATATCATCCACCCAGCAAGCTGTAAATACTGCAGTTATGCATGTTGCATAGATTCATAAACTTAGATACAGGGGAAAAAAAGAAATTGTCCAGTATTGCAGAATTTGTAGGAGCTAAGCTGAGCCTGGAGCATTACTTTTTACTCCAAAATCTATGCCTGAAAGATACTTAACTCTACTTGCAATACTATGACCAGGAAAAGTAGTATCTCACATTTGAATAATAATGCTTTGTAGGTTACAAAACCTTTCATGTCACCTTGTTACATCTGATCCATAAAATTCTCTAGTGAGGCAGGAAAGTGAGGGATATAAGATAAAAAGAAGTTATAACATGCCCAATAGTGCATACTTTTTTTTTTTTTTTACTCCAAAGTCCAAGTTTTCTTCCCCACTAAATCATACCTCTCCCTGGGCAGTAAAATAATAATAATAATAATATTAAAATAATGTAAACATGTGTCAAATGCGTACAACATGCCAAAAGGCTTCTCTCCTCTCTGCCATTCTTTTTTGCTTGAACTTCTTAGTATTTCTTTTAACATTTTATTGTCTACAGTAATGTTAATGGGCCCACAGTTGTCTCAGCTTTCAATTTAGAATTACCTTTCCATTATACACTGTTCCATATATTACAAACATTCAGGAGCCCTGTAGATCATTCCTTTATCCTTTTCTTGCTATTCTCAATATTACTAACCTAGTACAAGATCTCTTCATTTCACACCTGAATTACTACAGCTTCCTAATCAATCTTCTTGTCTCCTCCAATTTTATTTATCTTCTTGCTTCTATGCAATACTTTCCCTTGGCTGTAACTTCTTGAGCAGAGTAACTTATCTTGTACATTCTCTTTCCTTCCCTGTAATTAAAGCATTTGTGTTAGAAAAATGCCAAAGTTTCTTAAAATTTTGATATTAAGAGATTCCTACAGCATTCTTTTTACCAGGGTACCCTGCTTCACCTTCCATGGCTCTCTATTACATGCATCTTAAACTCCAACATTTTTAAAGAAAATGATCTTTTTCAATTGTGTCCTAATTTATCTTTCTAATAATTCATTCCTTTCTTTAAATTGTCATTTATTCCATAAATGGCCAGTTGGTTCCAAGTTGCACACTATGTTTTCTCCACTCCAATGAAAGTTATAAGCCTTATATCTTTTCCCCAAGGAGAGCTTCACAAGACTACCATAAATAGAAGAGTATACTCTGAAACAATAAAATAAGCATGTTTAAAATATTTGAAGAGATAAAAAGGAATAGAATCAATAATAGAAAAATTAGACCTAATAAAAAGGATACAGAGTTGAAAAAGAACCAAATAGTTTCATTTTAGAAAAATTAAATGGACAGATTAATGCATATACTAAATGTGGCTGGTAAGAGAATCAGTAAATTGGAAGACTGATTTAGTGAAATCATCTTTGCAAAGCAGAGATGATAAAGCAGAAAATTGGGAAGAGCATTTAAAAGATGTGAAAGCAATAATAAGAAAATCTAATGATAGCTGTATCAAGAGTTGTAAGGAATGAGAAAAGCAAAGAAGTGATTTCAAAAAAACAATGGCTAGAAATTTTTTGTTGTTGTTTTTTAATGAAGGAGCACATGAACCCATAGATTGAAGAAGCACTAGTTAGAAAAAGCTGTTACAGAAAATAAAAATAAGCCTACAGCATAGATCCTAGTAAAACTGCAGAACATGAAATGCAAATAGAAATTATGATATGGAATAAGAGAAAAAGATAGATTACCTTCATAAGAATGGATTCAAGTAACAGCAGACTTATCCGTTATAATAGGTGCTATGATACAAAGGAATAGCATCTTCAAACAAACTAAAATTTTATAATCTGCTAAATTCTCCTACAAGAATATAAACAAAAAATTACTTGTTTAGAAAATAATAAGATTATATAAAATCGTGATCTTCCCAGAAAAATCAAGAATCTGTCAATGCATTTCTTACTTTAAGGAGTGTATACACTGCTAGAGAAGATGACACATTCATTTTCTCATTTCTTTTCACTAATTTATTATCTTATACTAGGTCTATTAGTATAATTTTTTCTCCACATTGTTTTTTGATCAACATACTTAAAAATCAACCTTTATCAAACTACTTCATGCTCAAAAATGCTCAGAAGTTGGCTGTCTAAAATTATCTAAGCCAGGGGTCAGCAAACTTTTTCTCTAAATATTTTAAACATTCTGTAAATATTCTAGGCTTTGTGCACCACATATGGTTTTTCTTGCATATTCTTTTTTATTGCTTTCTTTAACATCCTTTAAAAATGTCAAAACCATCATATACAGCTTGTAAGCTATACAAAAATAGGCTATAAGCAAGATTTGCCTAGGCCATGTTTTTCTGACTTCTGATCTAAACTCTGAACTTGTCACTCAATGTCTACTCTTTGCAGGCTTTGTTTTAAACACAGTACTACAGAAACCTGATGTATTTAATAGAATAAAATATGTTCACCACAAACAATAGCAGAGGAATATATATATTGACTTTCTGGTTGCCAGATACCATAGGTTGACCAGGGAAGGGGTGGGGCACTTATTGACCAGGGAAATTTAGAAAAGCTTGCTCTTTAACAGGGCTGATTTAAAAGTGAAGCAGTCAACTGGAGGCTTTATCAGTCCATATTTATCCTTGGAACTAGGTCCATATATAGGAGACAACATAAATTAATGGGATTTTTCTCCTAAATGTGAACAATTCAGTTTAACATTCATATTTTATGAATACCCTGAACAGATCAAACACTAGCTGAATTGCTGGGGTTGCAAAGAGGAATAAAACCGTCACCTGCTTGGAGGACGTCAAAATCTACAAAGAAGAGGAGGTAGGTGAATTAGTCAAAGAATAACACTTTAAGTTCATGGTTGCCAATTTCAAATCATTGTTAATTAAAAGGAGGTCAAAGGCAAAGTCTAGAGATTAATCTTGAACACTTACCATAAGCCACTTAAAAAACAAAAACAAGACACTTCTTCCGTACAAAAAAATACTTGGTTATTTAAACACTCTGTTTTCCTTCGGGTATAATTTATTAGTTACTTGAAAATTCAAAATGTATCAGTTGTTTCCTCCAGTTCTTGTTTGTTCAGATACATCCTTATCCTCTTTTTATCAACCACTGTGTTTGGGGAGAGTTTAGATTAAAGACTGTTCTAAGCCACTCATGTTTTCTGCAGAGGATGTGGCTGTCTGTGGGTTGTGGTGTGTGCATACGTGTGTGTGAGTGTGTGTGTGTGTGTGTGTGTGTGTGTGTGTGCTGGGTCGGAATGGGGGTGCATATGCGTATTGCTGTTGGTAGAGGGATGAAAAGGCCTCCCTTAACAAACAAGAAAATTGCTTTGCTTTCTTGATCTTTTAAACAACCAAGAAATCCCTGTGAATTCTGTTCTGCTTCCAATCATCAATTACATCACTCAATCAAAACCCCAGTGCAATCACCTTCCAGCTCCCCACATAGCCAATGCTACATGACATAACTCCAGCCATCTCAGCACTGAAGCCATAGCATTAACAGAATGTATCAAGTTATTTGTGATGCTTCATTCACTGTAATCAGAAAAAGAAGTCAAGCGGGCACATTTATCATGGTGACCGTGGAGTTTGTAGGTGAGACAATCTGAAGGGAGAAGATACCTTTGATTAAGTTAAGACAAGCTATAATGGATGAGAGTTCTGCTCAAGTCCAATAAATCAGCAGAGCCTTTCCAGGCTAGCAGACACAGGAATCATTGGTAAATTAACACTTGCTAGAGTTGCTATGTTGATGCCGTTAATGTGAATCCTGCCCAGATACCTCTACGGCAGAAAGTTGGGAAAGGAAGTCTAAATAATCTTGAGAGGATATTTGTGATTGATGACTGCAAAATGTATTACCCATTGGACTTATTCAGAGCTATGCTTTAATAAACCTCAGTCTCTTTTAACGGTGGGATATGGTGAAAGGTCGCTGGGCTCAGTGTTAACAATTAGACCAATTGACTGAAATGGCAATGGTATTGAAACCATTTTGTACATGGATCAGCATCTCCTCAAAGGGGCTGGGGGTCAGAAGGTGTCATTTGAAATAAGAAAGTGGGAACCTTTTGTTTTGGGTTTCTCTGTGTCTATAAATTTTGGGTTTTTTCCCCCCTGGGATTTCTGAAGCCATGAATAAAATATGAGTGTGTTGTATTTCTTTTTCCTTAATGAGTGATTGCCCCGGATGGTAGGACATTCCCCGAACAAAGAAAGCCACACTCTGGATTTATTAACTCTTAGCAAATGTTTGTTCGATGCTGAGTAATAAGGAGGTTTGCCGGTGCAGCAAGATAAAAGGCTTCTCCACTTTGTGTTTATCCTCTGGGTAATGAACAAACAAATTGGCGATTTTGTATTTTTCCTGTTGGAAATTCATAAGGTCACCTGGGGAAAACAGAGAAGGTTAACTGGCATGAACACTTGCCTGTAAGCAGGGTGTCAGGAAAGAAAGGTCACAAATGGATGAAATATCCCAAACCGTAACCAGTGCAGCCGCAAACGCAGGGCCCGAGGAAAGGAAATTGCATTTAATGAAAGCAGAGCCTTGGGAATTGCACTGATGGGCATGCAGCGGATCCTGTGTTTTCAGCATGCACATGTTGAGAAAACCTTACAGAAAGCCAGTGGAATAATATCTCCCTTGCAAAAGCCCTTCACTTTTTGCCACCTTCTACTGTGTCCTACTCTGTTGTTTTTTTCTACCTTCCCCCCTTGTATTCTATTTCTCTACCCACTTTTCCCATTTCATTTCTCACTGCAGAGAAAAGCTACTTGCTAAGGGTCAAAGGGTGGCAGTAAGAGAGGCTTGAGGAAGCTGGAGCTATAGCCTTCAGGTGATTGATAATCTACACAGAGTACAGAGCGTCCGGACCTGCCTTTAACTTTGGTTGCCAACTTTTCTTAACGTGAAGCAAAACTCATTCTTTCTTTCCTTTGTTAGACACTGACTCATGAGGAATCAGAGAAATGGGATTTCCTGCAAGTCTGTGGGATATTTTTCTGCAAAGGTGCACCGGTGATTCTCTCTGAATGAACAAAACAGTGTGGTTAGGTATTCTGTTAAGTTAGAGGGCAAAGGCTGGGGTCATTTCCTGTCAACAATCTTATTTCTTTGCCCTGAGAAAAATTACCTTTCTTCATCCCATTAGAAATCTTTATTCTGCTCCACAATGATCTAGATTGGTTGAAGCTTGAAAAGAAAAAAAAAAAGAAAAAAAGAGAAAGCTCCTCTGATTGACTGATTGCTTTTCCAGATTGGAAAATAATTTTTTCCTGATGATGGAGACAGACAGGTGATGTTTGCCACCAGAATAGACAAACCGAAGGAAGAATGGGAGAAAAAAAATGATAGAAGGAGGAGAGGGAAAGATTGGAAAGAGAAATGGAAATATGGTTATTCATAAAGGATCAGTCTATGAGAAGGAGGAAAATTGTAGAAGGGGGAGAAAGAAACGGGGAGAAATCCAACTGGGAAGAAATAAGGTTGGTATAAGAGAGAGTGGGCAAGGGTTGCAGGCAGTAAGTTAGTTCAGAAGAGGATAATGTTGGACTTCAATTATTCCCATAGTTTTTCTGTCCTTCACAAGTGTAAAACTACAGGATTCTCACTGGGCAAACCTTCTCATTCTTTACCTGGGAGGTAAGGAAGACCAGAAAGCACTCAGAGGAAAAAGCATTGTGTACATATTACATTTCAACTTTGAGGCACTGGGGAAAGCTACGGGTGTGGCATGAACTTCCCAAGTTGAAGGGAAGCATGGACATCTGTACAGTCTAACTTGCTCATTTTGCAGATGAGAAAATCAAGGTCTGGATTGTCTGTCATAGGGGCTCATCCAAAGTCAAGACAGCTTGTTAGAATGATGCAGGTGGGAGCAGAACCCAAATGATCTGCCTCTCTGTCATCTGACTTCCACAGCTGCTGCTAGAGCTGGCCATTTATTTCTCATTGCAGGCGCCTGGTCCCTGACAGAGCTCTGGGCTTCTGCCAGCTGCTTGCCCCTCACAGCTCTGACACTAGAAACAATAGGGGGTTACTAAAGGTTTCCAAGCAGGGGAGTGATGTAACAAAACTGGGTTGGCAGAGAATCATTCTAGCAGCTGAATATGGTGAGCAGGTGGATTATAAAGAAATCACAACACCATAAGGCCCTGATAAAGTACCTGTGTGACCTTGAACAAACCCATTAATCTCTGAACCCAATTTTCTCATATATAAAATGATGGCATTGGATGGTCCTATGCACGTCTACTGTTTTATGATTCTTATCCTCCCCTTTCTGCAGTCGTGGCCATTAACGTTACTTAATTGTAGCAGCTGACAGGCTATGGCATGCCTGTCATTTCTTGCACTTGGTGTTAGCCACAGGGGCCTTGAGGTAAATCGGCCACTTCGCAAACAAATTCCTGAAAAATGGCAACTCTAGCGGCTTCCCAGAGCTTGGACCATGGAATCCAAATGGGGAAAAGATAGAAGCACGCAAATGTCTGTTTAACTCTGCTCTCTTTGATTAATGAATATTATTCAAGGCAATAGCCATAAAATACACAGAATTTACACAGCAAGAGAATCTATACCAGTTTCCTCAGCCCCAACCAGCTAACAGGAATAAAACCAGGGGTTCTGGCTGAAGTAGTTCAGTAACTAATTGAAGGCAAAGAAATAACAGTCAGCTAATTCTGTCACTGATGACATTGTCATTATGAAGAAAACCTAACTCCTTAATTGTTTTGAATCAGTTGCTTGCTTATTTTGTGTTTTAAAAGGTGTCATTTTAAAGAAAAGGCCATCTCTTGGCACAATCTCTCCTTTAAAATCAGGTTGATAATAGCCCATTATAGAGAGAAAAGGGTCAATAATGAGAATGTGGAAATAGTTACCCCTTGTCATATATGAAGATAAGAGAGTCCTCCAAAAAATAAAATGCTATAGAGAGAACATTGTTCTAATATTTTCAGAAATGTGAGTTACTGTTCATAAAGCATACTCTGGGGTTTGAGAAAAAGTTGCTTGCAAAAACTAAGTAAACAGACAGCTTTGGAATGTTGATTAAGGACGGGGAAACTAAACCAGGATTTGTTGTTGGATAATCAAATTTTATATTCACAACTGATGGAGGAGCAGAAATGATGTCAAAGGAAATGGATTTGTCTGGAAGGAAGGACTAAGTAAGTATTAAACATCGACCCCACTCCCTCAACCCCAGATGCACAATAGCGTGTGTCTCTAACTCACTGTTCAGACTGAAGAAAAACCTGGGGTTGGGAGGCGCCATCTTGATCTTTACTAGATTTTATTTTTCCTAAGAGAAATTCACAAGTGAAATTAGGAAATTAGCCATTGCACAACTAAGGCTTTTCTTTTCTTTCTTTTTTTTTTTTTTTTTCCCGAGATGGAGTCCTGCTCTGTCACCCAGGCTGGTGTGTAGTGGTGTGATCTGGGCTCACTGCAACCTCTGCCTCCGGGTTCCAGCAATTCTGCCTCAGCTTGCTGAGTAGCTGGGATTACAGGCACCCGCCACCACATGTTGCTAATTTTTTGTATTTTTAGTAGAGATGGGGCTTTCACCATGTTGGCCAGGCTGGTCTGGAACTCCTGACCTCGTGATCCGCCCGCCTCGGCCTCCCAAAGTGCTGGGATTACAGACATGAGCCACCTCGCCCGGCCTAAGGCTTTTATTTTCATGCTAACCACTCATTAGCGATTTCCATTTATCTTAATTGAGATGACCTCTGTTTGATTCCTTGGTAAGACCTTTGTCTTAGGTACTATGCAACAATTTTCAAACAAGTCTAAAAATCCAACTAAACATTAGCAGTATGGGCACCAGCTCTGTCAAAAAAGCAATTCAAGATAGGAAACAAAAGAACAAAAAGAGACAAGTACTGGCTCTCTCAACAAATACTTATTTTGAACTTCTATATGCCAAGCGCTATGCTATAAACATATAGATCCGGGTTCTAGTTTTCAGAAGTTTTCTTTAAATATTGTATTGAGTAACATTACCTAACAAATGCTTTCATTCATAACTTATTGGAAGTTGTATATTTCATTAGTAGAGAAAAGTAATACATTTTTATTCTCTGTTTTAATTTCTGATAGTCTTATCACCATAAATTTATGTATCTCTTTTTAGCACAATTTTTAAAAATGTTCCATGACTATGCAATTTTTAAATAAAGATACTAGCAACATTACCTTTTTGTCATATTTTTCCCTCTTCCCTTTCCCATTTTTTTCACATATCAGATCTAAAAGTATTTGTACTCTTACTTTGTATTATCAAGGTTGATAGCATTTACATTTTGTTCTCTAATTGTGATGAATCTTTATAATTTTCCATAAATGTTGAAAGCATTTAAAAGCATTTACATTATGACTATGTAAATGTTTCCCTGCAGAACCAATGTAACACTCTGATTCCTTCTCTTCCTGTTTCACTGAAAAATGGAATGTTTCCAGAACCAAGGTCGAAAGATTCTTTATTCTTATACTTCACCAAATTCTAATTTGTTTTTTATTTAGGACACAATATTCTTGTTTGCTTTCTGGAGTTTTTAATTGTCTCTTGCCTTGAGAGGGGAAAAATGTAATTGATAGTGTCCAGCTCTTAATCATTCTAACTACTCTTTGGAATCTATTCCCTTCTTTCTGAAGGCATGCTCATTGGACAGCGATTTCTTGTTCTATGATTAGTCAATTCTTTTTTGGCCTGTCACACAGCAGTCATTCTAATTGATCTTTTCATTGGACTCTTGGTTTTGTTCCTCCATTTCTTTTTTCTTTTCTTTTTATTTTTTTTAATTTTTTTGAGATGGAGTCTCACTCTGTCACCCAGGATGGAGTGCAGTGGTGCAATCTTGGCTCACTGCAACCTCCGCCTCCTGGGTTCAAGTGATTCACTTGCCTCAGCCTCCCAAGTAGCTGGAACTACAGGCACATGCCACTACGCTTGGCTAATTTTTTTTTATTTTATTTTTTATTTTTAGTAGAGATGGGGTTTCACTGTATTAGCCAGGATGGTCTCAATCTCCTGACCTCCTGAACTGCCCGCCTTGACCTCCCAAACTGCTGGGATTACAGGTGTGAGCCACTGCGCCCGGCAGTTCCTCCATTTCTTATATCCTATGTCTTCACTTTTCTAGTTCTTATCCTGTTTCGCTGGAGTACATCTTTAAATAACTACTTTGAAATAAGGAGACAAACTTAGTGAGTTCTGACACATCTGAAAATGATGTGACTATTCATAGTTGCTTATTAGTTGGATTAGGTATAGAATTCTAGGATCAAATTAATTATCTCAGAATTTCAAAGGCTCTATTTTATCATTTTTCAGCATGTATGACTGATGGTGAGATGTTTGATGATGATCTACTTTTATTCTTCTGTAAATTACTTTTTTCTTCTCTCTTTGGCAACTTTTGAGATCTCTTTAACTTTAGCATTAGGAAATCTTAGAAATTATAGAATGGTATTTCTTTTTGTATATTCTTTTTCTAGGACTTGAAAAGCTCTTTTAAAGTAAAGATTCATCTCACTTCAGTGCGGGAAAGTTTTGTTCATATTTCTTCATTTTGTTTTATTTAAAAATTTTTATTTACATATAATCTACTTGGAGAAAAATCCATGAGTCATAAGAGTATAATCTATTTCTTTTTCCAAAAGCTGAAAATATCCCTGTAACAAGCACTAAAGACAGGAAATGGGATGATTCCAGCACCTCAGAAACTTTTCTCCTGTTTTGTTCTGATCACCCTGGCAAGGTAACCACTATCCTGATGTCTAACAGGAAGATTCAGTTTTTCTGTTTTTTTTTCTTTTGTATAAATATAATCAATGGTTGTTGTTGTTGTTGTTGTTTACTAATTTTCTCCTGTTCACATTTTTCATCCTTTCTCTGGAACTTCTAGTCGTCAGGCATTGAAGCTTTGGCATTGATACTTTATTATATGTTCTCTTGTATTTTTCCTGTCTTTTTTAGTGATATGTACTGGGATAGATCCTCAAGTTTTCTTCCATTATTTCATTTTTTGGCCATTTTGTTTGTTAATTTCCCTGTGCTTGTTTTGCTCTCTGTTATTTTTCAAATCATCTATGTTATTGACATAAATCTAGGTGGCTGTCACAATAGGCCCCAAAATATGGTGACTTAAATAATACCAAACTCCATTTCATTCTTGTGTAACTGACATGAGATGGATGGGGTGATTGTGCTTCCCGAAGCCGTCAGGAGCCCAAGTTCCCTCCATCTTCCACCATGTCATCCCTTAAGGTGTCACTCTCTTTTGCATGGCCAAAGCTGTGTCACAGCCACATTCACACGGAAAGGAAAAAAGAAGTTCTGGGACAATAGTTGCATGCATTGCTTCGTTTCACATTAAATAGAGTAGAACTGTCACATGTTACAACTAACTGTGAAGGAACATGAAAAATAGTCTAGCTGCATGCCATCAGGAAGAAGGGTAGAAATGTATTTAGGGAGGAAAACTAGAGCTCTGTTACACCATCCTGTATTTGTATTATTGATAAAATATCTTTCTAACTTTCCTGGAAAATAAAGAGAATATTCTTTATTTGTCTTTATTTCTCTACTATTTTCTCCTGTTTCTGTCTTCCTTCTCTCCCCTTTCTTCCTTTCTTTCTGTTTCTGTCTGTTTTCTGAATAATCCCTATTTCCCCTGGCCTCATATTTTTTGGACTATATTATTCCATCACTTCAGACTGGGACTTTCCCTAAATGAATAATGAACCTTACTTGTCTATTTACAAGGTTAAGAATGAAGAAAGATGAATGTTGACTGGAAGAACTGTGTATACAGCTAGAAAATTGGCAGGAAGGCTCTTCCTCAGTGTGAGTGCACAAGGCAACGGTTATTATATAAGGGCCTCCCAAGTTCAAGAATGGTGAGAATGATGAGTGCTTTTCCTCTGTAGCAATGACAGCCACAATAGCTATTTTAATTCTCTCCAGTTTGTTCTTTGAAGGAGAACCTTATGTGTGTGTGTATGTGTGCGTCGGGGCAGGGGGGCATTCTTTCCTTGTTTTGTACTGGAGTTTGTATTAGTTTCGGCTAAGCAATGCTATAGTAACAAACAACCCTCCAAATCCCAATGGTTTACAATAACAAAGATTATCACAAGTCTACCATGCATTGGCTTATGTTCTGCTTCCTCTTGCTTTATTACCTGACCTAGGCTAACAAAAATAGCTCCTCTCAAAGATACTGGCAGTGTTGTGGCAAAGGGAACAGACACATGGTGAACCATGTGCTGGCCCTTAACACTTCTGCTTGAAAGTGAAACACATCATTTCTGCTAGTATTTGTTGCCAAAGAAATCACATGACCTTGAGCAAGTACAACAGGACAAGGCTATTTAACTCTTGGATAGGCATGTGTACCACAAAAAAAAAAAAAAGGAACAAAAATATCTGTAATAATAGTACAGTCTCCTAAAGGGCTAAATACTTACCCTCTGTTTTTTTAATTGGGGGTAAGGGGATGAGGGAATCAATTGACCTATGCATGTACCTTAAATCCGTTGCCTGTGTTCAACCCAATTTTATGGCTGCCATTCACTTGCTTTATGATTTCTTAATCAAGATCCTCCCTATAATTCTCTAATACTCTCCACTTTAGCCCCTGCTTCCTGCCCAGGAGACAGGTATATTTAGGCTGCAGCTTTTAAATCTTTTCTTAATCAGCGAGCACCCTTCTTTCTCTCTTCCAGAAATTGTTGAAATCTATTATCTGCTTATAATTTCCTTTTCTGTTTTCTTTATTATGATGAGTTTATACCTTTTTAAATTCTTTTATTCTGATACTCATGGGTTTTCAGAAAAAAAAGGAAAGCTTTTGTGTTCATTTGGCTGTATTAAAAGGAAGAAAAAACTGAATACATGCAAAAGAATTGCTGAATCACACACACACACACACACACACACACACCCCTTATTTTCTTTTTTTTTAAATTTTATTATTATTATACTTTAAGTTTTAGGGTACATGTGCACAACGTGCAGGTTTGTTACATATGTATACATGTGCCATGTTGGTGTGCTGCACCCATTAACTCGTCATTTAGCATTAGGTATATCTCCTAATGCTATCCCTCCCCCCTCCCCCCACCCTACAACAGTCCCTGGTGTGTGATGTTCCCCTTCCTGTGTCCATGTGTTCTCATTGTTCAATTCCCACCTATGAGTGAGAACATGCGGTGTTTGGTTTTTTGTCCTTGCAATAGTTTGCTGAGAATGATGGTTTCCAGCTTCATCCATGTCCCTACAAAGAACATGAACTCATCATTTTTTTATGGCTGCATAGTATTCCATGTGTATATGTGCCACATTTCTTTAATTCAGTCTATCATTGTTGGACATTTGGGTCGGTTCCAAGTCTTTGCTATTGTGAACAGTGCCGCAATAAACATACGTGTGCATGTGTCTTTATAGCAGCATGATTTATAATCCTTTGGGTATATACCCAGTAATGGGATGGCTGGGTCAAATTGTATTTCTAGTTCTAGATCCCTGAGGAATCGCCACACTGACTTCCACAATGGTTGAACCAGTTTACAGTCCCACCAACAGTGTAAAAGTGTTCCTATTTCTCCACATCCTCTCCAGCACCTGTTGTGTCCTGACTTTTGAATAATCGCCGTTCTAACTGGTGTGAGATGGTATCTCATTGTGGTTTTGATTTGCATTTCTCTGATGGCCAGTGATGATGAGCATTTTTTCATGTGTTTTTTGGCTGCATAAATGTCTTCTTTTGAGAAGCGTCTGTTCATATCCTTGCCCACTTTTTGATGGGGTTGTTTGTTTTTTTCTTATCAATTTGTTTGAGTTCATTGTAGATTCTGGATATTGGCCCTTTGTCAGATGAGTAGGTTGCAAAAATTTTCTCCCATTCTGTAGGTTGCCTGTTCACTCCGAAGGCAGTTTCTTTTGCTGTGCAGAAGCTCTTGAGTTTAATTAGATCCCATTTGTCAATTTTGGCTTTTGTTGCCATTGCGTTTGGTGTTTTAGACATGAAGTCCTTGCTCATGCCTATGTCCTGAATGGTATTGCCTAGGTTTTCTTCTAGGGTTTTTATGGTTTTAGGTCTAACATTTAAGTCTTAAATCCATCTTGAGTTAATTTTTGTATAAGGTGTAAGGAAGGGATCCAGTTTCAGCTTTCTACATATGGCTAGCCAGTTTTCCCAGCACCATTTATTAAATAGGGAATCCTTTCCCCATTGCTTGTTTTTGTCAGGTTTGTCAAAGATCAGGTAGTTGTAGATATGTGGCATTATTTCTGAGGGCTCTGTTCTGTTCCATTGGTCTGTATCTCTGTTTTGGTACCAGTACCATGCTGTTTTGGTTACTTTAGCCTTGTAGCATATTTTGAAGTCAGGTAGCATGATGCCTCCAGTTTGTTCTTTGTTCTTTTGGCTTAGGATTGACTTGGCAATGCGGGCTCTTTTTTGGTTCCATATGAACTTTAAAGTGGTTTTTTCCAATTCTGTGAAGAAAGGCATTGGTAGATTGATGGGGATGGCATTGAATCTATAAATTACCTTGGGCAGTATGGCCATTTTCACGATATTGATTCTTCCTACCCATGAGCATGGAATGTTCTTCCATTTGTTTGTACCCTCTTTTATTTCATTGAGCAGTGGTTTGTAGTTATCCTTGAAGAGGTCCTTCAAATCCCTTGTAAGTTGGATTCCTAGCTATTTTATTCTCTTTGAAGCAATTGTGAATGGGAGTTCACTCATGATTTGGCTCTCTGTTTGTCTGTTATTGGTATATAAGAATGCTTGTAATTTTTGCACATTGATTTTGTATCCTGAGACTTTGCTGAAGTTGCTTATCAGCTTAAGGAGATTTTGGGCTGAGATGATGGGGTTTTCTAGATATACAATCATGTCATCTGCAAACAGGGACAATTTGACTTCCTCTTTTCCTAATTGAATGCCCTTTGTTTCCTTCTCCTGCCTGATTGCCCTGGCCAGAACTTCCAACACTACGTAGAATAGGAGTGGTGAGACAGGGCATCCCTGTCTTATGCCAGTTTTCAAAGGGAATGCTTCCAGTTTTTGTCCATTCAGTATGATAGTGGCTGTGGGTTTGTCATAGATAGATCTTATTATTTTGAGTTACGTCCCATCAATACCTAATTTATTGAGAGTTTTTAGAATGAAGAGTTGTTGAATTTTGTCAAAGGCCTTTTCTGCATCTATTGAGATAATCATGTGCTTTTTGTCTTTGGTTCTGTTTATATGCTGGATTACGTTTATTGATTTGCGTATGTTGAACCAGCCTTGCATCCCAGGGATGAAGCCCACTTGATCATGGTGGATAAGTTTTTGATGTGCTGCTAGATTCAGTTTGCCAGTATTTTATTGAGGATTTTTGCATCAATGTTCATCAAGGATATTGGTCTAAAATTCTCTTTTTTTGTTGCATCTCTGCCAGGCTTTGGTATCAGGATGATGCTGGCCTCATAAAATGAGTTAGGGAGGATTCCCTCTTTTTCTATTGATTGGAATAGTTTCAGAAGGAATGGTACCAGCTCCTCCTTGTACCTCTGGTTGAATTCGGCTGTGAATCCATCTGGTCCTGGACTCTTTTTGGTTGGTAAGCTATTAATTATTGCCTCAATTTCAGAGCCTGTTATTGGCCTATTCAGAGATTCAACTTCTTCCTGGTTTAGTCTTGGGAACTTGTATGTGTCGAAGAATTTATCCATTTCTTCTAGATTTTCTAGTTTATTTGCGTAGAGGTGTTTATAGTATTCTCTGATGGTACTTTGTATTTCTGTGGGATCAGTGTTGATATCCCCTTTGTCATTTTTTATTGCGTCTATTTGATTCTTCTCTCTTTTCCTCTTTATTAGTCTTGCTAGCGGTCTATCAATTTTGTTGATCCTTTCAAAAAACCAGCTCCTGGACTCATTGATGTTTTGAAGGGTTTTTTGTGTCTCTATTTCCTTCAGTTCTGCTCTGATCTTAGTTATTTCTTGCCTTCTGCTAGCTTTTGAATGTGTTTGCTCTTGCTTCTCTAGTTCTTTTAATTGTGATATTAGGGTGTCAATTTTAGATCTTTCCTGCTTTCTCTTGTGGGCATTTAGTGCTATAAATTTCCCTCTACACACTGCTTTGAGTGTGTCCCAGAGATTCTGGTATGTTGTGTCTTTGTTCTCATTGGTTTCAAAGAACATCTTTATTTCTGCCTTTATTTCGTTATGTACCCAGTAGTCATTCAGGAGCAGGTTGTTCAGTTTCCATGTAGTTGAGCAGTTTTGAGTGAGATTCTTAATCCTGAGTTCTAGTTTGATTGCACTGTGGTCTGAGAGACAGCTTGTTATAATTTCTGTTCTTTTACATTTGCTGAGGAGTGCTTTACTTCCAACTATGTGGTCAATTTTGGAATAGGTGTGGTGTGGTGCTGTAAAGAATGTATATTCTGTTGATTTGGGGTGGAGAGTTCTGTAGATGTCTATTAGGTCTGCTTGGTGCAGAACTGAGTTCAAGTCCTGGATATCCTTGTTAACTTTCTGTCTCGTTGATCTGTCTAATGTTGACAGTGGGGTGTTAAAGTCTCCCATTATTATTGTGTGGGAGTCTAAGTCTCTTTGTAGGTCACTAAGCACTTGCTTTATGAATCTGGGTGCTCCTGTATTGGGTGCATATATATTTAGGATAGTTAGCTCTTCTCGTTGAATTGATCCCTTTATCATTATGTAATGGCCTTCTTTATCTCTTTTGATCTTTGTTGGTTTAAAGTCTGTTTTATCTGAGACTAGGATTGCAACCCCTGCCTTTTTTTGTTTTCCATTTGCTTGATAGACCTTCCTCCATCCGTCTATTTTGAGCCCATGTGTGCCTCTGCACGTGAGATGGGTTTCCTCAATACAGCACACTGATGGGTCTTGACTCTTTGTCCAATTTGCCAGTCTGTGTCTTTTAATTGGAGCATTTAGCCCATTTACATTTAAGATTAATATCGTTATGTTTGAATTTGATCCTGTCATTATGATGTTAGCTGGTGATTTTGCTCGTTAGTTGATGCAGTTTCTTCCTAGCCTTGATGGTCTTTACAATTTGGCTTGTTTTTACAGTGGTTGGTACCGGTTGTTCCTTTCCCTGTTTGGTGCTTCCTTCAGGAACTCTTTTAGGGCAGGCCGGGAGGTGACAAAATCTCTCGGCATTTGCTTGTTTGTAAAGTATTTTATTTCTCCTTCACTTATGAAGCTTAGTTTGGCTGGATATGAAATTCTGGGTTGAAAATTCTTTTCTTTAAGAATGTTGAATATTGGCCCCCACTCTCTTCTGACTTGTAGAGTTTCTGCGGAGAGATCAGCTGTTAGTCTGATGGGCTTCCCTTTGTGGGTAACCCAACCTTTCTCTCTTGCTGCCCTTAACATTTTTTCTTTCATTTCAACTTTGGTGAATCTGACAATTATGTGTCTTGGAGTTGCTCTTCTCAAGGAGTATCTTTGTGGCGTTCTCTGTATTTCCTGAATTTGAATGCTGGCCTGCCTTGCTAGGTTGGGGAAGTTCTCCTAGATAATATCCTGCAGAGTGTTTTCCAACTTGGTTCCATTCTCCCCCTCACTTTCAGGTACACCAATCAGACGTAGATTTGGTCTTTTCACATAGTCCCATATTTCTTGGAGGCTTTGTTCATTTCTTTTTATTCTTTTTTCTCTAAACTTCTCTTCTCACTTCATTTCATTCATTTCATCTTCCATTGCTGATACCCTTTCTTCCAGTTGATCGCATCAGCTACTGAGACTTTTGCATTCGTCACATAGTTCTCGTGCCTTGGTTTTCAGCTCCATCAGGTACTTTAAGGACTTCTCTGCATTGGTTATTCTAGTTAGCCATTCGTCTAACTTTTTTTCAAGGTTTTCACTTCTTTGCCATTGGTTCGAACTTCCTCCTTTAGCTCGGAGTAGTTTGATCTTCTGAAGCCTTCTTCTCTCAACTCGTCAAAGTCATTCTCCTTCCAGCTTTGTTCCGTTGCTGGTGAGGAGCTGCGTTCCTTTGGAGGAGGAGAAGCGCTCTGATTTTTAGAGTTTCCAGTTTTTATGCTCTGTTTTTTCCCTATCTTTGTGGTTTTATCTACCTTTGGTCTTTGATGATGGTGATGTACAGATGGGTTTTTGGTGTGGATGTCCTTTCTGTTTGTTAGTTTTCCTTCTAACAGTCAGGACCCTCAGCTGCAGGTCTGTCGGAGTTTGCTGGAGGTCCACTCCAGACCCTGTTTGCCTGGGTGTCAGCAGCAGTGGCTGCAGAACAGCGGATATTGGTGAACTGCAAATGCTGCTGCCTGATCGTTCCTCTGGAAGTTTCATCTCAGAGGAGTACCCAGCTGTGTGAGGTGTCAGTCCGTGCCTACTGGGGGGTGCCTCCCAGTTAGGCTACTCGGGGGTCAGGGACCCACTTGAGGAGGCAGTCTGCCCATTCTCAGATATCAAGCTGCATGCTGGGAAAACCACTACTCTCTTCAAAGCTGTCAGACAGGGACAATTAAGTCTGCAGATGTTACTGCTGCCTTTTGTTTGTCTGTGCCCTGCCCCCAGAGGTGGAGCCTACAGAGGCAGGCAGACCTCCTTGAGCTGTGGTGGGCTCCACGCAGTTGGAGCTTCCCGGCTGCTTTGTTTACCTACTCAAGCCTTGGCAATGGCGGGCGCCCCTCCCCCAGTCTCGATGCTGCCTTGCAGTTTGATCTCAGACTGCTGTGCTAGCAATCAGCGAGGCTCCGTGGGCGTAGGACCCTCTGAGCCAGGTGCGGGGTATTATCTCCTGGTGTGCCATTTGTTAAGCCAGTTGGAAAAGTGCAGTATTAGGGTGGGAGTGACTCGATTTTCCAGGTGCCGTCTGTCACCCCTTTCTTTGACTAGGAAAGGGAATTCCCTGACCCCTTGCACTTCCTGGGTGAGGCAATGCCTTGTCCTGCTTCAGCTCACGCAAAGCACCCACTGTCCTGCACCCACTGTCTGGCACTCCCTATTGAGATGAACCTGGTACCTCAGTTGGAAATGCAGAAATCACCTGTCTTCTGCGTCGCTCACTCTGGGAGCTGTAGACTGGAGCTGTTCCTATTTGGCCATCTTGGCTCCACCCTCCTTATTTTCTTAAAAAAATCAAAAATTAAAAAAAGAAAGGATCAGGAAAAATAGTAGGCAGTTAAAATTTTTGTTTTGTTCTGTTTTTCCAATTACAGGTTTCAATTTTAAACATCATTATTGACCCACTGCTATTAAAAACAAGACAAATATGTCTTTCTTCTCCTCTTTCCTATCCCAACCCCTAATTTTTACTTAATTTATTATTACAGCAGGTTGCCAACAGTTATAATAATCATGTTTGATTCTATAATATTGTTCCCCATGCTTTAAAACCTTAATTTATGAATTTAAGCAGTCAGAGCTCACCACAACACCTTTTATCATGATTTCTTCACCTATGAATTGTTTATTTTAAGAAATTTTCAGAGGCCAAATGTAGTAATAAGCATATTTTTTTCAAAAAAGATTTGGGAAGAAATCCTATAATTTACTGAAATTTTGCCTGCTTGAAATTTTAAAGGAAAACTTGACTTCTTTTAAATTCTTACGTCCAGCTTCTGTTTTTGGCTAAGATGAAATAATGAGGACCAGTCTTCCTCTTCTGCCTAAAAGCACAAACAAACAAAATACAGACAAAATATGTGAAACAGTGGTTTTCAAGATATTGGACATCAGACAACAAATGAGACTGACGCCATGAAACAAATAAAGTGAGCCTTGAGATTGCCCCAGGTAACTGCTCAGAGAGAGATTTTAGGTCACTGCTTAGACAGAGTCTTAGCAGAGCCTGGCAGTCTCCTTGAAATGAACAGAAGAAGCTGGGGACACAGTGAGCCCAAAGTGGCTAGAGCTCACAGGACAGAGTGCAGGGGGAGAGAGAGAGAGAGAGAGAGAGAGAGAGAGAAAGAGAACAAAGTCGAGAGATCAGCAGATCAGCAAGGTTCATCTCAGTCTTCAGCTGAGTACTACTGATCAGCACTTGTGTAAGGAAAAACCCTCCCAAAAAGTCAGAAGCAACACACCTGGAAGATCTCTGAGGGTTAAGAACAGTTCCTGTCCTGATCGTCCAGCTATGGATGAAATATTGAAAATCTTCATAATTCATTAGGCACTGGATAGATTTCTCAAAAGGGTTTTGCTCAGTAATAGGAAAAAAAAAATCCTAAACTGTGCTCTGAATGAAGACTAATAAAGGTTAAAAATGATACCCAAAAGGATCAAAAACTATTTTCAAACAACTTAGCCACGATTCAGAACAAAGCTCAAGAATTTTTATAGATATGCAAAAAAGTACAACACCTGGCAAGGTAAAATTAAAAAGTCTAGAATTCAATAAAATGTATTAGTCACAAAAAGAATCAGGAAAATACAGTCCATAATGAGAAGAAAAATTAGGTGACGGAAACCCAGCTACAAATGATACAGATGATAGAATTTAAAATAAATCAATTGAAACCCACCTATATGAAACACAGATGAAATAAGTAAGTTCATTAAAATAGTTATTTAAAAAGTATTCTGTATGTTCAAGAAGATAGAGGAATGATTTAGCATGTTATATAGAGGAAGACAGTTTTAAAAGAGCCAATTCAATCTTTAAAAAATGAAAACTGCATTGTCTGAGACGAAAAATACACTGGATATGATCAACGGCATATTAGACATTGCAAAAAAATGATTAGAGAACTTGAAAACAGCAAAAGAAATTAGCCAAACTTATGCACAGAGAAAAAAGACTGAAAAAAAAAGTGAACAGATACTCAATGACAGATTTCTTTCCTTACTGTTTTAATCTTTTAAAAAGGTAATTGACTGGTTAATACAAAAATAATAACAGGGTATTATGAAACTTAAAACATATGCAGAAGTAAAATTTATGACAACGATAACACAAAGACTAGCAGAGGAGAAATGGAAGTACACTGTTGAGAAGTTTCTATAATATATTTAAAGTGATATAATATCAGCTGGAAGTAAACTGTAACCACAGCTGACCTCATAGCCCAAGTCAATTCAAAGCAATTGAATTCAAAGAGAAAATTTTCTCACAAAGAAAACTCCAGGCCTAGAGGATTTTACTTACTCTTAGTATCAAATATTTAAGGAATAAATAATACCAATACTATATGAACTGTTCCTTAAAGTTGAAGAAGATAGCATATTCCAAATCCATTTTATGAGGCTATTACTCTGACACCAAACCAGAAAAACATTACCAAAAAAAAAAAGAAAAACGAAACCAAAAAGTAATATATCCTATGAAGATAGATACAAAAATTCTTAACAAAACTTTAACGAACTGAATCCAACCAGTGGAGTTTAATGTAGCAATCCAAGATTGATTTAATATTCAAAATTAATAAATGTAATTCATCACACTAATAGACAAAAAATAAAAGTCATATGGCATATCAATTTATACAGGTAAAGCATTACATAAAATCCCACATGCATTCTGAATACAAATTTCGGCAAAGTAGAACTAGAGGGGAACTTTCTCAATCTGATAAAAGACATCTATGGAAAACTTATAGCTAACACCAAACTTAAGGGTGAAACACCACATGCTTTTCACCAAGATCAGGAATAAGCCCAAGATATCTGCTCTCACCACTTCTATTCAACATTGCTATTGAGATTCTAATCAATGCAAGAAAAACAAATAGGAGGTTTTGCCTTCCATAATCTTATGGAATAGTATAACCCCACAGAGTCTTTAATAAAAACTACTAAAATTAATAGAGAAATTTAGCGAGTTTTTAGGATACAAGATCAATATACCAAACCAACTGCATCCCAATATAATATTAATGTTTAAAATTTTAAAACATGCCATTTTCCAAAACACCAAAAAAATTTAGTACTTACAGAAACAACTGAAAAAGATGCACAAAGCTGGGCGTGGTGGCTTAGGCCTGTAATCGCAGCACTTTGGGAGGTCAAGGAAGAGGGATTGCTTGCACCCAGTAGTTTAAGACCAGCCTGGGCAACATAGCAAGACCCCGTGTCTTTAAAAAAAAAAAAAAGTGAAAAGGATACACAATGCCTATATAATGGAAACTGAATTTTGCTGAAGGGAACTAAAGGAGAACTACATAAATTGAAAAATACACTATATTCATGGGTTGGAAGATTTAACTTTACTAAGATGTAAAGTTCTATAGATTCAATACAGTTCTGATAAAAACCCAAGCAGGCCTTTTAAAAAATAAAAATTGGTAAATTAATTCTGAAATTTAGATAAAAATGTAAAGGGCCTACAATAACTTTTTTAAAGTATAATAAAATTGTTTAATTTGTGCTACATGATTTCAAACTTACTATAAAGCTACAGAAATCAAGATAATATAATATTGGCATAAATGTAGACAAATAGATCAATGGAACAGATTTGAGAATTCAGAAATAGACCCAAATATATGGTCAGTTGTTTTTTGACAAAAGGCAATTTAGCAGAGAAAGAACAGGCTTTTCAACAAATGGTGCTGGGACAATGGGACATGCATATGTAAGGAATGAACTTCAATCTATTCCTCACACCAAATGCAAAAATGTTCTCCAAACTGGAATATAGACCTAAACTGAAAACCTAAAACTATAAAACTTCTAGAAAAAAACATAGAATCAAATCTTTGTTACCTTGGTTAGGCAAAGATTTCTTAGATATGACAACAAACACATGAGAAAAATGATATACAAGATTCCATCAAAATTAAGAACTTTTCATAAAACTGAAAAGACAAACCACTGACTGGAAAAGAATATTTGCAAATCACATATCTGATAAAAGGCTTGTGTCCAGAATAGATTAAAAATACTCAAAACTCAATAATAAGAAAGTGAACAACCCAATTAAAAACTGGGCCAAAGATTTTAAGAGACACTTCACCTAGGAATATTTATGAATGACAAATAAGCATATGAAAGATTCTCAACATAAATAGTAATTAGAAAACTGAAAATTAAAACCACAGTGTGATACCCCTGCACAACTATTAGAATAGCTGACATTAAAAAGACTAACTCTGACAAGTGTTGGCAAGAACGTGAATCAACTGGAATTCTTATTTAAAATGGAACAACTATGTTGGAAAACAATTTGGCAGTTTCTTAAAATAATTAAACATACATCTACCATTTAACCAGTCATTCCACTCCTATGTTCTTACTCAAGAGAAATGTAAGCATATATCCATAAAATATTTATATTCAAATGTTTACAGCAGCTTTTTTGGTGAAAGCAGTATTTGGCAGCAACACACATGTTCATTAATAGGTGAATGGATAAACACATTATGGTATATACAAATCATGGGATAATAAAAAGAAATAAACTATTCATGTACACAATAAGTTGGATTAATCTCAATGTGATTGTGCTAAGTGAAAGAAACCAGTCCACAACTGAGTGCATGCTGTATGATGCCACTTATATTCTAGAATTATAGAAATTACAAATGAATCAATAATGATAGAAAGCAAATCAGTTGTTGCCCTGGGAATGGGGTGGTGAAGAGAGACAGGAGGTAAGGATTACAAAGGAACACAGGAAAATTTGGGGGGTGATGGGTATGTTCAAATTTTGATTCATGCAGTGGTTTATGTGTTTATGTTATGTCAAAATTTATTACATTGTACACTTAAAATTTTTTAAAAGTCTTATCCTCGAATTTTGACAAACTTTTATCTTATCTTTAATTATTCAGTAGGCCTTTATAAAACCATCCCTTATTTTAGGGAGATCTTTTTGCTGAAAGTGGTCTGAGGATACGTATTTAGCTCATAATTTCTGTTCTTATAGATAAATTTTCAATGTTTCACAATATTTAGTAGATATGATTTATGGTTCTAGAGGGTTTCATGTTTGTTTTTCTGCCTTGAGTATGATCTTTTTTCCAGTTTTTTGGGTGCCATTTTGATTCTCTGTTGATTTAATGAAGTCCAAGAGAGAAAGTAAAGTAAAATGATCATACATGCACCACCTTTAAAATTTTGTTCTGGAAGATGTATTTGTAAGACATAATTGTGCCTGGAGAAACGATATGATTCATCGGTGTGATTCATACTGGACTCACTGGGTTAGAATTATTATCATAAATTAGCCCAGATTCGTCCAACAGCATAATTGGAATACAGTAGAGCAGGTGAGGCAAAGCTACATCCTTTTCACATGTATTCGAAACTGAAAGAAAAAACAATTAGCACCTCAATATTTTAATATCTGGATCCTTCCTTCCTCCCTTCCTTCTTTCTTTCTCTCTTTCTCGTTCTTTCTTTCTCTATTTCCCGTTCTCTTTCTTTCTTTCTTTCTTTCTTTCTTTCTTTCTTTCTTTCTTTCGTTCTTTCTTTCTCTTTCTTTCTTTCTTTTCCTCCTTCCTTCTTCTTTCTTCCTTCTCTTTTTCTCTTTCTTTTTTTCTTTTCCTTCCTTCCTCCCTCCCTCCTTCCCTTCTTCCTTTTTTCCTTCCTTCCTTCCTTCCTGCCTGCCTGCCTGCCTGCCTGCCTTCCTTCCTTCCTTCTTTTTTGCACAGACAAAACATCTGCTTGATTAGCCACAGGCTTATTAAGGATACCAACTGGCCACAAACTATATGAATCAATAATGTTGTGCTGTTGTGAGAAAGCTACCATTATTATGGGTCCTGTTAAATAACTGTGAGGTGGAAGAAATCAGAATTAATACTTCTAGCATCATCTGTCAGACCCTTACTAAAATATCTGGTTCCATTTGCAAATATTTACTATGCACCTTTTACCTGTTCCAAGCTCTCAGTTGGGCACAGATGATATAATGGGTGAAAATTGTATGCTCCCACCCTCACACTTTGATGTGCTAAATACTTCTCTCTTACTTGTCCTGTGTGAATTCCAGTGACTGGAAACACCTTCTTTAAGGTTCCCAAGGTCCCCATTTCTCTGTTTCAAAGAGTACTATCCAAACCAGTAGCTAGGGATCCATATGATGCCTCAAGGAGTTCTGGGAGTTATACCTATGGTGTTTTCCTGGGCCTCAGAGCTAGCACCTGATTCCAGGAGGGAGGCCTAACAAGCAAATCTCTCCTGCTGGCTACTGTAATACTTCTTCCCAGGATTGTGAGAGCTGCCAAGATGGCACTGACTCATATTGTCCCTGAGACCCTGCTTACCTCAGATACAAGCCTCAAAAAAGGAACAAATGTTAGTGAAGTGGAATGTTCTGAGCCCTGGGTACAAGAGAGTAAAATGGGACTTAGCCAGCCAATTAGATGCTAGAAATGGAGGTACTATTTATATCCCATGGAAAGAAGGTGGGCATTATATTAAGGTAAGTGGGGAGCCAATTAAGAGATTTAAATGGGGAAGTTACCTAATCAGATTAGCATCGCTCTACTTCAAAAAACTAACCAAGACAATATCTAAGCCAACAAAGAGAAACAGAATGACCAAAGGAAAAAAAATCTCAAAAGACAGACTAAAGGGACAACTTAAATTTTGTCTTCCTTTAGATGAAGATTTGTGGAAGGAGGACATGGAATTTCTCCATGGCTATCTAAGAGAAAATGAGCTTGATTCATATTAGGAGAAAATATTTCTGAACATTAAAAAGTCATTCATTCCTATAAGGGGGAAATAAAAGAGTGATTCACCCATTGTGTTGCTAGTCTCTATCTCTGAATACTTATGAGAAAACATCACCTCCAGTGGCTTCTACATTCACTTGACCCAAAGGATGATCACAAAGTAGAGAATCTTAGAAATGGATGAAGGCACTTTCAATTTCAAGGGACAAAGATGCACCTCAAACTAGTTTAAATAAGGGGAGATTTATTGGTTTACATAATTTAAAAGTCAAGCAATAGATTTAGCTTTAGGCATGGCTGGATCCAGAGACTCAAAATATGACATCTGGAATTGATTCCTCTTCATCTCCTTCGGCTGCTCTCTTTTTGTTTAAATTTGGTTAAATTGCTCCAAGCAGCAGTCCCAAACTTACACCTTACTTCTTTAGCTAACTCAGTGAAATGATAATGCCTCTTTTTCAAGAGTACCAGCAAAATCTTGCAATGGACTCAGATTGTCTTGGTTTGAGTCAAGGGCTCACTTGTGAAATAATCACTGAGTTTGATTACCCAATTGGTTGTTCGAATAGTCCAGTTGGTCATTCTTGAGTCATATGTTCAACCATGGAGCTGAGAGGATTGGGTCAACCTCACCTAAATAAATTAAGGGTCTGTGTATGATGAAGTGGTGGTGATGGGTAATTCTCAGAAGTATCCTGGGGTGTTTACAAGAAAAAAGGAAGGTATGCTAAACAGGCAGAATAAACAATCAACAACAAAGCAAAACACCCTCTCCCACCCACACAAACAGATGTCTACTCTACTTTAAAATCTCTTTAAAGTCTGTATTTACAGTTTGATATCTTAGAAGGGTGAGCCCAGCCAAGAACATTCCTAGATACACTAAATTTTACTTTGTAATCATCTATGCCATTGCTGTCATACTGCAAAAACTTGTTTTAAACTTCCATACTGCACACTTTACAGGGAAATGCCATGGCATAAAGAGACTCGCTTCTTGGCTGTGGGTCACCCAACAAAGTGTGTTCCTGTATATGCTCTGGACTGTGAATATCTCTTGGCAAGAAAATAATGGAGCTAACTGCCTTCATCATAAGTGAGAAGAGCCATGTGTAGCTTATGTCTGAAATAAAAAACCCAGTGTACAACTTTCAAACAACAGATTGTCCCCAGCATTGGTGAGCCATGGGCAGTAACAAATGAAGCCTTCTCAGGCTGTCTCCTGGTCCTGAGCTGTGTTCTGAACTGAGCAGAGCTGCAGCTGAGAGATGCGGAGGCAGCATGCCCAGTTAATCCTTAGTGCTTGTGCCAAGACTGTCAACAAAGGGTCCCATTGTCATGGCACAGTGCGGCTAGGGGTACTAGTATGCTAGGGAACTGGATGGAGACCACCAACTCATTGACTGAAATGCTTTCTCCCACACCCGCTCCAAAACGGAAATCAATGTCTGGCCCTTAGCATTCATGAGCAGTCCAGCAATACCAATCTCAGTGTGCACATGCTTGTGAGGAAAAAGAAATGGATAAGCTGGGCAGACTTCACTTCCAAACCTCAGAGGGGTTGCAAACATCATTACGAGAAATCGATTTGGCAAAATTATGGCTGGTCCTGACTGCCATTTTAATTGCATGCTGAGTTTGGCGATGATGCGTCTGATTTTTTTTTCATGCATTAAAAAAATAAAACAAGGAGAAAGAAAAAGGATGAGAATCAAGAGTCCCTGAAATTTTCTTTTGAATTTTCAGCCTCAGCACTACCATGCTGGCTCTTTATCTTTATTCCTCGCTGAATGATTTCACTTTCAGTGTTGGAGGTTATTCTCTTGAACCATTTCAGACAGTTTTCTGTTATTACTTTAATTCTCGGTAAGCTGTCGGCAGTTGCTACCAAATTGCTTCATGGATCAATTCTTCCTTCATAGCCCATTAAATTTTGCTTTTTTGTCCTGAGTAAGAAGTCACAAACACATTTGGTTACATCTGGCCAGTGAGCCATAAGCCCTTTACTCCTCTTTAGAACTTACTGCAATAGACTCACATTAGGATTTCTGAATGCCCCATGTTTATGGTCTGTTGGGATTCACTATTGCTATTTGCTTGAATATGTAACCAGGAATGGATGTAACTATACAGGGTGTCCTTATATTTGTTAAATCCCAATAGTCATGTTGTAGATTACAAAAAATGGCTACATATTAGAACTCTTTCTTTATGGTAGATGTGCAATGTGACTTTGCAGGTTCACTTGCCAAGAAATTAGTCTCTTCCTCTACCCCTTAAATGTGGGTTGACCCCGTGAGTTGCTTTGACAAACAGCAAGTGGCAGGAGTTATGACATGCCAGTCTCAAGCCTGGATTTCAAGAAGCCACTTTGCACACCACAACTCACTCTCCTAGAATCCCTGCTTTCTCCAAGTGAGTAAGTCCAGCCTAGCCTACTGGAAGATGAGAAGCCACTTGGACGAGACCCATGGTGCCCTGGTCAACAATAAATCCAGCTGACTTGGCAGCTGACTCCAGACCCAGCTAAGCCCAGCTCAAAGTACTGACCCCTAGAGCTAAGTAAATGGTTGTTTTAAGCCATTAAATTTTGAGATGGTTTGTTGTACTACAAATATTAATTGATAGGATCCTTATCTTATTGTTTCTGGTGATTCTTGCCATAACTACCTTGTAAGTATCACCTTCTAGCTTCCGTCCTAAACTGAGAAATCCTTGCTCTAAGCCTAGTTGGAAAATTAATGAAAATAAGGACCTATTACTATAGCATTTATGTCTACGATGGTGTCCTCTGTTTTAACTCCTCTGTTAAAAGACTGTGAACAGCTAGCTCCCTGTTGCTTTCTGAATGGTGCTCAAATGTATTAACTCAACATTTAAGATCCTCCACGGTTTGATTTTAGTCTGGCCATTCAGTCTTGTATTTATCTCCCTACATTAGAAAACTTTTTTTTCCAGACTATATGGACTACCCCACTTTCCCCAAATCACAGTGCATCCCCACCTCCTTGACTTTGCTCCTACTGTTTCCTCTGCCTGGAATGACCTTCCCCTCATTACTGCATGAGCAATCAAAGTCCATTTCAAATGCTACCTCCTTCCTGATACTTTTCCAAAACATTCTAATCAGATGGGATGATTTTTTCCTCTCTTGGAATGCTGAAAGGCCCTGGTGTCTAACACTCAGGAGTCATAGGAGGCATATCCCTCTTGGATTCTTGGTGCTTTGTTCCCTGCAGTGTTCTGGTACAGGACATCACCTCGCCCATCCTTGTCAGAGAACTTCTGAGTGCTAAGCATGGGCCAGACTCTTTGCTGGGCACTTTACACATATTAGCTCATTTAGTCCTCTTCATTACCGTATCAGGTAAGTGTTATTAATTTCAGTGTATAGGTGATAAAAAATGAAGCTTGAAAACCTAAATAATTGATCTAAGTTTCCACAAATCCCACAAATCCTGGACAGCAGACGTGATATTGAATGTGGTCTATCGCTCAGCCTCTCAGATCTCCCTCACAGCCCCCTGTGTGAGGACGCACAGAAGTTGGCAACTCAGTGGCTTGGAGAAAACATTGTAAGAGCTCTGACTTCACATATTGGCTCACAGGGGAGTCAACTGAAGGGACGATAACTGCCTAATAGAAAGAGCCTACCCTGGAGTGGTTGGTCAGAAACACTGGGGCTAGGCTGGGACTTATTTTTTCAACTTCCCGTGCTTCATCAAGAATGTTCTGGGAGGGCATGGTAGCTGATGGCTGTCATCCCAGCACTTCAGGAGGCCAAAGCAGGACAATCACTTGAGCCACGAGTTTGTGACCGGCCTGGACAACATAGGAAGACCCTGTCTCTAAAAAAAAAAGTTTTTTAAAAAATTAGCCGGGCATGGTGGTATATGCTTGTAGTCTCACTACTCGGCAGACTGAGGCAGGAAGATTGCTTGAGCCCAGGAGGTCGAGACTGTGAGTGAGCTATAATCGTGCCACTGAACTTCAGCCTGGGCAACAGAGGGAGACCCTGTCTCAAAAATATAAAAAATAAAAAAAAGAAGGATATTCTTAAGCATCTTACGAATTATTAATATCAGACAGTGGCTCACCACTAAGATAGTCAATAAGCTACCTACTGATTTGTTGCTAATTGTCTGGGAACTAATAACTTTCTACTCTTCTAGTCATAATGAATTTCTCTTTCCTTAGTCAAGTTTGTCCATAAGATTGACTATGGGACATCCAAGAGGTTGGCCCTAATTGTTCCTATTTCAACATGGCCGCTGCTGTTGGGCCCAGGTGCTACAGAGCGGGTCAGCAGCAGAAACCATGAAGCGAGAGGGGAAAGGTTTGGCTTTGCTGCTCAGGAGGTGCAGCCAAGCCTCTCTACTTGGCCAGAATATTACCAGGGCTTAGTTAATTTTTTTCTTTAAGCTATAGATTATTTTCTCACGAGGAAAGTGGAAATATTTCCCTGTATTTGTGAGTGATTTCCTTCTTAAAAAGGTAAAAAAAAAAAATGAACTTAGTAGGCATCATGTTTTAGTGACATTAAAAGATATCTCTGAGAACAGAAGGGTGTGGATTCTAGTTTTGAATGGCAGGAACAGCAAGGCCAACTTCACAGCCTTTCCGTCTCAGGTACAGTGATCCTGCTGTTAGTCGTCCTTCGATTATGTCATGGGGTTGTGCCTGCTTGACAGGCAGAGCTCACATGTGGGGTCTTGCATGAGGAGAAGAGGTGAGCAGTTTGCCCTTGGACCAAGGTTCTTTAGGATGTAGGCTTTCTAACTACACCAGTGTTCCAACGGAAGTTGCCTGGGTCTCTATCTCACATAGAGGTTCCACCTTGCCAGAACACTGGGTACTGCCCCAGGGCACAGCAGGTGTGCCTTGAGGACCAGAGCAAGACTCCATTTCACCTGAAGAAATGGCTGGTCACTGAGAAGGCCTCTGGATTATAGATTTATTACCACCAAAGGGCAGTACCTAATTTGGGAAATGGTGCTTTGTACCAAGTTCCTTCCCCAGTCTCTTGAAAGTCTTGACCTCAGAGGAGTTGCCACACACTGATGGCAAACATGCTCACAGTACAATTGATACAGCAGATACCTGTAGCTCTCTGAAGGCCTGGGTGTGCTAGGCCCACAGGAAAATTAGGCTTGACTTCTATTCTCCAAAATCATTTCAAGGAGATGATACTAATACATGACATCCGAGAGAGAAACAAACAAACAAACAAACAAACAAACAAAAACAAAAAAACCCAGAGAGCTAAAGCTCCTAGTGCAAACGGCTTCTTGTTGAGTTTCCCATGCTTCTCCTCCCTTGGGTTCCATTTGCTTCCTCTTTCTAACTTCCAGTTCTGATATTATAACAGCAGAGACAACAGCTAACCCATGTTTCTTTAGTACCTTCTTGCCAATTACTGTGCTTTACACCGAACTAATAATCTGTTCTTTGAAAAAAGCTGTTCCCAGAGGTTCATGATGGGATGCTTACTGTGCATTGTACATAATAGGGACACAGTAATTACTTAGTGAATGGAAGAATCATTACTATATAGAGGAAGTATAACAAAGTGGTTAAGTGCAGGTTCCTTAACATTAGCATGCTTGAGTTTGAAGCTTGGCCCTGCTACTTACTTGCTGTGATATTTTGGGCAAATGTGTTTACCTCTCAAAGTCTCAGTATCTTCATCTGTCAAATTAGGAATAATAATACTACCTTACCTGAGGGTTGTTATAGATTAAGCAGTAATCCCAGTATGTTGAATATATCAACTACTTAATAAGTAATATTATTGTAATTGCTATGATTGTTAATGCCAAGCATTATACAAAGTTTCTTATCTCCACTTTATGTTAACAATGTACAGTTGAAACATATATGTATATATACGTATATATGTATGTATACATACATATATACGTATATATACATATATGTGTGTGTGTATGTGTATATATACACATATATATGTGTGTATGTGTATATATACACATATATATGTGTGTATGTGTATATATACACATATATATGTGTGTATGTGTATATATACACATATATATGTGCACGTGTGTATGTGTATATATGTGTTTATATATACTTATTCTCCAGCGGAAAATCAAGGCTCTGAGAGATAATAAACTTGTTCAAGGTCATAGAAGGCACTGACTTGGAAGCCTCAATCCACAGCAAGGTGAAGAGGTGACGAGAAAAAAGGTCTTTATCAACTTATTTTTTTAAACACTATGAAGTTTGTGGAAGGCTTATTTTTCCAGAATGGGCAAAGGTTATTCTACACAGATCAAGGGGTCAAAAAGTTTGGATGCACTTGCAGCAGGATAATTTAGTTCAGAGCTATGTTCCCTCTGAAATCTCCTTGTGGAATGATAATGTTATTTCCCATAAAATAGAATACAAGAGCTCTCATTTCCTTTGCTAATGAAACCCTCTTTTTCTCAGGCTACTTATCATACTAGGAACCTGCAGCCAGGTTATACTTTAGGGTCTCTTTAGCAGTCTCAGGGTCTTATCCAAATTAGGGTCTTCAGCCCCTCCAGGTCTCCTGAAGTGGACATGGGGCATTGAAACACTCAAATACTAACCTTTTTGATCAGCTTCCTACCAAACCACCTCCCAGACACACAAATGCACACACTCACCTGACCTAGATTGTCTTTGGGTACTGGAGTAAGCTGGAGCTCCTAAGCTATAACGTTTCCTACAGCACCTGAATCTGGAATGTGGTCACTCCTGGTCCTTGGGCTTTTGTTTTTGTGTTTTTGCGACAGTGTCTTGCTCTGTCACCCAGGCTGGAGTTCAGTGGGGCAACCTCGGCTCACAGCAACCTCCATCTCCCTAGTTCAAGTGATTCTCATACCTCAGCCTCCTGAGTAGCTGGGATTACAGGTGTGTGCCACCACGCCCAACTAATTTTTGTATTTTTAGTAGAGATGGGGTTTTACCGTGTTGGCCAGGCTGGTCTCGAGCTCCTGGCCTCTAATGATCCACCTGCTTTGGCCTCCCAAAGTGCTGGGATTACAGGCATGAGCCGCTATGCCCAGCCCTTTGGCTTTTCTGTAATTGCTTCTGGTTAAATAAATTCTGGTTCCAGGTGATACCTCCCAACAGCTATGTCTCACAAGAGCTTCTCCTTATTCATGGACCATGTGCAGGATGTCTCAGGCACTGATACCACGCCTGCCCTTGTGGCGCTCCCACGTAGTGTAGAGCTCTTCCTAGCAGCATCCTTCAGTGACAGTGGATGCTGGTTTCCTATAGTATGGCAATGGACTGTTTTCCCCTCAACTGCACCAACCTTCAAGCCTCTCAGGTTGTCTGGAATCTTAGAGCGTATCCTGAACTGCATCCTGAAAAGCTGCTTCCAACCAGTCTTCTAGTCTTCTAGTTGCCACAGTGAGAGACACAGTCTTAAGGAACACCACCCCAGCCTTCAGAATTGCGTAAATAATGACTTCAACTACTACTGCTAATGATAGTAAGTTAGTATTAATAAGAGTTACTGTTTTACACACTTCCCACATGCAGGCACTGTATTCATAGATTTTATCTTTATCATAATTTTACCAGATTGGTGCCCCAATACCTATTTAAAGTGTGAGTAAATCGAGGACCAGAGAGGCTAAGTGGCTTGCTCAAGGTTACCATTTGGTAGACAGCATAGCAGGTGTTTGAACTCAAGTTCTTCTGACTTTAAAGCCCTTTCTTTTATCCTCAAACTGCCATTTGTTAAGTGATGGGTACTATACCAATAGCCTTGTATACATTGCCTCACATAAAGAAGGGGCAGACAGTGGGGGCTGTGTCAACCCATCCTCTGGGGTGACCCATGGCCAGTGTATCCTTCTGGCTCACTCTGAGCTCTGGGGGTACTGGGGAGGCAATCCTATCTCCTGGAAGTACCTGTCAGGATACTGGCAAGAGCTTAAATTTTACATCATATTCCTAGCGTCTTCTCTGTCACCACCACTCCTCTTTCTACACTTACAAGGCAAATCCCTGGAAATACAGCTTTTCTCTAAGACATGCAAACCAAACTTTCAATGTTGGGTGACCTAAGTTCCCTGAAAACTGGTAAAGATGAATACAACTTACACTCGATCAACTGATTTGTAGGTCCCCAGAAAGCAAGCTGAAGTCAAATCTAATAACTAGCATAAAATTCTAACTTTGATTATCCATGCATGGAGTGTCCATGGCAAATACTTAATCCCACATGAGGTACCATATGCAAAAGCTTTGAAAAGTATAAAATATTCTGCTAATGCCAAGTATGATTATTCTTGTCAGTGCCACACTCACTCTCCCCACAGGTATGTGCTGAAGGAATACAAATGACTTCAGGAACTGTCTGAGCCAAGCATGACTGGGAATGTTAACTTTACAGTGGTGAGGCCCAGTGATATCAGGGTAAAAGCTCTCATATGACAGTCAGTAAACCTGGTTCTGAGCCTTGATCCTGCCATTAATAAGCTGAGGAAATCTGAGCAAGACTCTCACCTTCTCTGATCTTCAATTCAATTATAATCATTACAATAACACATAAAAATACAACTGCAGTTACTATTTATTGTTGTATACCCACTCCAAGCCATGCGCTTTTCCAAGAGGTTTATGTATAATATCTCATTTAATTTTCCCAACAATCCTCTGTTGCATTATCATCTCCATTTCACAGATGTATAAACAGAGGCCCCAAGATGTTAAATGACTTATCCCTGGCCTCATAGCGAGTAAGGTAGGATCTAGGCCAAATTACATTTTCTAGTCACTCTAAAATAAATGAAATTATTTGGGGATATTTGTGCCCTGTTTCTATTTCACTTGCAGGGAAGTTAGCTATGGTTAGATTCAGAATTCCTAAAGAAAGAGGAAAAATCTTGTTAGAAGCCCAGAGAAAGCAAACAGATTCCTAAAGAGTGAAGCAGGTATATGATTGATTATGACATTTTCCTAATACATGAATGGTGCTTTCCTTCTTTTTAGAAAATACTTTGTAGACTGAGGGTATTGCTACCAGAAGAGGCCACCTTGGGGGGGAAATGGAATATTGTACTTACCTCCTTGTGTTGCAGCTATTTATTGAAACCTCTCTGTCTCTCTTCTTCTAGGTTGTACATTCCTTAAAGAAAAGTACTAGCTCTCATCTACATCCCCAGCACCAGTCACAGGCTTGACACATAGTAGATCAATGTCCAGTGTCAGAATAAATGGACATGTGTTTGCAGAATGAATGAATATGTAAATGAATGAATGTCTGGCTCCTTGCCCTTGTAATTTTTTGTTTCTTCCTGATAGAGCTAAATTACCAATTTTGTCCTTCTTCACTTGGAGTTTAAGAAACCTGAATCAGCAGTGCAGAAACTGAGTCAGCCTTGGCACTCGTGTTTCTCAGCTATTGCAGGTTTTTGTATTAATTCCGATAAAAGAGTAGTGAACATTGTTATTTATGGTCACCCAGAACCCATTTTACCTTCTGTCAGAAACATCTGCTCCCAACTCTCAGTTCATGTGGCTCTGATTGGGCTGACAACCCTGTCTTCCTGCCAGCCTTAGGAGTGAACCCAGGGTCCAGGTATGAAAAATCAGTATACTCTCTCCCATGGCCAGAGTATGTGCTTAGTTGGTGAAGTAACACTTCACCCACACTGTCCCAGTCAATTGTAGGACTTTTGTTGAACCAGTAAGGAAAAACAAAGTTCTTTTCCACTAGGGACACAATGTAAGCCTGTAGCTGCTAATGGCCACCTTACTGATGCAAGAGAATAAATAGCCTGCCTGAGAATGAAGCCAAATTAGGTGAAGTTGTGCCAAGAGATGGAGAGAGGGAGAGAAGCATTATTTTTTTCTTTTTTTGTTTTATTTTGGGGCGGGGTCTCGCTCTGTCGCCCAGGCTGGAGTGCAGTGGCGCGATCTCGGCTCACTGCAAGTTCCGCCTCCCAGGTTCACTCCATTCTCCTGCCTCAGCCTCCCGAGTAGCTGGGACTACAGGCGCACGCCACCATGCCCGGCTAATTTTTTGTATTTTTAGTAGAGACGGGGTTTCACAGTGTTAGCCAGGATGGTCTCGATCTCCTGACTTCGTGATCCGCCTGCCTCAGGCTCCCAAAGTGCTGGGATTCTTAACAACACAATTTATTAACGTAAATTGTATTGTGAAGCATTTTTAACAACACAATATATGTACTATTTCAGCATTGATCCATGCTTGGAGCCAAGTGTGTTATTGGGCTTTTGGTCATATAATCCGATAAACACAGTCTCCTCCTGTGTGGGGGAGGAATGTGTGTATGTGTGCGATCTGACCTCCAGCATGAACTGCTGGAAGATGCATTCCCATGTTTGTTTGGTATGATGCTTTAAGGATCCAGCCTAACTTGCCCTCACTAGGATATAGACAGCTCTTCTGGCCAGTGTCTATCCCATGCTGGTAGTTGTATACAGCCTGAAATTCTTTATTATCCAAATATGGGTCTAGGCCACCACTAGCTGAGTCCTAGAGTTGCTGTTTTGAGACATCCTAGTGGAAATAACTGGTAGTTTTTCGATAAAGATATAGAGGTATAGCCTAATAGCCTTTGGAATTAGGTAGAGCAGGGTTCAAATCTCATTTTGATTACTCAGAAATTATGTAACCTTAAGGAAGTTGCTTTATCTCCATGAAACTCATCTCTCTTTGCTATAAAATGGGAATATGAATGTCCACACTGCAAGATTGTTACAAGAATTAGAGGAGACAAATGTGTAAATGAGTAGAGCTTGGCAACACATAGTAAATGCTTCATAAATGGTAGCTCTTACTTTATTTTTCAAATAAAGTTTAAAGACAATCTTTTATTTATCCACCTATTTATTTATCTGTCTACCTGTCTATATATCATCTGTCTATCTCCTCAGTAGTTCCTCTCGAAGCTGTATACTTACTGTTGTATGAAAAAAGATACTAAGTGCATTTGGAGAGAAAACACTATCATAAAGAATGACCTCTATGAGAGACTGTATAATTACTAAGAATTTCAGAAACTGGAGGAGGTCGGGCGCATATTATTGTATGATGTTAACTTCAGAAGGAAAACAAAACACCCTGAGGTTTGTTTTTGTTTTTTAATTGAGAGCATTTAGGCAGAACAATAAAGATCTTACAATTCATATGGCACCAAATAATTTACGTGAATACGAAAAATAGGGGAAAGCATTTTAGATTTTATTAAAAAGGATTACAGGAATATAGGTAGGACTTCTCAATATGAAACCAGGTAAATCAATATCACAAGTAAACAAATATGTGGAAGGCTTTATTACACCAATTTATTTACATATATGTGATATTGTACTGTGAATGTTTTAAAAGGCAGGGATGAAACATAGAAGCTGGTAAAAATAGTCTCTGGTGAAGTTTTTTGGAATGGAAAAAATAAAGATAAAAAACATGGAGTGAGGCCGGGCACAATGGCCCACGCCTGTAATCCCAGCACTTAGGGAGGCCAAGGCAGGTGGATCTCTTGAGGTCAAGAGCTTGAGACTAGCCTGGCCAATACAGTGAAACCCTGTCCCTACTAAAAGTACAAAAATTAGCCCGGCATGGTGGAGGGTGCCTGTAGTCCCAGCTACTTGGGAGGCTGAAGCAGGAGGATCACCTGAGCTTGGGAGGTGGAGGTTGCAGTGAGCCAAGATCAGGCTACTGTACTCCAGCCTGGGCAACAGAGCAAGACCCTGTCTCAAAAAAAGAAAAAATGGAGTGAAAAGATTTTTAAAAATTTTTGTAGGAAACAAATATTAAGGAAATAATAATAAAAGGATATGCTGAGAAAGCAATGTTTCTAAAGATGCAAAGATTCTTAAGAAAGAATTAGAATGGATGGCAGAGGCAGTAAACCACAAATTAAGTGACTAAAGACCAAGTTGCTTTATTGGATTCTTGAATTTACTTTGGAGGAAACACTGTGATCTGCAGAAGAGATTATGTGGAGTGAAAAACAGAAATCCAGGTTTGGAAGGTGGCAAAGAGGTAATCAAAGAAAAAACCACCTAAGGAAGAGTATTAAGATCACTGGGGGAAGTATGAAAGACTCAGTGGAGAAGAGATGGAGCAAATCTGGAAAAGCAAGAGAAATGGGGCAGAGAAGAGTAAAATGGGAAAAGAGCAGAGAAGAAAAAGGATTGACCAAAAGGCAGGGGCGCAGGACAGGAGAATATACCTGTAAGTTTGTTTAGCATTTCCCAAAAGTTCTTTTCAGCAGGACCAAAGATCCATAGGGTGTTTGCAGGTGCTTGCAGAAAGAAAGGAGTGTCTATGGTCAGATAAGTCGATTTGAGTTGTGTGAGTTTCTTCCTGCAGGATGTTTTGGGAATCTTTCAAAAGTGTTACTGGGTTCTGGTTGGAGTTAGTGTTTGAAGAAAGTATTAATAATAGAAAGTAAAGTGTTGTTGGGTGAATATCTAAAAGAGGAGTAGAGGAATAAAAAATGGAGCCTTTCACCAAAACAATTTTTCCAGGGAATGCTGTGTGTGTGTGTGTGCATGTGTGTGTGTGTGTGTGTGTTTGAGAGAGAGTGAGAGAGAGAGAGAGAGAGAGATACTCAACTCTTTTATCAGTGTTCCTCTCACCTGTCATTTCAGAAGGATTCGGGAATCAAACATACTGCTGAGATAAAATTTTACCCCACCTATATCTTGGCCCTGGGAAAAATGTTCCACCACTGACCATAGCATCATCATAAGACTGCAGAATAGATCCTTCATCCTCTGGTACTCCATCGCCCAGGCACAGATATCAGTAATACCATGGTCATCAACTATGCCACGAGGACAAATTTGAAAGTGGGCTTTAATGCCTAATGCACTTCCAGCTTCCCACTTGGGAAGTGCTTACTTTAGTAATCACTTAATTAATTAACAATTAATTTTTAGAAACTGGGTCTCATTATGCTGTCCAGGCTGGCCTCGAACTCCTGGGCTCAAATAATGCTTCCACCTCAGCTTCTCGAGTAGCTGGGACTACAAGTTTGCACCACCACACCCAGCTTGCACCTAATCTATTAATACATTTTAACTAATGTGCTTAAATGATAGCCTCATGATCTAATACCAACAACAACAGAAAGCCTTCTAGTGCCTCAGAATTGGATTTTTCTCAAGTAATTGATTACCTTGTGGGAAAAAAGAAATGAAAAGTGGGCACTCTCCTGAGAACCCTACTGATTAAGAGATGAGGGCCTTGCAATTGAAACCAGTCTCCTTTTGCAAATGAGGCTGGATTTCATCTCCATGGCCTCTGGCCCTCTCTGTCATCCCTTTAAATGTCACAACTGCCTGAATCACTCAATATGTTTTGCATAGGTCAAGATTTTTCCCCAGCTCAGCTGAGGAGGGATAAAGTCTTGGGCACTAAGGATTCATCATCTTTATAGATGTTGAATGTACCCATGTTGGAAAGAAGAGCCATAAAGAAATGCTTTTAGAGAAGGGTGCCTGAAATCCTTTAATCCCAGGAATTTAGTCCTGAGAAATATTTTGAATGCCATCCTGGGCCTCCTTTTAGGGGCTTCAGAGAAGGGACACTACTGAATGGTTAGTAAAAATCACTTGTCAATGGTTGTGTGACTGCTGTATGATTATTACTTTCTGTTTTTTATTGGGCTTAAATGTCATCAGGTATGCACAGCTCATGCTGCAGATGCTGATGGGACATCAATCTAGATTATTGGATGGGAGATTGAGCAGCAATCCTGCTGCTTAGCTAACAGATGTGTATGGCTGACTTCACAGAATGTTTCATGTCTAACATGTGTTTCTATAGGAAAGTTATTCTTGAATCTTTTCCTATTCCCCTCTCAAACTTTAATTGATGTGTTGTGTTTAAATCATACTCTAAGTTTTGTTTGCTGAGTTAACTCTCACAGGATATCTATTCTGAACAGAGTTAGCAGGGATAAGAGGCGAGTGCTTTGCCTTGAGAATTAATCTGAGAACCCAAACAGAATCTTTTCCAGAGGCAAGAAAATTGACAGAAAATGATGGGTGAGACACAGCTTACTATCAGAGTAATCATCTTTAGTTGTGGGAGGGGAGGTGGAGGATGAGAACGATCACCATTAAATAAAGCAGGTATCATGGAGAATGCATTTCTGGGAGCACATTTTGATGGAGATGCCTCATCAACAGCCACATCTCTCAGCAGCTTTGCAAGATCATTCTGCAAATGGCCATTACGGTCCGGATTTCATCGTTTCACATTTGCACCTTGCAGCTTTTAAGGGCCATTAGAACCTAAATATTGCCCCATCAGAGCTCAACCTAAAAGGGGTGATTGCCAGCAGCCAGATAGATCGTGGAATCTCAGCCTTTGACAGTTCTTAATAGGTAAATACTTTTGTTTGTGAGAGAAAATGATGATCTAGAAATGTCGATAGTCTAAAGCTCTGACTGCATCCCCGAGCAGTTGGAAATTTGACATTGACTCCTATAACAGTCTTATGATACCATCACTTTCCCAGGGGATGAGTTTGAATATCAGAGACCTTGTCTTTTGAAAATTTTGCGTAATATGAGGCATTAAAATTAAGGCTGGTGTTTACTGTTCAGTTCTTACATAGATATTTCCAGATTCACAGCAAGATATTATTTCCCTTAGAAATGCTTTCTGTCCCTGCCAGTTACTGAATGCAATCAGATAGCTTTTGCGTGGGCTAGCATACCAATTAGAGGCCTTGTCTAGGTTATATGTGATGCATTCCCTTCTAAACTCAATGGCTTGTCTGCAGAAAAACACATATAGAGAAGACAAAGCCCAATTCCCAAATCCCTTGAAACTATTTTTGTTCTTAAAATTATATGTATGTATGTAATATTATATACATGTATATATATAAATTTTAACAATATGTGTATATATATATATTCAAGGTAGAAAGAAAAATAGCCATAAAGCATGGCAAATAAAAGAAGATTCATGAGGAAAAAAATCTGACAAAAATATTTAATTAGAATGCAATGGCCCGGCCCTATTATCTTGTATTATTATACATCTTGTCATTAACCAAATCTGTAGCTAAACTGTGAGCATTTGTCTTCATTATATAGTAAAATGGTATAATGAGCAGGTTCCAAACAATGAATAAATGCTCTGAAATGATCACAAGTCTGAAGAATGAGAAACATTTTCATTTCCATTCAGTGTGGTCTGGCAGCTGGAGCTTAGCCTTGCTTTAAAAGGCAATGCAAAAGGAATTCATCTATGTTTACAATTGTGGATAGATACATAAAATCAAGGTGTCTTGTAGTGTGACGTCCTATAAACTTGGCATCTACTAACTTGATCTCTGCCGTGAACTCACCACGAGGCCTTTCCAAATTACAGTTTCCTCATCTGTCAAATGTGATGAATTTCTGTCATCTCAAAGGTCCCTTCTGGTGCTAATATGCTGTGTTCAAGAAAATGATATGAATTGTTAATTCTTATTTGGGGTCTAGTTTAACTGATATGCAGAAAGCCATTTTTCATTCATTCATTTGTTCATTCACTAAGGGTTCATTGAAGTATTCATAGAATGCCAGGTACAAGTGTTAATGGTCCAGAGATAAAAATTCTGCTCTTAAGCTAGTTCTGTGATTCCACATCCTAGCTGCACATTGGATCAGCTGAGGAAACATTTTAAAACTCTGATGCCTGGCCCCTGGCCCCAGAGAGTCTAACTAAATAGTTTGCAATAAGGCCCCATTCTAAAGTGCTTCCTGGTTTGAGAAACTTCTGATCTAGTGGAAGATACAAAAATCATAGTATGTTCTACTGTAGTGAAATGTGGCTTTTCTTAAAGGAACACCTTGCACCCTTTGCCTGCAGGATCCTTATTGGACCATGTCTGCCAACTCCTTGATAGTTTCTCTGATTTCACTCCTCATTCCTACACTGGCAGATGTATTGCTTCTACATATATATATGCACACAAAGAGCATTGCACTCAATGAGAGAAATAGAAGGATACAAAGGAAGCTCTTCTGCAAGAAGCAGCACTGAGATCAATTTTAGAAGATGAGCAAGAGTGGAGCTGGCTGAGAGGGAAAGCAAAATATCCCAGGAAGAGAGTGCAGCATACACAGGTGCAGTGACGTAAGATAGGATGGGAAAGTTCAGAATCTCGAGAAGGTCAGCCTGGCCAGAGCACAGAGAAAACAGCTCGCAAGACCAAGTTTAGGAACAAAACACTATGGCAGAGACTGCTAATGGTTTCCCATTATCCCCGAGTTTTGGAAGGGGGTGTGTATAGACACCCAACTAACAACCACATTCCCCAGCTCCCTGGCAACTAGGTATTGCCATGTAACTAAGTTCTGGCCGATCAGGTTGTGAATAGAAATTAAGCGAGCAACTTCTAGGTCTCATCTCCAGGAGAAAACTGCCTGCCTCCATTTCTTCTTTCTCCCTTCCCATGAGCTGAAATACAAAAATGATGCTGGTGACTCAGCTTCAATCATGCTGGTGAACAGCATGAGAGGAATGAGAGGTCAAAAAAACAGGAGAAATCCCTTCTCAGAATGATACCTGGATCACCCACCTGCTCTGACTTATACCCCAAGAAAGAAATAAAACTTTGACCTGCTCGAGCAACTGTTTAATACTCCTTGTCACAGCAGTATAGACGGTTCTCTAATTAATACACCACTAGAATTAAGTAACCACTAGCAGTTTACTTTCTTAGGAAGAAAACATCACTCTTCTCGGAGGGGTGGCCTGTATAAATATCCGCTTTTGTGAAGTTCTGTCATAGAAACATGCAATTTTTAAAAAGTCCTAGTAAAGAAAAAATTTCTCTGAATTACAGTTTTTAGTAAACTACCTCTGCCCCTCAATACAGTTTGAATGTGTCTCATGTGCCAGTTTTCAAATGTCTCACGATTATAGAGAAAATTTCTTAATTCAATAATTAAGTTTTCTTTTGATTGATTAAGGCCTAGTTGTAATTCCAAAGATCTGTATTGTTGGGGTGGGGCTGGAACTGGCCTTTTATTTAATATGCTGGGATATGATTTTAGTGTGCAATTCCCAGTCTCTAGGGTAGTACAAGCTCTCAGACACTTTACTGGGTTTTGATAGAGAATATTCAAAGAAGCAATTTCTAAGGGGAACATTTAGGTGATATGACTCAGAAGACTACAGAGCTAGCTACAATCTCAGATCCTAAGGGGAAGGAAATTACCAATGGAAACATAACTGTTACTGCAAAAATAGATCTTCCCAACAGGACATAAATCAGAAGCGCTGACCAGACGTGACCACGAAAATGCCCCTGGTGGTCCTACGAGACCAGAAGTGTTCAACTTAACATTGTCAAGGCAAAACAGCCAAGATAACTGATTTATATGCCAGAGATCTTCCTTCTGCTTCACCATACGTCATGTATAGATCTGCTTGCAAACATTTGGCAACTAGTGAAAGGGGTCTGGTGTGTTGTGGGGTCTGTCTTCCCAACTGATGTTGGCTTCCACTTTCATTTCTTCAGGGCTGAGTGCCTTCATTCAGTCCTGCCTCAAGACTGTGTCTCAGCTGGAGATTCTCTCCTTCCCATCACTAAGGCTCCTATTCTTCCAGTCTCCCTGCTGCTGCCTTGGTTAGTGTTCCCCATCAGCTTTCATTTGGGGCACTGCAGCAGTCGGCTCCTAACTAGTCTTCCATCCTCCCTTGGTCTTCTCCACTCTAATCTCATATCTCGCTGCTCTTTGCAGGAAGCCCCACAATGCCTTTGCCTGCAGGATTCTTATTGGACCACATCTGCCAACTCCTTGATAATTTCTCTGATCTCACTCCTCATTCTTCTTTTCCTACTCTGGCAGATGCATTGCTTCCCACTGCCTCTGGAAGTGGGTGCACCATTTTCATTGGTGAGGGCAGAGGGAGTAAGGGAGATACTTTAGCCCCTCAGAGCATCTCTAAGTCTGGATTTTCTACCCTTCTCTCATTTGCCCCAGCTCCTGGGGAGCCTCAGTCTGCATGGTAGATGCAGCCAAAGAATCCGGTTGCATTTGCTGTCCTTGTAACTGTGTTCTCACCATTCAAGTTGCTTCTGCTCTCAGAGTAAGAGAGCAGATTGCCTGTGGATGGTTCTTATGAAATAATGAGCAAGAGGCAGTGGACGCTACTTTCACATGTGATGAGATTCTAAGAAGCATTAATAAGTCTCCTCCCAATATACACACACACACACACACACACTCACTGACATACACACATGCACACACATCTCTCATTCCTAAGAACCAAAACATCATTTAAAACACCAAGGGCAGCAATAGAGAACAAAAGAAAATTTAATGGAGTGAGTGGGGGAATGGCAAAAAAGAATATGGAAGGCAATGGCTCTCAAAGGCAATTGAAGAGGCCAAGACAAACTTTGAAACCTCAAATACTTCACAGTTTTGTTAAGATCTGGCCCTGGACCCAATTGTCTGTGATCTATAGCCAGGGTTGGCTGAGTTTGGGTGGATCAATGACTGCCAAGACTCCTAATATTTGTAATAGCCCAAAACTCTCTTAAAAAGGTAGGCTTCTTGGTCACTAGTCCTCTTTCTCTGAATCTTTTGAGGAATGAGGAAGCAAGATATTGAAATACAAAGAGCATTGCACTGAGAAAAAGAACATTTGTCTTTCAGTCCCAGCTTTCCCATTTACTTCCCTGGTGCCCCTGGAAAAGTCACTTGCTGAACCTCATTTTATTCAATGACAAACATGAGCACCTACTTACCAAGCTACCAAGAGTCTCAATGAGATAAGGATGTCCAATCACCAGTGTTAAACCAGTACATAGAGGTGTTCACCAGATACTTTATCTCATCTCTCCTATCAGTTCCAATATGTCAAATGGTAGAAGGATTATGTGCTTTGTCTCTCTCATGGGGCAGCTATGATGTATCATTAAGTAATGTACAGTGAAATACCTTTGTACATCATAAAGCACTGTATAATGTAAGTAGGCTATTTTTGTTGCCGCTGCTGCTTTGTTAATTATTGTTATAATTCTTGTAATGATTATTTATGAAGACCTGAAGTGTAATACACTGCTCTTAAAAACGTTAATGATCCCTAGCCTAAGAAATGCAGATACCAGGTTTGTAGGCAATACATGTCATTGCTGGGGGCTGGCCTGCCCATATTAGAGACAAGGAAGAAAATTAATGCCAGAGAAAGGCTTGGGAATGCCCCAGGGAGAAGAGTGAATGGAGACTGAGCAGGTTGGGATCTTTGCTCTTTACTCTACAGTCTCTGGCTCTCTGGATGACAGAAGAAAACTCAGAGCTGTTTTGCTGGAGCAGAGTAATGGTGAGAGTACAATTGGAGTCAGTCTTATATGGATGGTAGCCACTGCCTGGTGAACTTCTACCCCTACTTCAAATCTCAGCTCAAACACCACCTATTTTAAATAGATTTGATTCCTTCTTCTCTATGTTCCTGCAGCACCCCATGATTACCTCTATTAGTGCAGTTATGATACTACATTATATTTCATCCATTCATCCATCCATCCACCTATCCATCCATCTGTTCATTCGTCCACTCATCCATCCATATATGTATCCATCCATCAATCCATCTATCTGCCCATTCTTCCATCCATCCGTCCATCCATCCATCCATCCATCCTTTCATCTGTTCATCCATTCTTCCATCTATTTATCTATCCATCCATTCATCTACATATCCATCCATCTATCCATCTGTCTGTCCATCTGCCCCTTCTTCCATTCATCCATCCATTGATCCATTCATTCATCTGTTCCTCCATTCTTCCATCTATTCATCTATCCATCCATTTATCTACATATCCATCCATCCATCCATCCATCCATCCATCCATCCATTACTCAATAAATATCTATTGAATGTCTCCCATGGGCCAGGCACTGTGCTAAGTGCTGAGGTTATCACAGTTGGCTCATTCACCTGTTCACATATTCCTTCCAGGGCCTGGTACATAGTAAACATTCAGGAGACAGTACAGTGTAGTGATGAAAAGCATGGCAAGTCCTGCACAAGTTGCTGAAAACTTAAACCTAATTTTCCTCAACTGTTACAATAGTACCTACCCCTAATGTTTACTGTAAAAATAAAAGTGAGATACTCATATAAAGCACTTAGCAAGGTACCTGAGATCCAGTAAGTGCTATATAAATGACAGCTATAATCATAATAAAGCAACTACTTAGGTTTACATTCCTAGACATAGGAGATTGTCCTGTCACAATGGATAGAGGGAGCTCATCCTTTCTTTTTCTCTTTTCTCTCATTCCTCCCCCTCTTGCCTCCCATCGCCAGTGCCCTGATGATTACAGACATATACAGCAGCATCTTCTGGGACCCTCTTACCCCAAAACTCAGCTGGGGTACAGAATTTACCATGATCTCTGCCAGGCCCTCCAGGTACCAGATGTCCTCTGTCCGATACTAAGCAACTTTGTACCCTTTCTATTCTCACATGAAAGAATTACAGTGTCCCAGCGGGCAAAACTCATATCCAAGCACAAAACACTTCATTTTAGAAGCAATACTGAAACTGTCTGGCTATGAACAATGTCCTTTGTCCCAGGATTAGTGTTTCTTTTTCATAACTGCTGATCAAATTAAGACTACCATGTGAGAAAGTAGAGGATAACAGAAAAAAGACGACAAAGCACAGAGAATTCTTTTCGCCTCCTTACACGGCCAACTGCATAAGGCTAGAAGCTAAAGTAAAATTGAAAGAAAAGAGAAAGAAAGACCAAACTGATTAGGTGCTGGTATGCAGTTTAGAAAACCTGTTTAACTGAAGTTTTAAAAAAGTGCTGGGGTGGTTCCTGCTACTGAATTTGAAAATTTATCTTCTCAAATAAAATTTGCTTTGTCACTCTGCTGCCCTCTGTCCTGTCTCCAAGTCACCCTAATGCTGGGTCAGTAGTCAGAAATGTGCCTCCTATTTCCATGTCCAGAGTCAGTGTGATGCTCAGCTAGTGACAGTCGCAGTTCCAGGGCCATTAGGAAGAATCTTAACCCAAAACATGGGCTTTTGTTCAACTACAACTCGGTTTATTTCAGATTCATCCATTTTGAGTTGCGTGGCTTTGGCCAGTGTTGAACTCTGAGCATGTTTCACCATCTGTAGAATGAGTATAATACCTACCTCACAATGTAATTATGAGGATTCCGTAAGATACAGTATATTAATTGCCCTGCACATAGTAGGTGCTCCACAAATAATCCTTCCTTTCTCCTTGATGCCTGAGGCATGTTACTTTTGTTTTTGTTTTGATTCCTGTTAAAATGCAAATATCCATAAAAAGGGTAACTTTTTTTTTCTAGCTGTTAGCAGTCATTTGCTCCTGAATAGATTTCAGATTATTTTTTTCCTGAATAAGCACAGGCCTTTATAGAGAAGGTGAAAGGGCAAATGGAATGCATGGGATCCCTGGAGAAGGTAACTCCTGAGTGTGGAAGAATTACAGAATCAGGAGAGTTGGAGTTTTACGACATCATACCTCCTTTAAAAGCTCATCAATATCTGATCCCTTCCTTCCTTCCTTCCTTCTTCTTTTCATTCTTTCTCTTTTCCAATTTTGATGTTGCAAATGATGGTGGTAGTATTGTCCAAAGAAATTCATGAGAAGTCCAAAAAAGTGATCCGTTTCTTAAACACAGAATTAAAAGTGTCCTGGGATTACAAGTAGCTGTGGACAGAGCCATAGCTTACTACCTTGGGTATTTTTTGTATCTCAACTCTTTGAGCAATTTTCAAGTGCTAAAGAAAGAAACATACATAAACACACATGTGCACACGACACAATGTGTGGCTTCATTTATTGACTTATTATATACCAGGTACTAAGTATCTTATGCACATTATAGTTTAATTCTTCAAATTCATGTATAAATTGAGTTTACTTCAATTAAAATTTTCAGAAACTGAATTCAAACAACCCAATACAAAAAAGGAGAATTTATTGACATATGGAACCCACAACTCCAGAGACGCAGCAGGATCCAGGGACTTAACTCTATCTCCCTCAATCTCCTTTTGTTTTTCTCTGTTAGGTTCACGCTTCAGCAGGCTCTTTGCAAGGTTTCCAGCAGCTTCAGGTCTAATTCCTATACGCTTAGTAACTCCAGCTCCCAGAGATCATCTTTCCCAATAATTTCCTAAAACATCTTTAGTAGGACTCTCATTGTCCCACCCTGTGTCACATACAGGACTTTGAAACAGATCCATGGCCAAGGGGTTAGAATGCTCTGATTGTCCAGTTGTGTAACAGATGTTTCTTCCCAGGAGCCAGAGGTGGGGTTATCCCCCAGAACCTTATGCCTTGAGAGTAGAAAGTGTGTCCTTCCAAAGATAATTAAAGAGCTGATACCAAAAGAGTGGAAATGGTGCCCAAGCTGGTGAAAACAAGAGATGACCGCTGCAAAATTCTAAGAGGTAGATATTATTGTCTTGTTTTATAAATGAAGAAACTGAGGGTTAAAGAGCTTAAGTGATCTACTCAGAATCACAGAGCTGACAAATTACAGAGCCAGGACCTGAGCTGACATCTTTGCCAATTTCAAGGTTCCCACTTTTATCCAGTGCTATGCCACACAAACTAGAACTTGACACTGCATGAAGCAGGCATCCTGGTGAAGTGTTAGAAGAAGGTCTTTAGACTGAGAAAATTCATTTTTGTTTCTTTTTAAAGACAGTCTGAAATGAATGTCTCTCTGTCTCATTTCTTCCTTCTGAACAGATAATGTCTCTTCCTATCTTGACAGGCAAAGCCTGGATGCAAATAAATTCTTATTAGTAAATTTGGGGTATATTTATCGCTTCCAGCTTTTTTTATTTTTATTTTTAAAGAAGTGAGAAATTCTTCTCAGCAATGTCAGCTCTGTTAAACTGAAAAGTCTGGAAACCTGAGTGTGGCAGCCAGGAGTCCGTGGTGGGGATAGATTTTTTTTTTTTTTTCAAATTCATTTCTACATTTGTGTTAAGGTCAGTGTATTCACTTCACAGTAGGGAAGGATGAATTTTGACATTTTTATAAGGGTGATTGGTTTGTGTCCATTTGTGAGACTCTACATGGCAAGAGGCCATGGCTAATGGAAGAGGGGAGAAAAACAAAACAAAACAAAACAAAAACCTATTTTTGTCAGAAGGCTGCCTATCACCATTTTGGAAGGAGCCCAGAAATATTAAACATGGGTACAGATCTGAGAAGAAGATAGAGACTGTTTGACACACATCAATTAAAGTACAAAGCGGGAAGCTATTGACGGGAATTTTATTTGAATTATGCATCCTGGCAGCCCTGAAAAAGTTACCCATCTCCCCCAAATTTCCTACCACTTACTGATTAACCTTCTGTGTTACTGGTGAGGAAGCATTACAGAGGGGTGAAATTCACAAAAAGGCAGCATGCTGGACCCTCCTCCTGGAACTCTCTTGCCTGTACATTATAGTCTTCATTTGAAGCTCAATTCAAATGAACCATCCTTAGGAAGGTGAGAGGTTTTGTAAGTCCCTACACTAATACTATAAGTTCTGCCCTTTGGCCTCCACGTAAGGATAATCAAAGAACCTATAAATTCTTACTTTGTGACTTCCTGGCTAAACTCTAAGTTTGATGATACTCAGGGACAGGTGTATCTGCTTATCACTCACTACATCACATGTGCTGAGCACAGGATGTGAGATTTATAGTAGGCACTTTCAAATATTTATTGAATGAATGCATGAGTGAATGAATGAATGAATGAATGGCTTTTTAATCATTTCAATGTCTGCCTTTTGAGTTGTGGCATAAACACTGATTCCTTTCTTTCTTTTCAAGGATGAGCGAGGCTTCATTTAAATTGTTATGCTTACAGATTAGTGATAGAGAACCATATCACTAATTTGATAACAGGGAAGCAATTTCCTTTAAAAACAGAATAGTGTTCCTTGGTGATCCACCACATTTTTCTGTGATGACATCATTGACTGTTTAACCACAGGGAAGCTTTCCTGTGAACTCCAGGACTGCTAACTTCTATAAATTCCTGTGCATCAGGCTTTGTTTTAGAAGGTGGAAGACCTTTGTATGAATGTCAACAATGGCTATCCCAACATCATCAAGCTGAGCACTCTAATGACAGTGATTTCAGGTTTGAGCATTCTGTGACTCCACTGATATTTCCATGGGACCTAGAGATGGAAATCACATGTTCCATTGGCTCCACAGGCAGTTCTTGGAGTCAACACATTGCATTTCTCAGGGATTCACTAGGATCAAGTGAGCCTAGAAGGGTAACATCTAATACTGCGCTTTCTGTTTGGGGCTTTCACTTGCATACCATTATACAGGGACACAATTATTAACTTATGGCTATTCCCAGCTTGGCCCTCTGCAACTCTTTCCCACAAAGTCAGTACTGACTTGTGGGATCAGCTTTTCCCCTCTTCCATTCTAATAATTCCCAGAGGGGTTCCTTAAGTTTCTATATTGCACAGTCTGAAACATAGAGCGAAATCTGGGAAGTGTTTATGGCTTTAAAAAGGGGCTAAATCAAAGTGTACTCCTCAGAGGAATTGATATTGAGGGACAAAGAGTGTGATGTGTAGAAAGCACCTTCCTGCTTTCTCACATGCCTTACGGTGTGGAATGGAAGTACAAAGAGAGATGAAATATGCAATGAGGAAATGAATGGGACATTCCTGGAAATGACAAGATACTGAAAAAGTAGATGATGATTAGAGTCGCTAGTAACAGTTTCCATGAGTTATGTACAGCAGTGTGTTTTATGCTTTTCAAGAGACATAGGATATTTGGAAATTCTGTTTAGAATGTGTTACTTCGCTTGGGGTGCTGCAGGTAGGGAATTCACCCGTAATCCGAGATGACAGTGGGATCTACATTGACAACATCCTGTCTGTGCACCCTCTCTCACTCCTCCTTATGAATAAATAACTTGCAAACCACATCTTGTGATATAAGATCAGGCTGCTGCTGACTAGCCAAGGGGTCTCCATCTGACTTGGGCCCTAGGAGGTACACTGGGAAGTCCATGGTTCTTGTTCTTTTTTTCTTCGTTTTTTTTTTTTTTTTCAGGCAGAGTCTTGCTCTGTCACCCAAGCTAGAGTTCAGTGGCATGATCTTGACTCACTGCAACCTCTGCCTCGCAGGTTTAAGTAATTCTCCTGCCTCAGCCTCCTGAGTAGTTGGGATTACAGGCGCCTGCCACCATGCCTGGTTAAATTTTTTTTTTTGTGTGTGTGTGTTTTTGGTAGAGAAGGGGTTTCACCACCTTGGCCAGGCTAGTCTCAAACTCCTGACCTCGTGATCCACCCGCCTTGGCAGGGTTCTCGTTCTTAAAGGCTGCTTCATAGGAACCTCATGGACTTGCCTCAATAACCCTGTACTTCTCCACCCCAAATCATCACTTAGAATGAAGTGTGTTTCCAGTCTAGTGTACAGCATGTCTTGTGCCCTTTCCTAAATGTTTCCATTCCAAAATTCAGACGATAGTTAATTTGCACATATATTCTTTACAGGTCTCACCTCACTCCTGTCTTTTTTTTAAAAAAAGACAAAATATTATTTATTTAATAGACAAATAAATATTATGTGTATTTCAGTGCACAATATGATGATTTTATGTATGCTTTATGGAATGGTTAAATGAAGTAATTAACATATGCATTACCTCACTTTTTTGTGTGTGTGGCAAGAATACTTAAACTCTACTGTCTTAGCAATTTTCAAGTATACAATATGTTGTTATTAAGAATAGTCACCATGTGGTACAATAGATCTCTCGGACTTATTCCTCCTACTTAAATGAAATGTTGTATCTTTGATCAATATCTCCCCAACACCCCCTCCCCCAGTCCCTGGTAACCACCACTCTACTCTCTGTTTCTGTGAGTTCATCTTTTCTAGATTCCACAACTGAGTGAGATCACAGAGGTTTTCTTCTGTGATTGGCTAGTTTACTTAGCTTAATGTCTTCCAGTTCATCTGTGTTGTTGTAAATAGCAGGTTTCCTTTTTTAAAAAAGCTGAATAGTATTCCATTGTGTATGTGTACCACGTTTTTTCCATTGAGCCATTAATGGATACCCAAGTTGATTCCATCTCTTGGCTAATGTGAATAATGCCACAACGAACATGGAAGCCCCACTCCTGTCTTCTTCAATGGCACAGCTCTTCCTCCTTTCCCAAATTCTGTTCATTTTCTCCTTCCCTTTTCACCTATAAGCATGGAATCTACCATTCCTTGTCTTTCCCAGGAGCCCTGCCTAAGGCAAAGAAGAGCAAATCAGCAGAGAAGCTTCCCTTTCCATGGTTCAGCAACTATCACAGTATGTCACACATAGTAGATGCCCATTAAGTGTTTATTGAATGAATGGTTCTACTTCAAAGATTTGTGGGACTGAGTTCTCACAGTATCAGGTGGAGTGGAGAATTAAGTTATTAAATTAACCCACTTATAAGGTGCTCAACGGAACTGAATAGGGTTTTATTCACTCAGACAATGAGAATCCTGCCTAGGCTACAGGGCAAGGTCGAAGACCCTGGTATTAACTCTTTGCCTCTTTCAGATGGATGAAGAAGTTGGGTTTGGATGACTCAAAGACTGGTTTAAATTCTGGTTCTACCACATCTTACCTATGTGACTTTAGGGAGGTGATGCAACCTTACTGATCCTTATTGTCCCCATCTGAAAAATGAAGGCAACAACGCCTTTCTCACAAAGTTATGTGAAAATAAAAGGAGATTAGAAGTCACAGAATGTGGCACCTGGTACATATTCAATAAATAGTTACTGCTGGTATTCATTCACTGAAGACTGTACTCTAGAATATTAAGTAGTAAATTGAGTCAAGTTACCATGGGTTCATTTTAAGGGAAACAATTTTTTTAATTAAAACATTTCTGTATTACAAGAACGTTCCTCCCACCTCTGTCTGTAACTCATCTGTTTTATACTGAAACAGTCTTACAATTGGAAAATCCAGACTCACCTTTCCTAGGCAGTGGCAAACTTCCTTTGTATAAAACAACTTCTCATAATCCTCTGCATAACAACTCCTTATATGCTTGGAGGCCATTCGTTGACATAAAACTCCACAAAGGAAAATTTTCATTTCATTTAACGTGTTTGTTGTTCTGCTAGGCATAATGGAAATAGGTCTACGGTCACAAGTCCCAGCATTCTGGGCCATTGCCCACAGAGGAAAACCATCACTAACTAATTAGCACCTTTGTGTGGGCCTGTGAAAGGGCTGCTGCGGTTTTTTGTTTTGTTTTGTTTTATTTCTGCTTTCATCCCTTTGGCAAACATCCCTGGAAGGCTAGTCATAAATGCTAATGAAATTGCAATTTCTGTTGGAAGATGCAGTCCCAGAATATTTGAAAGCGCAAAAACTCTCTTTGCTGTGTGGTATATTGTCATGTATATTAATACCCTTGTGAAACCTGCTTTTTTATATAAGTTAATATCAATTTGAAGAGCATTCATCAAAAAATAAGCAGTCTCTGACTTTTCTCACTTTTCTCATCATTAGCGGGGGAGCTCATCCTAATCACCTAGTGAGGGGAGAGTACATGGTCTTTATCCTTTGAGTTTCAAGTACCTTGGTGATAAGAACTACAGAAATATATGGCTGGATAGATGTGAACTGTCAGTCTCTCAAGAGGGATATACATATGAATACCTAAAAAATACTATACGATGATTCCAACTGACATGCTTTTTTAGAGCTTTGGCTTTGATAGGATGCAGGACCCACTAAAACCAGACAACTAAACACCAGGAACAAGCAATAGAAGAAGAGCAACATTTAATATTAATTTTCCAAGTGAGCAAGTCAATCTCCTATGTTGACCCCAAGCAAAAATGTCCAGGGTGTCAGCAGCCTGAAATGTCCACACTCATCCTAAGACCTCATTTAAGGACATATGGAGGGTAACAAATATATACCATAGTTAATAAATGACAAGAACATTGGCGGCACGCTCTCTGAAGAGTGAATTGGTCTTGCTTGTTTCTTAAATGTAACAATTCCAGCGTACTCACCAATTTTAATTTTTTTGTAGTTGTTTATTCCACACTGCCCTGTTCCCTCACCTTATCTGTGACTACACACTGGCATCTGATACTTTGCTATAGAGTTTCAGGTCTTGACAGTGTTTCCCATCACAGTGTGAGAATTTTCTATTTTCCCAGGCCCTTGAGATCAGCTCTGTCTTTTGTGAGAAGGAGGCTTTTAAAAGACAGCTGAAGTGGATAAGCGCGGCGTCTGGGCTCACCAAGGAGGAGGCTGCGCATGGGCTGCCAACCGCGGCATTAGCCTTGCTCCAGCTCAGCCCTGGAATAGCTTGTTTTGAGGAGCTTGGCTTAGGCCTATGGAAATAAAAAGACTTTTCAATTCTACCTGTCCCTGGGATGGGCCCGAGTTATCATTCAGAGAGCACACAAGGGCCCCAGCCAATAGGAAAACCAAAAAACTCATTTTAATTGTAGCAGTCAAGTCCCACAGCACAACAGTTTTAACAAGGTCAAACAAAACAGCTCTTCCCTTCCTAGTCCTCTGTTATTTTTGTGGTTTATTTATATATTCAGTAACAACACCATCAACAGCAATTTGAACTCTTCTCTTCTTGAGACATCGATGCCAGGGTGGACGTCTGAACAAGAGTTTTTGCATATCAGCCAACCAGATCGTTGTCCAGGTTAAGCAAGGAAAATGTTGTCCTGTGTGTAATACAAGAGAAAACCATTATGCAAAATCAATATCCCTTAAATACAAATTACTCTAATTAGGTTGGGACAGTGGAGGAACTGATCCATGAAGAAATAAACTAGCTTATTGCAATAATTATTTATTTTTTAAAAATAATCTTTAGTTAGGTGGTTCAAGGCATTTTGGAAACTCTTCCTTATACCCCAGAGCTGACTTCCTTTTACACTTCTGCTATCTGGGCTGCAGCAGAAGGACTAATGTTCATTAAAAAACTGTTAGAGGTAGCCTAGGAATTAGAAGCCAGCATTAATATGAGTCCACGATGGCCCTTAAAGCATGGAGGGTGTGTGGCCTGGGGGTGTTTATTGCCTGGTTCTGTGGCAAGTGAGGCAGGGAAGGAACATTGGTATTATTTTTGGCTTAGGCTACAGAAAAAATTAACCTTAATTTCATCATGCTAAACATAGCCAGCAAACACAAATGCCTCTATCAGAAGTATTACTTTCTACATGATACCACTGTGGAATAAAATCTTTGTTTTGACAGAGATGTTTGTGCACGGAGCAATCTTTGAGTTTTTGCTATGGGTGAAAAGCAATCCAATATGTGTAACCAAAAAGATGCAAAAAGATACACATAACAGAAGACCATTATTACATAGTCTTGCTCATGAAGGAAAACCTAATAAAAATGATACTGATGTTAAAGCACATATTTTAGCAGCATTTGTAACTCTGTTCTCCAATGGGAACAATAAATGTGCTTTTAGCTGGAGCCATAACTTGCTCAAACATTTAAAGTTCTCCCAAATCCAAAGGGAAATAATGCACGATAGCTCCTTGGCATAATGGTTCGGTTGATAAAATGAAATGTTAGCCTGACTATAGATTGTGAACGTAGAAAGTAGAAAAAGCATGGATATGAAAAGGGCCAGGTATTTCATCTTGGCCCTGAATAGCATAAGAAGAACAAGAGAGAGAGACAGGAGACTGGAGGAAGGCTAAATGCTGTAGGCACATATGTATTCTGGAAGGTAGTATGATAAGCAGCTTCTGAAATGGTCCTTCTCTGTCCCTACCTCCTGGTTTTCACATCCTTGTGTAATTTCCTCCCCTTAGGTATAGTGGCTCAATTCTAATGAATATAATATGGCAGGAAAGACAGAATGTTACTTCCAAGATTGGTTAACAAAGAGGCAGTAACTTCTGTCTTGCTTGCACTCTCTCTGGTATTTCCTGCATGCTTTGATGAAGCCAGCTTCCATGTTGAGAGCTGCCTATGGAGAGGCTTGGGTGACAAGAAATTAGAGTGGCCTCCAGCCAACAGCCAAGGAGTGACTGGATGCTGCCAACACCACAGGAGTGAGCTTGGAAGCAGCTCTTTCCCCAGTAGAGAGTCTTGAGATGAGTACAACTCAGGCTGACACTTTGGTTGCTGCCTGTGAGAGATCCTGAGCCAGAGGACCCAGCTAAGCCACACCAGAATTCCTGGCTCACAGACACGGTGAGATAATATGTGCAGTTGTCCAAAGTCATTAAGTTTTGGGGTACATTTTTTACCCAAATATAGATAATGAATACCGTGGAAAACTGAAAATTCTATCAAATCATGCATCATTTCTGGAATGGCTCAAGCCTCAATATTTCTCTTTTTAAAGGATGAAAGCAGCAACCACAACAATCTTGTCTATGGCTGGGCACACAGACAAGACAAGAGCAAGAGTTTCTGCACATTAGCCAACCGGAATTTTGTCCAGGTTACGTAAACAGAATGTTGTCATGTGTGTAATACAAGAGAAAACCATTATGCAAAATCAACATATCCTTAAACGCAAATTACTGGGCAGGAGTGGATGAGAAAGTTAGAGAAAAATGCAAGCAAGAGATGATAACCCAAAGTTTGCAGAAAAATCTAGACTACAGAAACATAGAGGAAGCAATAGCGAAGATGCCTCTCCTCTTAGAATAATAGTCCTGAAAGAAAAGCCAACATGCATGTTGCTAATTGGCCTCTGCTACCTGGTAATCAGCAATTGTCAACTGAAAGACTATCATCTCAGGAGAGGGTAAGCCAGGAGAGGTGTGGAGGGCAGGGAATCTGGCTGGAAGGTTAGGACAGAGTGTAGCAATAAAAGCAATATGCCACATCTGAGGCTACTGTTAGTATAGAACGGTGTTCAGAAACGTTTTGCTTTCAAGAAACAGATATTAAATATTTTAAGTTTTGTGGGACATATGGTCTCTGCTGTTGTAGTGTAAAAGCAGACAAAGACAACACAAAAGTGAATGAGCATGTCTGAGTTCCTATAAGACAACTTGCAAGAGTAGGCTGCAGGCCAGATTTGGCCCACAAGCCATAGTTTGCCAATCCCTGATATAGAACAAGGTATTCTACAGGTATAATAAATCCAAAAAGTGGAATTGAGGCCAGGGCCAGCATATCCAAGCCAACCAAGTAGGTATAGGTAAGGTGAAGAGTTCAGAATCAAGATCAGTAGGATGGCCCAGGCAGCTACTGTGTCTGATCTTTGGTAGAACTCCTTGGTCAGAGTTCAGACAGGCCAAGAAAAGATGGGTGAGGATGAAGACCAGAGAGAATCTGGAGCTGAATACATAAAGAGCTGGTAAGAAGGAGAAAAGACTAACTTGGGTTCAAAGAGAAAACAGCATATGAACAAGCAAACTGCTAAGCTTATGTTAAGTACCCTTCTTTATGGACAGATAGGGACAGGATATTGGCTAGATGCTGCCTCCAAGCAAAATGGCGCTTGTACAGAAATGTGCAGCCTGCCCATTCTATAACAAGCAGCAGTTTCTTGTACATCTTCATTTATCTCAACCCTGGAGTTCAGCCCCCTCACCAAAAGTGCATTTTTTTATACTCCACATGGGTAATTTGTTTCTACATTTCTTCATATAATTCAAAAGAGCAGTTTGATTTGGGACACTCCCTTTAGACTCAGAGAATAAGACTGTAATTCATCTTTTATGCATTTCTGTCTTGCATGCCAAATGAAATTCAAATTGTCATTCTTTGTTCTGAACTAAACACCATCTTGAAATTGTTTATTCTTATTGTTTAAAATAATTCTGATTCTAGATGGCTCTTCTATCTTGGGAGAACAACACACATTTAAAAAATTAAAAGATTAGTTTTCCCATTAAAATATCTTTCTTTTAGGCAGAACATTGCTTTGTCAAAAATTGGGATGTCTCAATACTTTCTATAATATATTTTTTTCAGAGAATGCTGGATGGGATATTAGGTGATTGTCCAAAATCAGAGTCCTAGTTCCAACTCTGCTGCTTATTAGCCCGTGTAATCTTGGGAAAGTTATCTAAATTCATTTTGCTTTATTTCACTTTATTGTTTTTCTCTCTCATCTTTAGAGAGGAAAAGAGATACTCATTCCTGCTCTGGCTTCCTAGTAAGATTTTGGAAGAATCTGATGAGTTAATATATGTCAACATATGCTATAAATTATAAAACTTTATAAAAATGGTAGGTATTGTTATTCATCAAGCATTTATTTGATCTTATTTTATACCAGGTACTGTGCAATGGACAAGGGTTACAAAAATGAGTAAGAACTGTCTCTTCCTTCCAAATATTAATTATATCAAAGAGTTAATAATTATATTAGCTAACTTTTTATAGCACTCACAGTGTTCTAAGCATTCTCTCTATATATTTTATTTAATCTTTACAGTATAAATGAGGACAATTACTCCCATTTTAAGATGAGAATATTGTCACAAAGGTTGAGGGGAAATTAGAAAATTTTCCCAAGCTTATACAAGTTAATAAATAGCAGAGTTGGAACTAGGACTCTGATATTGCAATCACCTAGCATTCCATGTAGCATAATCTAAAAAACAAAATCATAGAAAGCATTGAAATATTTCAATTTTTAACAAAGCAGTGTTCTGCCTAAAACAAAAATATTTTAATGGGAAAGCTAATCTTTTGATTTCTTAAATGTGTATTGTTCTCCCAAGATAGAAGGACCATCTAGAATCAGAATCATTTTAAACAAGAAGAATAAACATTTCTTAAGATTAAGAATTATTTGAGGTTAAGTCCCCAAGTGACACATCTAGTAAATGGCTGGGCCGGGATTCCAACCTAGGATGTTTGATTCTACCAAATATTTGCTTCACTATTATGCTGTATTGAATATTAGGTCTATGAATATTTAAGTGGAAGTAGTAAGAAGGTCATTACTGATTTCAGGAAGTAAATAATCTAAAACAAATGAAAGTAGAGATGGCCAGAAGGAATAAGTATTTTCCTAAGGGTGTCTCATGGAAACAAGTCCCCTAAGTCTGGCTATGTGAAAAAAAATAATTACGTGGGCAGATGTTTGCAAAACATCCTGATTCTCCTCAGAGAGTTACGACGTATGTTAGCCTGGTAAAATCCTGCTTAGAAGTTCTGCAGAAAACAAATCTCTCTCACTTTGTTTGGCCCAGTGTTTTCCACAGGTATTGTCCTAGGGATCTTTTTCACTAATGCTGTTAACTGAGCTCTGTTGAACATAGTGTCTCTCTCAAATAGCGGTCCCCAACTTTTTTAGCACCAGGGACTGATTTCATGGAAGACGATTTTTTCACAGACTCTTGGGGAGGGATGGTTTCGGGATGATTCAAGGGCATTGCATTTACTATGCACTTTATTTCTATTAATATAACATTGTAATATATAATAAATAAAACAACTCACCATAACATAGAATCAGTGGGAGCCCTGAGCTTGTTTTCCTGCAACTACATGGTTTCATCTGGAGGTGATGGGAGACAGTGACAGATCATCAGGCATTAGATTCTCATAAGAAGCACACAACCCAGATCCCTCACCTGCACAGTTCACAATAAAATTTGCACTTCTATGAGACTCTAATTCTGCCATTGATCTGACAGGAGGTGGAGCTCCAGTGGTAATGGGAGCAATAAAGAGTGGCTGTAAATACAGAAGAAGCTTTGCTCACTCACCCACTGCTCACCTCCTGCTGTGCAGCTCAGTTCTTAACAGACTGCCAACTGGTACTTGTCTGTGGCCCAGGGGTTGGGGATCCCTGCCCTAAAACACTGGTGCAGAATTTTGAAGAGACTTGGCATGGAGGAGGATAGTAAGTTGAAATAGCTAAATAGGAGAGACAAAAGGCTCTCACCAGGGGCAAAGTAAAGAATTGCTGAAGAGCTTGTGAGTGCCGCTGGTCTTGAAAACCATCTATCCATTGATGATCGTGCCAGTTGGCACCACTATGGCATTATCTGTAGCTGTGCTTAATAGTTGGAGAAAAATGGTGGAGAAGAGTGGTAGAGGAAGTGGAAATTTGAATTGATCCAGGACTGGGGACTGGAAAAGCAGATGAAGTAAAAGATGAGAAGAAAATGAATTTACTAATATTTAAGAAGGAAAAGTAAAAAATGATGTTATTTTCTTCCACAGCCTATAATCTTTAATGTATTATGTGAAATGTAATGTATTGCCCTCAGAAATGTTATTGTATATGTAATTTGACAAAACAGAGAAACATCTTTTCTCAATTTTAAGGGAAAGATCACCCTCTCCCTTTGTGACCTTGGTGTCCCTTACACATTCCATTAGGGATGTGGCCAAGACTTCCAAAGCACTAATGCTCCAACACCTCTGCCATTATTCTCTACACTTACAGTGAATTCAGGGGTTTCATACCTAGGGAACCTCTGAATATCACAGATATACCCGAGGGACATGTCAGAAGCTGGGATAACAGAAAGCTAGACTGGATGTGGAGAGGTTCCAGTTTGGCTTCCTGTTATCTCAGCTTCTGTGGCTGAGCAGATGACCTTAATCCATCATGACTAATGCACAGAAGCTGCCTAAGGAAGGCGATTCACATAGCAACTGAGAAATGTTTGAGTATGGATGTCTTGAAAGAGAGAAAGGAGTGGGTAGAGCTCAGAAAGCAATGGTAGGGCCTGCTTCTCCCAATTGCTACTCCCAGAGGAAGAATGCCTTCTAGCATCAGGTCTTGGTCCATTTAGTGAGCACACTTCTTCCTAGAGCTGTGGTTCTTAAACACGTGGGTTATAGGATTTCTTTACATTCTTAAAAATTATTAAGGTCCCCAAAGAGCTTTTGTTTATGTGGGTTACACCTATTGATACTTATCACATTTAAAATGAAAAATGGATACATTTAGAATATTTATTAATTTATTGAAAAATAGAAAATAGCAAACCCACTGTATGTTAACAGAAATAATACATTTCTGTAAAAAAGTATATTTTCCAAAGTAAAAAATTTCTAGTGAGAAATGTATTATGTTTTTGCATTTTTGCAAAACTCTTTAATCATTGGCTTGATAAGAGACAGTTGGATTCTCCTATCTTCTTCCATTCATTTTGCCACGATTTGTTATTTTGGTTGAAGAAAACCTTGCCTGACACAGGCACATCATTGGAAAAGGGAGGGGCATGTAATTGCTTTTTCAGACAATGATGGATATTGTTTTATGATACTATACCGAAACTTAAAAAGTAGTAGTTTCTTTTTTTTTTTATTATTATACTTTAGGTTTTAGGGTACATGTGCACATTGTGCAGGTTAGCTACATATGTATACGTGTGCCATGCTGGTGTGCTGCACCCACTAAATCATCATCTAGCATTAGGTATATCTCCCAATGCTATCCCTCCCCCCTCACCCCACCCCACCACAGTCCCCAGAGTGTGATATTCCCCTTCCTGTGTCCATGTGATCTCATTGTTCAATTCCCACCTATGAGTGAGAATATGCGGTGTTTGGTTTTTTGTTCTTGCGATAGTTTACTGAGAATGATGATTTCCAATTTCATCCATCTCCCTACAAAGGACATGAACTCATCATTTTTTATGGCTGCATAGTATTCCATGGTGTATATGTGCCACATTTTCTTAATCCAGTCTATCATTGTTGGACATTTGGGTTGGTTCCAAGTCTTTGCTATTGTGAAAAATGCTGCAATAAACATACGTGTGCATGTGTCTTTATAACAGCATGATTTATAGTCCTTTGGGTATATACCCAGTAATGGGATGGCTGGGTCAAATGGCACTTCTAGTCCTAGATCCCTGAGGAATCGTCACACTGACTTCCACAATGGTTGAACTAGTTTACAGTCCCACCAACAGTGTAAAAGTGTTCCTATTTCTCCACATCCTCTCCAGCAGCTGTTGTTTCCTGACTTTTTAATGATTGCCATTCTAACTGGTGTGAAATGGTATCTCATTGTGGTTTTGATTTGCATTTCTCTGATGGCCAGTGATGGTGAGCATTTTTTCATGTGTCTTTTGGCTGCATAAATGTCTTCTTTTGAGAAGTGTCTGTTCATGTCCTTCGCCCTCTTTTTGATGGGGTTGTTTTTTTCTTGTAAATTTGTTTGAGTTCATTGTAGATTCTGGATATTAGCCCTTTGTCAGATGAGTAGGTTGCGAAAATTTTCTCCCATGTTGCAGGTTGCCTGTTCACTCTGATGGTAGTTTCTTTTGCTGTGCAGAAGCTCCTTAGTTTAATTAGATCCCATTTGTCAATTTTGTCTTTTGTTGCCATTGCTTTTGGTGTTTTGGACATGAAGTCCTTGCCCATGCCTATGTCCTGAATGGTAATGCCTAGGTTTTCTTCTACGGTTTTTATGGTTTTAAGTCTAACATTTAAGTCTTTAATCCATCTTGAATTGATTTTTGTATAAGGTGTAAGGAAGGGATCCAGTTTCAGCTTTCTACGTATGGCTAGCCAGTTTTCCCAGCACCATTTATTAAATAGGGAATCCTTTCCCCATTGCTTGTTTTTCTCCGGTTTGTCAAAGATCAGATAGTTGTAGATATGTGGCATTATTTCTGAGGGCTCTGTTCTGTTCCATTGATCTATATCTCTGTTTTGGTACCAGTACCATGCTGTTTTGTTTACTGTAGCCTTGTAGTATAGTTTGAAGTCAGGTAGTGTGATGCCTCCAGCTTTGTTCTTTTGGCTTAGTATTGCCTTGGCGATGCAGGCTCTTTTTTGGTTCCATATGAACTTTAAAGTAGTTTTTTCCAATTCTGTGAAGAAAGTCATTGGTAGCTTGATGGGGATGGCATTGAATCTGTAAATTACCTTGGGCAGTATGGCCATTTTCACGATATTGATTCTTCCTACCCATGAGCATGGAATGTTCTTCCATTTGTTTGTATCCTCTTTTATTTCGTTGAGCAGTGGTTTGTAGTTCTCCTTGAAGAGGTCCTTCACATCCCTTGTAAGTTGGATTCCTAGCTATTTTATTCTCTTTGAAGCAATTGTGAATGGGAGTTCACTCATGATTTGGCTCTCTGTTTGTCTGTTATTGATGTATAAGAATGCTTGTGATTTTTGTACATTGATTTTGTATCCTGAGACTTTGCTGAAGTTGCTTATCAGCTTAAGGAGATTTTGGGCTGGGACGATGGGGTTTTCTAGATATACAATCATGTTGTCTGCAAACAGGGAAAATTTGACTTCCTCTTTTCCTAATTGAATACCCTTTATTTCCTTCTCCTGCCTAATTGCCCTGGCCAGAACTTCCAACACTATGTTGAATAGGAGTGGTGAGAGAGGGCATCCCTGTCTTGTGCCAGTTTTCAAAAGGAATGCTTCCAGTTTTTGCCCATTCAGTATGATATTGGCTGTGGGTTTGTCATAGATGGCTCTTATTATTTTGAAATACGTCCCATCAATACCTAATTTATTGAGAGTTTTTAGCATGAAGGGTTGTTGAATTTTGTCAAAGGCTTTTTCTGCATCTATTGAGATTATCATGTGGTTTTTGTCTTTGGCTCTGTTTATATGCTGGATTACATTTACTGATTTGCGTATATTGAACCAGCCTTGCATCCCAGGGATGAAGCCCACTTGATCATGGTGGATAAGCTTTTTGATGTGCTGCTGGATTCGTTTTGCCAGTATTTTATTGAGGATTTTTGCATCAATGTTCATCAAGGATATTGGTCTAAAATTCTCTTTTTTGGTTGTGTCTCTGCCCGGCTTTGGTATCAGAATGATGCTGGCCTCATAAAATGAGTTAGGGAGGATTCCCTCTTTTTCTATTGATTGGAATAGTTTCAGAAGGAATGGTACCAGTTCCTCCTTGTACCTCTGGTAGAATTCGGCTGTGAATCCATCTGGTCCTGGACTCTTTTTGGTTGGTAAACTATTGATTATTGCCACAATTTCAGCTCCTGTTATTGGTCTATTCAGAGATTCAACTTCTTCCTGGCTTAGTCTTGGGAGAGTGTATGTGTCGAGGAATTTATCCATTTCTTCTAGATTTTCTAGTTTATTTGCATAGAGGTGTTTGTAGTATTCTCTGATGGTAGTTTGTATTTCTGTGGGATCAGTGGCGATATCCCCTTTATCATTTTTTATTGCGTCTATTTGATTCTTCTCTCTTTTTTTCTTTATTAGTCTTTCTAGTGGTCTATCAATTTTGTCGATCCTTTCAAAAAACCAGCTCATGGATCTCATGGATTCATTAATTTTTTGAAGCATTTTTTGTGTCTCTATTTCCTTCAGTTCTGCTCTGATTTTAGTTATTTCTTACCTTCTGCTAGCTTTTGAATGTGTTTGCTCTTGCTTTTCTAGTTCTTTTAATTGTGATGTTAGGGTGTCAATTTTGGATATTTCCTGCTTTCCCTTGTGGGCATTTAGTGCTATAAATTTCCCTCTACACACTGCTTTGAATGCGTCCCAGAGATTCTGGTATGTTGTGTCTTTGTTCTCGTTGGTTTCAAAGAACATCTTTATTTCTGCCTTCATTTCGTTATGTACCCAGTAGTCATTCAGGAGCAGGTTGTTCAGTTTCCATGTAGTTGAGCAGTTTTGAGTGAGATTCTTAATCCTGAGTTCTACTTTGATTGCAGTGTGGTCTGAGAGATTGTTTGTTATAATTTCTGTTCTTTTACATTTGCTGAGGAGTGCTTTACTTCCAAGTATGTGGTCAATTTTGGAATAGGTGTGCTGTGGTGCTGAAAAAAATGTATATTCTGTTGATTTGGGGTGGAGAGTTCTGTAGATGTCTATTAGGTCCGCTTGGTGCAGAGCTGAGTTCAATTTCTGGGTATCCTTGTTGACTTTCTGTCTCGTTGATCTGTCTAATGTTGACAGTGGGGTGTTAAAGTCTCCCATTATTAATGTGTGGGAGTCTAAGTCTCTTTGTAGGTCAGTCAGGACTTGCTTTATGAATCTGGGTGCTCCTGTATTGGGTGCATATATATTTAGGATAGTTAGCTCTTCTTGTTGAATTGATCCCTTTACCATTATGTAATGGCCTTCTTTGTGTCTTTTGATCTTTGTTGGTTTAAAGTCTGTTTTATCCGAGACTAGGATTGCAACCCCTGCCTTTTTTTGTTTTCCATTTGCTTGGTAGATCTTCCTCCATCCTTTTATTTTGAGCCTATGTGTGTCTCTGCACGTGAGATGGGTTTCCTGAATACAGCACACTGATGGGTCTTGACTCTTTATCCAATTTGCCAGTCTGTGTCTTTTAATTGGAGCATTTAGTCCATGTACATTTAAAGTTAATAGTGTTATGTGTGAATTTGATCCTGTCATTATGATGTTAGCTGGTGATTTTGCTCATTAGTTAATGCAGTTTCTTCCTAGTCTCGATGGTCTTTACATTTTGGCATGATTTTGCAGCAGCTGGTACCAGTTTTTCCTTTCCATGTTTAGCGCTTCCTTCAGGAGCTCTTTTAGGGCAGGCCTGGTGGTGACAAAATCTCTCAGCATTTGCTTGTCTGTAAAGGATTTTATTTCTCCTTCACTTATGAAGCTTAGTTTGGCTGGATGTGAAATTCTGGGTTGAAAATTCTTTTCTTTAAGAATGTTGAATATTGGCCCCCACTCTCTTCTGGCTTGTAGGGTTTCTGCCCAGAGATCCGCTGTTAGTCTGATGGGCTTCCCTTTGTGGGTAACCCGACCTTTCTCTCTTGCTGCCCTTAACATTTTTTCCTTCATTTCAACTTTGGTGAATCTGACAATTATGTGTCTTGGAGTTGCTCTTCTCGAGGAGTATCTTTGTGTCATTCTCTGTATTTCCTGAATCTGAACATTGGCCTGCCTTGCTAGATTGGGGAAGTTCTCCTGGATAATATCCTGCAGAGTGTTTTCCAACTTGGTTCCATTCTCCCCATCACTTTCAGGTACACCAATCAGACGTAGATTTGGTCTTTTCACATAGTCCCATATTTCTTGGAGGCTTTGCTCATTTCTTTTTATTCTTTTTTCTCTAAACTTCCCTTCTCGCTTCATTTCATTCATTTCATCTTCCATTGCTGATACCCTTTCTTCCAGTTGATCGCATCAGCTCCTGAGGCTTCTGCATTCTTCACGTAGTTCTCGAGCCTTGGTTTTCAGCTCCATCAGCTCCTTTAAGCACTTCTCTGTATTGGTTATTCTAGTTATACATTCTTCTAAATTTTTTTCAAAGTTTTTAACTTCTTTGCCTTTGGTTTGAATGTCCTCCCGTAGCTCAGAGTAATTTGATCGTCTGAAGCCTTCTTCTCTCAGCTCGTCAAAGTCATTCTCCATCCAGCTTTGTTCCATTGCTGGTGAGGAACTGCGTTCCTTTGGAGGAGGAGAGGCGCTCTGCGTTTTAGAGTTTCCAGTTTTTCTGTTCTGTTTTTTCCCCATCTTTGTGGTTTTGTCTACTTTTGGTCTTTGATGATGGTGATGTACAGATGGGTTTTTGGTGTGGATGTCCTTTCTGTTTGTTAGTTTTCCTTCTAACAGACAGGACCCTCAGCTGCAGGTCTGTTGGAATACCCTGCCGTGTGAGGTGTCAGTGTGCCCCTGCTGGGGAGTGCCTCCCAGTTAGGCTGCTCGGGGGTCAGCGGTCAGGGACCTACTTGAGGAGGCAGTCTGCCCGTTCCCAGATCTCCAGCTGCATGCTGGGAGAACCACTGCTCTCTTCAAAGCTGTCAGACAGGGACATTTAAGTCTGCAGAGGTTACTGCTGTCTTTTTGTTTGTCTGTGCCCTGCCCCCAGAGGTGGAGCCTACAGAGGCACGCAGGCCTCCTTGAGCTGTGGTGGGCTCCACCCAGTTCGAGCTTCCCGGCTGCTTTGTTTACCTAAGCAAGCCTAGGCAATCGCAGGCGCCCCTCCCCCAGCCTTGCTGCCGCCTTGCAGTTTGATCTCAGACTGCTGTGCTAGCGATCAGTGAGACTCCGTGGGCGTAGGACCCTCCGAGCTAGGTGCGGGATATAATCTCGTGGTGTGCCGTTTTTTAAGCCGGTCCGAAAAGCGCAATATTCGGGTGGGAGTGACCCGATTTTCCAGGTGCATCTGTCACCTCTTTCTTTGACTCGGAAAGGGAACTCCCTGACCCCTTGCGCTTCCCAAGTGAGGCAATGCCTCGCCCTGCTTTGGCTCGTGCACGGTGCATGCAACCACTGACTTGTGCCCACTGTCTGGCACTCCCTAGTGAGATGAACCCGGTACCTCAGATGGAAATGCAGAAATCACCCATCTTCTGTGTCTCTCATGCTGGGAGCTGTAGACTGGAGCTGTTCCTATTCGGCCATCTTGGCTCCTCCCAAAGTAGTAGTTTCTTAATGGTTAGTTGTCATGTAGAAACTGAAACCATATCAGTAAACTCTTCAGGCTCTGTTATATTAAATTCATCTGCTTGTCTTGTATTTTAATCAGTCTTTTATCCATGCAAAACTGTAATATCATGCATTTGCCTTTTGGAAAATATTGAAAATATTGGTTCACTGAGATATGCAGATCTTCCAAATGTTGATACATTTTATTATGCAACATAAAATATTATATTTACTAATATCACCTTCATCTTGTCAGAAAAGTCTTTAAGATTTGGAAAGCTGTCAGTCTTATGGTGGTCAATACAAGTTTTCCAAATTTCTAATTTTTGCTTGAAAGCTCAAATATTATCATTGACAACAGATACTGTCAGTGTTTTTCTCAAAATGACAGATTCACTTAGGACGACCAACCACCCTATTCACCCAAGACTAAGGGGCTCCTGGGGAAATGCTAGAGTTTCAATGCTAAAACTGAGAAAGTCCTTAGAGGCATTAATTTTTTAGAAAATATCCATTGAATACCCAAGTCAGAATAACTGTAATTCATCTGTCAGTCATTCTTTTAAGTAAAAATGGTATTCTATGACAAAAGTAACTAGTTCAGCTGGCAACTCCAATAATCACACGAGTGCTTCTCCCCCCGATAACTCCTCAGCATGCAGCAGTTTTGCTCTGTAGGTGTTTCTAATTTAGTCACAAAGTGTCCTAAAAGGACAAGGCAACTCAAGGGCCAATGTTTAATAAAGAGATTAATTTTTGTTGCTTCATCAAAGGAATTCTTAAATAAAACTGGTTTTTAAAAAATGTAAATGTGGGGCTGTGAAGAATATCATAGCTACCAGTAGTTTGGTGCCACTGTCTTGATTTGTGCTAAGTTTGACCCACCATTGGTTTTGCTTTTACATTATTGGAGCAAATGCCAACACAGCTTAAGAAAAAAAGGTGAATAATGCTTTACTGTATTATGAAAATAGTTTTAACCTCATGTACTCACTATCCCAAAGGGTCTATGAATCATACTTTGGAGGCCCTATCCTGGGGCATAGGTCTTCCAGGAGGTTCTCTAAGTGTCAGAATTGGTTCTGACATTTGTCCTCTTGTGAACCCAGAATTACCATACTCTTTTCCTTCTCTCCAAGGATGTTCCCAGAGTATAAGAAGTTTTTCCTTTTAAATTCTCAAATGACATAAGCTTTGAATATACCCTCTTTTTGACAATAAAACAATGACCCTATGCCTACACATCTAAATAAAGTTGCTTTCAGTGATTTGAAAGTCCTCCATCTTCATCCTTCTAAAAGAACCCACCTTTTACAATTCCAATAATGTGTTCTGCCCCTTCATCCTAAAGACGAGTGAACACAAAATACAAATCTAATCTCCATTGAGTCACAACCCTAGCACACATTTCAATACACATTAATTTCCTAATAGCCATAATCAAGGTAGAAGACTAGCGTTGAATAAGAGAAGAAAGGGAGCATTTTCAAATTAGTGAAAGCACAATTTTTATTATTATACCACAGATATTGACAGATTTCATTTTTGCTGTAACATGTACTTAATATTTGAGATTGGTATTTCCAAGAAGAAACCACAGTTAGAATTATAAAAATAAAAATGACGTCTTGTAACCTTGAGGCTTGTGCATGAAAACAAGGCTGTGTAATAGAAAGAAGATTCTGAGCCCCTTTTCCTCAAGTCTTAGAGCTGCCCATGGTTTCATCTGTCAGAACATCTGCCATAGGCTGATGAAGAATGATATAGATATAGCATAATGGTGACACTTTCCTACATTTAGGATTTGAAATAGCTTTTTTTTTTTTTAATGAAGGACAGATGAAAAGAAGTCCAAGATGAGATTGACAGGTAGACGTATTCCCTGGAGATATACATTGCTATTCTTTGGAGTCGGAAAAATAAGCCAGACTTAATTTGTCTACATAGTTATACTTTCCATTTTTGTGGCATTTTAGAATTTATTAAACATTTAGCATGCACTATCTTATTCTCTTCACAACATTCCCAAAGTAGGTCTTTGGGTTTTTGTTTTTCTCTCTCTCTTCATTTGACCAAAGGAAGTCAAGGCTGAATGATTTGCCCAAGGTCACACTACTGTAAGTATCCAACCCATGTCTGTGTACCCAGAGTGCAATGTTCCATCTAGTGAGCAGCTTGTGGCTTCAGGGAAACCTTGACGGTACAGAGGAAAAAGTGGAAGTTGAAAAGTTAAATATGGTAGAATGAAATTCCTTATTCATCTCTGCTTGCGCTAGGCTGTTGGCAACACAACACCATGCCCCTTCTGTGTTCCTCCCCTGTATTCCAGGGACTAGATGCCTGGGAGCACATTCCCAAAATCCCTTGCCAGAGTGTTTCCAGGTTAGGGCAAAGGTAGAAGGGAGGTAGACATGATATTGTTGATCTTTTGGCAAGAATGTGCAGAAGTGTAGTCTCAGTGGATGTGAGGTTTGCAGCTGCCTCCAGGTGGTTTGCAGTTTTGCACCTGACTCAGTGTCACAAATGTTATTGATGGTCACTTGTGGTTTCCTGTGATTTCTGCAACTTTCCAACTCTGACAGCTAATGGTGAACCTGAGAACAAGTAGAGGGTTTGTTTAATCTTTGAAACTCCTGCCCTTTCCACAGTGTCCTAAACGTTTACATTGCCTAAATTAAATTATTTCCTGCTTGAAATACCTTGTGCGGCTTATCATTTTCTGAAAAGTACTAATTGATAAATTTCTCAACCCCACTAAAAGAACACTGAGGCAAGAAAAGTGGCATAAATCTTCAAGGACAAGAATGTGAGTTAAAACAACTGCAGAGACAGCAATTTATTTTTTAGAAGATAGGATTCAGATGAGCAATTGATTCAAATGGTAACTGATATATCAGGGAGTAGAACACTGAAACTCAACTGCAGGTAGTGGGGAAATGCTGTTAAGAAGGAACCTGATTAATACTGTAACACAGATTCCTGGAAGGTTTCAAGAGTAGAAGGCACCAGATAATTTTGAAGTTGGTAGTGCAGGATAAGTTAGAAATAGATGTATTTATTGAAAGTATATAAGTATAGTTTGTGGGCTGACAAAATTTTTCTGTAAAGAGCCATGTATTAGTCTGTTCATGGCACTACAACAAAACACCATAAACTGGGTGGCTTATAAACAACAGAAATCTATTTCTCACAGTTCCAGATGCTGGGAAGTCCAAGATCAAGGCAGCAATAGATTTGGTGTCTGGTGAGAGATGTCTTCTTTTGTAATATCACCTGGTAGAAAAGGGTCAAGGAAGCTCTCTGGGGCCTCTTTTATAAGGACACTAATCCCATTGATAAGGGTTCTGCCTTCACGATCTAATTATTTCCCAAAGGCCTCTACCTTCTAATACCATCATGTATGTCATTAGGTTTTCAACATATGAGTTTTGTGGGGACATAAACATTCAGTCTATAGAAGACCAGATAGTAAATATTTTAGGTATTGTGCATTGTATTAGTCTGTTCTCACGTTACTAATAAAGATATACCCGAGACTGTGTAGTTTATAAAGGAAAAAGGTTTAATTGACTCACAGTTCTGCATGGCCTGGGAGGCCTCAGGAAACTTACGATCATGGTTGAAGGGGAAGCAAACACATCCTTCTTCACGGGCAGTAATGAGGAGAAGAACAAGCAAAGGGGCACGGGGTGGGGAAAGCCCCTTACAAAACCATCAGATTTCATAAGAACTCACTCACTATCACAGGAATAGCATGGAGGTAACCGTCCTCATGATTCAATTAGCTCCCACCAGACCCCTCCCACAATACCTGGGGATTATAGCAACTATAATTCAAGAGGAGATTTGGGCGGGGACGTAGTCAAACCACATCATTCTGCCCTGGCCCCTCGCAAATCTCATGTCCTCCCATTTCAAAATAAATCATGCCTTCCCAACTGTCCCCCAAAGTCTTAACTCATTCCAGCATTAACTCAAAAGTCCAAGCCTAAAGTCTCACCTGAGACGAGGCAAGTCCCTTACACCTTGAGCCTGCAAAATCAAAAGCAAGTTAGTTACTTCCTAGATATAGTGGGGGTATAGGCATTGGGTAAATACAGCCATTCCAAATGGGAGAAATTGGCCAAAAAAAGGGTGCTGCAGGCCACACAAGTCCAAAATCCAATAGGGCAGTCATTAAACCTTAAAGTTCCCAAATGATCTCCTTTGACTCCAAGTCTCAAATCCAGGTCACACTGATGCAAGAGGTAGACTCCCAGGGCCTTGGGCAGCTCTACCCCTGTGGCTTTGCAGGGTACAGCCCCCATCCTGGCTGCTTTCATGGGCTAGCATTGAGTGTCTGTGGCTTTTCCAGGCACGCGGTGCAAGCTGTCAGTGGATCTACCATTCTGGGGTCTGGAGGATGGTGGCCTCTTCTCACAACTCTACTAGGCAATGCCCCAGTGGGTACTTTGTGTAGGGGCTCTGACTCCCTGTTTCCTTTCTGCACTGCCCTAGCAGAGGTTTTCCATGAGGGCTCCACCCCTGCAACACACCTCTGCCTGTACATCTGGGCATTTTCATACATCCTCTGAAATCTAGGAAGAGGTTCTCAAACCTCAATTCTTGCCTCTACATATCCACAGGACCAACATCACTTGGAAGCTTTCAAGGCTTGGGGCTTGCACCCTCCAAAGCCACTGCCTAAGCTGTACCTTGGCCCCTTTTAGCCATGGCTGGAGTGGCTGGAACACAGGGCATCAAGTCCAAGGCTGCACACAGCAGGGAGGCCTTGGACCTGGTCAAGGAAACCATTTTTTTTCCTCCTAGGCTTCCAGGCCTGTGATGGGAGGGGCTGTCTTGAAGGTCTCTGACATGCCCTGGAGACATTTTTCCATTGTCTTGGTGATTAACATTAGGCTCCTCATTACTTATGCAAATTTCTGCAGCTGGCTTGATTTTCTCCCCAGAAAATGGGGTTTTCTTTTCTATGGCATAGTCAGGCTGCAAATTTTCCGAACTTTTATGCTCTGCTTCCCCTTGAAAGCTTTGCTGCTTAGAAATTTCTTCCCCCAGATACGCTAAATCATCTCTCTCAAGTTCAATGTTCCACAGATCTCTAGGTCAGGGGCAAAATGATGCAAGTCTCTTTGCTAAAGCATAACAAGAATCACCTTTGCTCCGGTTCCCAATAAGTTCCTCATCTCCATCTGAGACCACCTCAGCCTGGACTTCATTGTCCCTATCACTATCAGCATGTTGGTCAAAACCATTAAACAAGTCTCTAGGAAGCCTCAAACATTCCTACATCTTCCTGTCTTCTTCTGAGCCCTCCAAACTGTTCCAACCTCTGCCCGTTAGCCAGTTCCAAAGTCACTTCCGCATTTTTGAGTATCTTAATAGCAGTACCCCACTCTACTGGAACTAATTTACTGTGTTAGTTCATTTTCATACTGCTATGAAGAAATACTTGAGAGTGAGTAATTTATAAAGAAAAAAAGGTTTAATGGACCCAAAGTTCCACATGGCTGGGGAGGTCTCACAATCGTGGCGGGAGGCAAAGGAGGAGCAAAGGCACATCTTACATGGTGACAGGCTGGAGAGCATGTGCAGGGGAACTGCCCTTTTTAAAACCAGCAGATCTCATGAGACTTATTCACTATCATGAGAACAGCATAGGAAAACCCACCCCTATGATTCAATTACCTCCAACCAGGTCCCTCCCATGACGTGGGGATTATGGGAGCTACATTTCAAGATGAGATTTGGATGGAGACACAGACAACCCATATTATGCATCCTATGGTCTCTGTCACAACTATTTGATTCTGTTGTTGCAGTGTGAAAGGAGCTGTAGACAATGCTTAAATGAAAGGGCTTAACTGTACTCCAATAAGATTTTATTTACAAAATAAGAAGCAGATCAGATTGGCCCATAGGCCATAGTTTTACTAACTCCTGTTTGGACTGTTAAAACCTTTCATCAGAGTGCATAGGTCTGCCCACTCAGGATAAGACAAAAAGTTTACTCTCTGGAAAGGTTGAAATAAAGATATTATTTAGTTGAGGATGCCAGACATAGCTGGGGTTTGGATATGGAGTGAAAATTTCTATAGAAAATTGAGAAACTATATATAAACATGAAAACCAAGCCATGTGACCCATAGAGACCAAACCTAGCATGACTTTTACAAAGGATATATTTTGGAAATATGGAGGCAAATAACAAAAGAAACACTAAAGGAAAACTGAAAGTGATTGCCCAAGAGAAGTGAGAATCACAAGTGAATCACTTTATCAGTATGAAAATGTTGCATATATTATTTGGATAAAATTAAAATTGAAATAAGAAAAAGTAACTGTAGAAGAATTCAAGGTATTGCATGCATGTTTCATGAGCCCATGGAGTCATCAATGTAGATATTACTATCCTGCTTTTCCAAATAAAGAGGCTGAAAAGTCAAACTCCAAAGCTGAATAACAGAGGAGAAACTGTTGCTTCAAAGAAGGGAAATATATTGGACTTAGTTGGTATGAGTAGAAAAAGTTATCAGTTAATTAGTGGAAAGTATTGGTAGAAATTCACATATACAGAGAGCACTACAGAGTGTTTAAACTTTTGTGACCACAAATGGGAGCCAAGGATATTGTTGGATACCAACAATTCCAACTGAGATGAAGATTTTGGCTAAGACCAAGTGATGCTGGCATCACTCCTAGTTGCCCTAGCAATGAGTACCCTCCTCATGTTAATGATGCAATAAAAAATGCAAATGGTGCAAAAATAATTAGGTTCAGAGTACCATGTGGCTAGTTAGCTCCATCTGAGAGGAGGTATTGGAATTAAATTTGTAGGGTTGAGGTGTATGTGCAATAAAGGATGAAATCATTAGGAGATGGGCTTGAGTCATAAATAAATGTGGGCTGGAGACTCTCTTGGTTGCTGACCTGTTCCATTTCTTTCTGATATCATTGAAGTAGGTGTATGTTAGTGATTCTTCAGTATCTTACCTGTTCCACCTGGAGCCATCACTTCAGGCAAGGAAACTCTAGGACATGTAGATAATAGAGCTCATAACTCACACCTCATGGCTTTGTAAATTAACTTGGTTTACTAGGAATTATCACAACTGCCTTACCCAATTACCTTTCCCATTTATTGTCACTGTCTAGAAGGATAAAGCCTACTTAAACAAGTATGGATAAGAGAAAGGAGGAGCTGATGAGAAACTGGGCTTTAGCAACATAAAATAAAATTCTTTTTTTTCCCTGGTATAATATTTATCTTTAATTTGCTGTTGGTTTTGCAACCTTTCAATAATAGTGTAAGCATAATTTGTATCTGTTTTTACTTTGAACAGTATAATTCTGGATAACGCTTCCTTAGTTTGTGCTTTTGTCTTTCTTTTTTCTGTTTTTTTTTTTGTTAACTTTTATTTTAATTTCAGGGGTACATGTACAGGTTTGTTACGCAGGTAAACTTGTGTCATGGGGTATTGTTGTACAGATTTTTTCATCCCCAAATACCAAGCCTAGTACCCAGTAGTTATTTTTTTTTGATCCCCTCCTTCATCCTACACTTCATCCTCAAGTAGGCCCCAGTGTCTGTTGTTCCCTCTTTGTGTCCATGGGTTCTCATCATTTAGCTTCCACTAGCAGATAAGAACATGCAGTGTTTGGTTTTCTCTTCCTGCATTAGCTTGCTAAGGGTAATGGCCTCCAGCTCCATCCATGTTCCTGCAAAATACATGATCTCATTCTTTTTTATGGGTGCATATTATTTCATGATAGGACATAATTCTTAAATATCACATCTGCCTCTCATAAACTGATGACACTGGGCAACCTCTTTAGAGTCTCAGCTTTCTCTTCTCTTAAAAAATATTAGGGGGATTGTGGTGGTTAATTTTACGTGTCAACTTGATTAGGCCACTGGGTGCCCAGGTATGTGGTTAAACATTATTTTAGATGTGTCTGTGATGGTGTTTCTGGATGAAATTAACATTCAAATTGGTAGACTGAGTAAAGTAGATTGCTCTCCCCAATGCAAATGGGCCTTATCCAATCTGTTGAAGGCCTGGATACAACGAAAAGGCCAAGGAATGGAGAATTTGGTCTCTTGCTGCCTGATTTTCTTCAAGTTGGGATATTGGTTTTCCCCTGCTTTTGGACTTCATTTAGAGCTTACAACACCAGCTCTCCTGGGTCTCCAGCTTGCCAACTACAGATCTTGGGACTTAGTTTTCAAAATCATGTGTGCCAAATCCTGATAATAAATGTCTTTATTTATATCTACATGTCTCCTATTGGTTCTGATTCTCTGAAGAACCTTGACTAATATCTTCTTCATTTGAGTTTCTGAGGAAAGGTTTTATTTAGCACAGCACCTGACCAATTGTAAGTATATGCACATGGAAAAAAGATGATAGGTCTTATTATTATCACCATCTGCTTAGAAAAAACATCCCAAAGAAAAACCCAGAAGGATAAACCTTGTTGATTATCCTTGAGGGAGAAGCAGTTGGGAGTAGCAGACTAAGAAATAAACGTTGGGGTTAGATGGAGACTCTGCTCCCCACATATTAAGTGTAGGATTTTGAACCAATTATCTAACCTCATGTTATATCAGTTTCCTCTTCTATAGATTAGAGTCAATAAACACTCTTTTCATTTGAGAATAGAATGTAATAACATAGACAATCTTTTATTCAGTAAAGGTGATATTATTGTAAGAGGTCAAATGATTACCAAAGACCATGCAATTGGTTAGGGAGAATAGGGTCTCAAGCCAAGCCTCCTGACAGTTCAGCCCCAGAACCTCCCATTTCATCAATATTTTTGTAGCAAGAGAGCCATCCCCTGATTTCACTGAGTGAGAAAGGATTCCTCTGGCACTGCCTGAAAGTGAATGCACACTTTTTTATATGACCTTCTTCAACTACACATGTTTAAAGAGGGAAGAAAATCTTCATTTGGCATGAACAGTTCTTTTCTTTCTTCTGCTAACCACTGAAATAGAGCTGTCCCCTAAAGAGAGCCTCTGATCTTGTCTTTCTTTTTTTTAAATTAAAGCTCTGAATGGCTAATGACCAGCCTACCAAGGGTGAGGGTTGGATGAACAAGTCCCTATCGAATAAGATGCCAGTGGCTGCACAAGCCATCAAATACTAGGCATCTAAGATATTCATAATTACTCCCAATGATTTCTCAGACTGGCACATATACATTGACCACATACCCATTAAATGCCCTCATCCATCCGAGGCAGCCATGGTGCACTTCCTTTTCAAACAGGAAATGCCTTTCAAGGCTGCACAACTCAAGAAACTGGAACTTCCGCCGGTCAGTGACAAACAAAGATAATTTGTTTCTGGATAAAACCCTAAATCTGTCAGCTTGTTCAGAGTATTGCACATTTCCTGGAATGTAAGACACAGCTTATCACAGTTCTGTGCAGTTATCAAGAGTGTAGATTTGCTATCCTGATACAATGTTCAGGTCACTATTCCACTTTTGATTACAAGAATCTCCTTAAAGCCTCACCTATGGGTAGATGAGTGCTTTGAAGACTGTGGAAACATTTTAAATGGTTTTTATCTTTTTCATGCCTTGTATTTATAAAAATAAATTTATCTTTTATATCATAATAAAATAAAGTATCAAAGTTCTTAACTTTTGGAGGATTGGGGGAGGCAGGGCTCAAAGATTCCTTTGGATCCTCTCTTCACACTATGAATGCATGCACACTTACATGTACACATACATGTGCACACACATGCATATACACATATGCAGATGTGCACACATAATTTTGTGCTGGATATTTAGCAATCCAACTCCCTAGTTAAGAACCATTGATTCTGATAAAGAGATGAAAATAGAGTGAGGAGTAAGATGTTTAGGCAGGTAGAAGGATTCCTGGGAAAATGAACAAATCCTGGTACGTACCTTCATGGCTCAGCTGCTGAAGAGTCCATTAAAAGTTCCAGATTTAGGTCTTAGAAGGAAGGAGGAAAGGAAAGAAAAAGGGAAGGAAGAAAAGAAAGGAGGTGGGAAGGAAGGAAGGAAGGAAGGCAGTAAGGAAGGCAGGCAGGCAAGCAGAAGAGAAGGGAAGAGGAAGGAAGAAAGGAAGGAGGAAAGGAAGGAAGGAAGGGAGGGAAGAGGGAGGGAGGGAGGGAAGGAAAAGAAGCTGAGAAGCTGGATGGAAAGACAAAAAGAGGAAAGGAGAGGGGGAGAGATAGAGGGTGAGGAAGGCAAGCAGACAGAGATAATCAGAGAAATTCAACAAATTCATATTGAATATTGCTTTACACAGGCAGGAAGCTAGGAACAGGGCATACTGATACACATAAACATTGTTTTTATCCTAGAGGGGTTTGCAGAATAGAAAGAGCAGCAACATGCAATAACTTAGCTCTGTAGAGGGGCGCACAAAGTTCTCAGGGAGGACAGGGGGTTGTGCAGGAAAGGCTTCAAACCAGAGGAGATATTTGAATTAAGCCTTGAATTATAACATCAATTTTCAGCAGACCACAAAGGTTTTAATAATTTTAGACCTTTTGAATGCCTGTGGATTTGTGCTGACAACATGCCTAATTCATTATTTGGAACTCCTTTTTCAACTGGAATGGTTGGACAGACACATAATGAGCATCTGCTTGAGGTAAGGACTGAGGGAGAGAAAGAAGGAGCATCATCTTACATGGCCTGCATTCCGCAGGGACTCAGAATCTAGGGGCCAAGGCAGGTTAACAAGGCTGGTGAGCGCAGAGCGAAGAGGGAGGCCAGGAAGGAGGGAAGAAGGAGGCCAGGGCAGGGGCACACAGGGCGGCCTGAGCAGCTGGGAGGCTTCCTCTGGGTTCAAGTAGTAGCACCAAGAGCAGGAACTGGCAGCTGAACCTAACAATGGGAGTACACCTGGCTCACTGTCCAGACACCTGGGCTTTTCTAGCAAAGGAAACCTCCAGAAACTTAGATGGGGAGGATTTTCTTCTTGACCTCCTCTTCTCATTTTCTCAATGCTACCATTTAGCAAATAAAAATGGTTACTTTTGGGGTTTCGTTGTTGTTGTTGTTGTTGTTGTTGTTGTTGTTGTTGCTTAATCCTTGGAAAATGTAGGCATGCTCAGAGAAGATCCTTGGAGCCCAGACTGCTTCTGGTTAGGTTAGCAGAGGGAATTGCAAATATTTTAAAAATGCAATCATGGCATTTTTATTTTAAAAAGTAGATTTAAAAAAACTATTTCAGCTGCTAGCCTCATCTTCTAACGTATTTCATTATAAGCAATGTTCTCACCTCACACCATTCCTCATTCTCCTCAGTCTTTGCTTTGATTTTATTATAGGATAGTGGAATAAACCCTTGTCTTGTTCAAAGGGCATCTAAAGCACAAAAAATAAGAAAGACTAGATCCATTTGGGGACTATTTGAGACTCTTCTAGGAATGTTTTCACTGATCTGTCATTCGACAGAGATTTTTTTTTCGAGGCCAACACAATGCCAGCCACAGCTCTAGACACTGAGGATATAGAAGAGGGGGAAAAAAATCCAGGTAAAAATCTCTACTCTCATAAAGCTTACATTCTAGCTAGGAGAGATACACTAAGAAAACAAAATTAATTTAAAATACACAATATTTCAGCTAGATAAGTATTATGGCGGCAAATAAAGCAAGGAAGAGGCATAGAGGATGCTAAGGTGGGAGAGGGTGGTAACTTTAAATCAAGTCATCAGGAATGCTCTCTCTGAGAATGTGGCTTCTGAGCAACTGATAAAGATCCTGCAAAACCCACAGATTTCTGTCCTGCCTCAGTTTTTTGAAAGAGATCTCTTTCAAAGTTTTTTGAAAGTTTTTTGAAAGAGATCTCTTTTTTGGTAGTCAAATATATATAACACAAAATGTGTCATTTAAACTATTCCCATGTGTACAATTCAGTGGTGTTCATTCCATTCACGATGTTGGGCCCCTAGTAACTTCTAATTCTCTGTCTCTAGGACTCTGCTTATTCTAGATCTTTCATGTAAGTGGGATCATACAATACGTGTCTTTCTGTGTTTAACTTATTTCACTTAGACGAATGTTTGCAAGGTTTGCCTGTGCTATAGCATGTGTCAATACTTCATTCCCTTTTATGGATGAATAATATCCTATTGTATGCATATACTGTACCATATTTTGTTTATCCATTCATCGGTTGATGAACATATTGGTTATTTCCACCGCCTTTTAATTATTGTGAATAATGTTGTAATGAATAAGGCTGTACAAATATCTGTTCATTCGCTGTTGTTTTCAATTCTTTAGGGTGTACCTACCAATGAAATTGCTGAATCATGTGATAGTTCTATGTTTAGTTTTTTGAGAAACTACTGACTTTTCTATAGCGACTATAACATTGTACATTTCCAAGAGCAATGTGGCAACCAACAAGGGTTCTACAACACTCGTTATTTTTCCTTTTTTTTTTTTGATGGAGTCTCGCTCTGTCACGCAGGATGGAGTGCAGTGGCATGATCTCAGCCCACTACAACCTCCACCTCCCATGTTCAAGTGAGTCTCCTGCCTCAGCCTCCTGAGTAGCTGGGATTACAGGTGCATGCCACCACTCCCAGCTAATTTTTGTATTTTTAGTAGACACAGGGTTTCACCAGGTTGGCCAGCATGCTCTCTCTCTCCTGACCTTGTGATCCACCTGCCTCGGCCTCCCAAAGTACTGGGATTACAGCTTGAGCCACTATGCCTGGCCTATTTTTCCTTTTTTAAAAATTATAGCCAGCCAGGCGCAGTGGCTCATGCCTGTAATCCCAGCAATTTGGAAGGCTGAAGTGGTTGTATCACCTGAGGTCAGGAGTTCGAGACCAGCCTGGCCAACCTGGTGAAACCCCGTCTCTATTAAAACTACAAAAATTAGCCAGGCTTGGTGGCAGGTGCCTATAATCCCAGCTACTTGGGAGGCTGAGGCAGGAGAATCACTTGAACCCGGGAGGTGGAGGTTGCAGTGAGCCAAGATCATGCCATTGCACTCCAGCCTGGGGCACAGAGTGAGACTCCGTCACAAAAAAAAAAAAAAAAAGAAAGAAAAATGTATAGCCATCCTCACAGGTATAAAGTAATACCTCATTGTGGTTTTGATTTGCATTTCCCTGATGACTAGAGGTGTTGAACATATTTTCATGTGCTTGTTGGCCACGTATATCTTTGGAGAAATGTTCATTTAAGTCATTTGCCCATTTTTTAATTTGGTTGTCTTCTTGTTGTTGACCTTTAGGAGTTCTTTATATGTTCTCGATATTAAATCCTTACCAGATATATAATTTGCAAATATTTTCTATTTGAAGAGGTCTTTTTAACAAAAACCAGCTTGAAAAAGTTCGAGGATTGAGGCAAAATAAAAAAGTAAAGGAGGCAGAGCACAGATTATTCTTTGAGAGAATGGGTAGTAAAGAGAAAGAGGTCAGTAGAGAAGATTCATTTTATAAAACTGAGAAATATAGACAGGAAGGAAGGATACGGTGAAAAGTGACAGATTCAAAGAGGGGTAATTGATAGGGTGAGGTTCCAGAGAAGGGAGTGGTTATAAGGGTATGTAAGGATATGGCTGGAATGTGAGTTGTGAATAGAAATGATGGTCAGCAGTGACCTCTTTTTCCTGACAGAAGAAGGAACGTGATAAAGCAGGGCTCCTTGTCCTCTCTGACATCCTCTTGAATGTGGGAAGACAATTTAAAATAAATCAAGTCAGTATCTTGAATTTATAATTTTTCCCTCATAAATTCTGTATGGTTACTGAACAGTTATTTATCTCCAAAACAGCTTCAAAGAAAAAGCATAAAACTGATGCCTGTACATTACAAGCATGAATCAAATTTCTTTAAAAGCCTCTACATTTTCTGTGTCTCCCAATTTCTGGGTCAAGACATTTCATAAAGAACTGCTTCCTATTGAACCTTTGAATGGTGGTATGATGAAACTTTTATTTTGTTAAGCCTACTCCTACAATTATGTGTGTTTATTCCTAGTATTCTCAAATTTATGCTATAAATATCCATGTTTCAAGACTCAAAGTAAAACAACCTTTACCAGTTGTTCCTGCAAAACCAGCCTTTTATTGTGTCTGCAAAGAAAAGTTCTGTCATCAAGTATGTTGAGAAATGCCCCATCCTCTTGCCCACTCTTGGAGTTAAAGGGCTTATTACCATGTTGAAAGACCTTAGAAGTCCTGCAGAAAAGAAACCAGTTTATCTTGGATAACCCAGGGTTTCAAAAACCTCATTTGAGCATAGAATACTTTGTTCTATGTCAGCTAGAACCTACTAACCCCCTAGGACTGGAATTCCAGAAAATGAGTTTTGGGAAATGCTGACCTGGATGAACAATTTCTTCTCTGGGATGTTCCTCCTCTCATTAGTTTCATCTCACTAATCTCAGAAGAAAATCTGTCTCATCTTTGGCAGTGTTTTTGTTGTGTCCCTCCTGTTCTTTTGCTCTTTGCTTTCCTCTAGGAAGCATTTAGAGTGGCATTTCCATGAATGGCACTCTAGAGAATCAAGTCTCATAATAAAAGCTGAAATATAATGAAATACATGTACACATATAAGCATATGTACATACATACACACACATATAGGTATACTCTACACATACATACACGTGTGTGTATATGTATACATGCACATACATTATTTGTATTAGTCTGTTCTCATGCTGCTGATAAAGACATATCCAAGACTGAGCAATTTACAAAAGAAAGAGGTTTAATAGACTTACATTTCCATATGACTGGGGAGGCCTCACTATCATGGCAGAAGGCAAGGAGGAGCAAGTCACATCTTACATGGATGGCAGCAGGCAGAGAGGGCTTGTGCAGGGAAACTCCCCCTTATAAAACCATCAGATCTCATGAGACTTACTTACTATCATGAGAACAGCATGGGAAAGACCAGCCCCCATGATTCAATTACTTCCCACCAGGTCTCTCCCACAACACATGGGAATTCAAGATGAGATTTGTGTGGGGATACAGACAAACCTAATCATTATTTTTATTACTGTTAGCTCAATTTCTTTATACTGTCCTAATCTCTGAAACCCCTTTGGCAGTTTCATGGGCACCTTTCCATGCATGGGGTTTTCAGGCAGAGATACCTCAGTAGGAGTGTGGAAATGTGTCCTAGGGTTGTGGAGAAGGCTGCAAATTGAGCCCCATATGAACACCCAGGCTAACAGCAAGGTGGCATGGCAGACAGCTTCAAGCCTGCCCACAGATACTTCTGGAGAAAGGGGCAGTTGGTTTGCAACAAACTGGTTTGATAAGCCTATTGGCTCTTTCCTGCTGCTATGATCAGGAATCTCTACTGTAATTACAATGAAGGGACTCCATCAACAAGAATACCATCTATTAAACATATGTGATATGGAGGGTCCATTCCAAGATGGCTGAATAGGAACAGCTCCAGTCTGCGGCTCCCAGTGTGATCAACACAGAAGACAGGTGATTTCTGCATTTCCAACTGAGATACCTGGTTCATCTTACTGGGACTGGTTGGACAATGGGTGCAGCCCACAGAGGGTGAGTCAAAGCAGGACAGGGCATCACCTCACCTGGGAAGTGCAAGGGGTCGGAGGATTTCCCTTTCCTAGCCAAGGGAAGCCAAGAGAGACTACCTGGAAAAATGAGACACTCCCACTCAAATACAGCACTTTTCCAATCGTCTTAGCAAACAGCACACCAGAAGATTATATCCTGTGCCTGGCTCAGTGGGTCCCATGCCCACGGAGCCATGCTCGCTGCTAGTGCAGCAGTCTGAGATCAACCTGTGAGGCAGCAGCCTGACAGGAGAGGGGATTCTGCCATTGCTGAGGCTTGAGTAGGTAAACAAAGTGGCTAGGAAGCTTGAACCTGGGCAGAGTCCACCACAGCGCAGTAAGGCTTGCTGCCTCTATAGATTCCACTTCTGGGGGAAGGGCATAGCTGAGCAAAAGGCAGCAGAAACTTCTGCAGACTTAAACGTCCTTGTCTGACAGCTCTGAAGAAGCAGTGGTTCTCCCAGCACAGTGTTTGAGCTCTGGGAATGTACAGGCTGCCTCCTCAAGTGGGTCCCTGACCCCCGTGTAGCCTAACTGGCAGACACCTCCAAGTAGGGGCTAGGGGCCAACTGACACCTCATACAGGTGGATGCCCCTCTGGGACAAAACTTCCAGAGGAAGGATCAGGCAGCAATATTTGCTGTTCTGCAATATTTGCTGTTCTGCAGCCTCTGCTGGCAATACCCAGGCAAAAAGGGTCTGGAGTGGACCACCTGCAAACTTCAACGGACCTGCAGCTGAGGGACCTGACTGTTAGAAGGAAAACCAACAAACAGAAAGGAATAGCATCAACATTAACAAAAAAGACATCCACACCAAAACCCCATCTGTAGGTCACCAACATCAAAGACCAAAGGTAGATAAAACCACAAAGATGGGGAGAAACAAGAGCAGAAAAGCTAAAAATTCTAAAAACCAGAACACTTCTCCTCCAAAGGATCACAGCTCCTCGCCAGCAACTGAACAAAGCAGGACGGAGAATGACTTTGACAAGTTGACAGAAGTAGGCTTCAGAAGGTCGGTAATAACAAACTTCTCTGAGCTAAAGGAGGGTGTTCGAACCCATTATAAGGAAGCTAAAAACATTGAAAAAAGATTAGACGAATGGCTAACTAGAATAAACAGTGTAGAGAAGACCTTAAATGACCTGATGAAGCTGAAAACCATGGCATGAGAACTAAGTGACGTGTGCACAAGCTTCAATAGCCAATTCGATCAAGTGGAAGAAAGGGTATCAGTGATTAAAGATCAAATTAATGAAATAAAGTGAGAAGAGAAGTTTAGAGAAAAAAGAGTAAAAAGAAATGAACAAAGCCTCCAAGAAATATGGGACTATGTGAAAAGACCAAATCTACGTTTGATTGGTGTACCTGAAAGTGATGGGGAGAATGGAACCAAGTTGGAAAACACTCTGCAGGATATTATCCAGGAGAACTTCCCCAACTGAGTGAAGCAGGCCAATATTCAAATTCAGGAAACACAAAGAACACCACAAAGATACTCCTCGAGAAAAGCAACCCCAAGACACACAATGGTCAGATTCAACAAGGTTGAAATGAAGGAAAAAATGTTAAGGGCAGCCAGAGAGAAAGATCAGGTTACCCACAAAGGGAAGCCCATCAGACTAACAGCAGATCTCTCAGCAGAAACTCTACAAGCCAGAAAAGAGTAGGGGCCAATATTCAACGTTCTTAAAGAAAAGAATTTTCAACCCAGAGTTTCATATCCAGCCAAACTAAGCTTCATAAATGAAGGAGAAATAAAATCCTTTACAGACAAGCAAATGCTGAGAGATTTTATAACCACCAGGCCTGCCTTACAAGAGCTCCTGAAGGAAGCACTAAACATGGAAAGGAACAACTGGTACCAGCCACTGAAAAAACATGCCAAATTGTAAAGACCATCAATGCTATGAAGAAACTGCATCAATTAATGGGAAAAATAACCAGCTAACATCATAATGACAGGACCAAATTCACACATAACAATATTAACTTTAAATGTAAATGGGCTAAATGCCCCAATTCAAAGACATAGACTGGCAAATTGGATAAAGAGTCAAAACCCATCAGTGTGCTATATTCAGCACGTAAACCCATCTCACGTGCAAAGACACACATAGGCTCAAAATAAAGGGATGGGGGAAGATCTACCAAGCAAATGGAAAGCAAAAAAAAGCAGGGGTTGTAATCCTAGTCTCTGATAAAACAGACTTTAAACCAACAAGGATCAAAAGAGACAAAGAAGGCCATTACATAATGGTAAAGGGATCAATTCAACAAGAAGAGCTAACTATCCTAAATATATAGGCACCCAACACAGGAGCACCCAGATTCATAAAGCAAGTCCACAGAGACCTACAAAGAGACCCTGACTCCCACACAATAATAATGGGAGACTTTAACACCCCACTGTCAATATTAGACAGATCAACGAGACAGAAGGTTAACAAGGATATCCAAGACTTGAACTCAGCTCTGCACCAAGTGGACCTAATAGACATCTACAGAACTCTCCACACCAAATCAACAAATATACATTCTTCTCAGCACCACATCGCACTTATTCCAAAATTGACCACATAGTTGTAAGTAAAGCACTCCTAAGCAAATGTGAAAAAGAGAAATCACAACAAACTTGTCTCTCAGACCACAGTACAATCAAATTAGAACTCAGGATTAAGAAACCTATTCAAAACTGCACAACTGGCCAGGCGCGGTGGCTCATGCCTATAATCCCTGCACTTTGGGAGGCCAAGGCAGGAGGATCACAAGGTCAGGAGATCCAGACTATCGTGGCTAACATGGTGAAACCCCATCTCTACTAAAAATACAAAAAAATTAGCCAGGCATGGTGGCAGGCAACTGTAGTCCCAGCTACTCAGAGGCTGAGGCAGGAGAATGGCATGAGCCAGGGAGGTGGAGGTTGCAGTGAGTTGAGATTGCACCACTGCGCTCCAGCCTGGGTGACAGAGCAAGACACCATCTCAAAAAAAAAAAAAAAAAAAAAAAAAAACAACTGCACAGCACAACTACATGGAAACTGAACAACAGTGATTCAGGAAACTTCTCCTGAATGACTACTGGGTAAATAATGAAATGAAGGCAGAAATAGATATTCTTTGAAACCAATAAGAACAAAGACACAATGTACCAGAATCTCTGGGACACATTTAAAGAAGTGTGTAGAGAGAAATTTATAGCACTAAATGCCCACAAGAGAAAGCAGGAAAGATCTAAAATTGACACCCTACTATCACAATTAAAAGAACCAGAGAAGCAAGAGCAAACAAATTCAAAAGCTAGCAGAAGGCAAGAAAGAACTAAGATCAGAGCAGAACGGAAAGAGATAGAGACACAAAAAACCCTTCAAAAAAATCTACGAATCCAGGAGCTGGTTTTTTGAAAAGATCAACAAAACTGATAGACCGTTAGCAAGACTAATAAAGAAGAAAAGAGAGAAAAATCAAATAAACACAATAAAAAATGTTAAAGGGGATATCACCACCGATCCCACAAAAATACAAACTACCATCAGAGAATGCTATAAATATCTCTACCCAAACAAGCTAGAAAATCTAGAAGAAATGGGTGAATTCCTGGACACATAGGACACATACACCCTCCCAAGACTAAACCAGTAAGATGTGGAATCTCTGAATAGACCAATAATAGGTTCTGAAATTGAGGCAATAATTAATAGCCTACCAAGTAAAAAAAGTCCAGGACCAGACGGATTCACAGCTGAATTCTACCAGAGGTACAAAGAGGAGCTGGTACCATTCCTTCTGAAACTATTTCAATCAATATGAAAAGAGGGAATTCTCCCTAACTCATTTTAGGAGGCCAGCGTCATCCTGATACCAAAGCCTGGCAGAGACACACACAAAAAAGAGAATTTTAGACCAATATCCCTGACGAACATTGATGAACACTGATGCAAAAATCCTCAATAAAATACTGGCAAGCCGAATCCAGCAGCACATCAAAAATCTTATCCACCACGATCAAGTCGGCTTCATCCCTGGGATGCAAGTCTGGTTCAACATATGCAAATCAATAAACCTAATCCATCACATAAACAGGACAAACGACAAAAACCGCATGATTATCTCAATAGATGCAGAAAAGGCCTTTGACAAAATTCAACAGCCCTTCATGCTAAACACTCTCAATAAACTAGGTATTGATGGAACATATCTCAAAATAATAAAAGTTATTTATGACAAACCCACAGCCAATATCATACTGAATGGGCAAAAACTGGAAGCATTCCCTTTGAAAACTGGCACAAGACAGGGATGCCCTCTCTCACCACTCCTATTCAACATAGTGTTGGAAGTTCTGATTGCCAAGGCAATCAGGCAAGATAAAGAAATAAAGGGTATTCAATTAGCAAATGAGGAAGTCAAATTGTCCCTGTTTGCAGATGACATGATTGTATATTTAGAAAACCCCATTGTCTCAGCCCAAAATCTCCTTAAGCTGTTAAGCAACTTCAGCAAAGTCTCAGGATACAAAATCAATATGCAGAAATCACAAGCATTCTTATACACCAATCACAGACAAACAGAGAGCCAAATCATGAGTGAACTCCCATTCATAATTGCTACAAAGAGAAGAAAATACCTGGGAATCCAACTTACAAGGGATGTGAAGGACCTCTTCAAGTAGAACTACAAAGCACTGCCCAATGAAATAAGAGGACACAAACAAATGGAAGAATATTCCATGCTCATGGATAGGAAGAATCAATATCGTGAAAATGGCAATACTGCCCAAGGTAATTTATAGATTCAATGCCATCCCCATCAAGCTACCAATGACTTTCTTCACAGAATTGGAAAAAAACTACTTTAAAGTTCATATGGAACCAAACAAGAGCCCGCATTGCCAAGACAATCCTAAGCAAAAAGAACAAAGCTGGAGTCATCACGCTACCTGACTTCAAACTATACTACAAGTCTACAGTAACCAAAACAGGATGGTACAGGTACCAAAACAGATATATAGACCAATGGAACACAACAGAGGCCTCAGAAATAACACCACAGATCTACAACCATCTGATCTTTGACAAACCTGACAAAAACAAGAAATGGGGAAAGGATTCCCTATTTAATAAATGGTGCTGGGAAAACTGGCTAGCCATATGTAGAAAGCTGAAACTGCATCCCTTCCTTACACCTTATACAAAAATTAACTCAAGATGGATTAAAGACTTACATGTTAGACCTAAAACCATAAAAACCCTAGAAGAAAACCTAGGCAATATCATTCAGGACATAGGCATGGGCAAGGACTTCATGTCTAAAACACCAAAAGCAATGGCAACAAAAGCCAAAATTGACAAATGAGATCTAATTAAACTAAAGAGCTTCTGCACAGCAAAAGAAACTACAGGCAACCTACAGAATGGGAGAAAATTTTTGCAACCTACTCATCTGACAAAGGGCTAATATCCTGAATCTACAATGAACTCAAACAAATTTACAAGAAAAAAAACAACCCCATCAAAAAGTAGGCAAAGGATATGAACAGACACTTCTCAAAAGAAGACATTTATACAGCCAAAAAACACATGAAAAAATGCTCATCATCACTGGCCATCAGAGAAATGCAAATCAAAACCACAATGAGATACCATCTCATACCAGTTAGAATGGCGATCATTAAAAGTCAGGAAACAACAGGTGCTGGAGAGGATGTGGAGAAATAGGAACACTTTTACACTGTTGGTGGGAGTATAAATTAGTTCAACCATTGTGGAATACAGTGTGGTGATTCTTCAAGGATCTAGAATGAGAAATACCATTTGACCCAGTGATCTCATTACTGGGTATATACCCAAAGGATTATAAATCATGCTACTATAAAGACACACGCACACATATGTTTATTGTGGCACTATTCACAATAGGAAAGACTTGGAACCAACCCAAATGTCCACCAATGATAGACTGGATTAAGAAAATGTGGCACATATACACCATGGAATACTATGCAGCCATAAAAAAGGATGAGTTCATGTCCTTTGCAGGGACATGGATGAAGCTGGAAACCATCATTCTGAGCAAACTATTTCAAGGACAGAAAACCAAACACTGCATGTTCTCACTCATAGGTGGGAATTGAACAATGGGAACACATGGACACAGGAAGGGGAACATCACACACTGGGGCCTGTCATGGGGTGGGGGGCTGGGGGAGGGATGGCATTAGGAGAAATGCCCAATGGAAATGACTAGTTAATGGGTGCAGCAAACCACCATGGCACATGCATACCTATGTAACAAACCTGCATGTTGTGCACATGTACCCTAGAATTTAAAGTACAATTAAAAAAAAAAAAAAGAAAATCTGGTCCAGGCGTGGTGGGTCATGCCTGTCATCCCAGCACTTCAGGAGGTTGAGGCAGTCGGATCATCCAAGGTCAGGAGTTCCAGACCAGCCTGGCCAACATGGTGAAACCCCGTCTCTACTAAAAATACAAAAAAAAAAGCAAACAAACAAAAAAAAACAATTAGCTGGGCGTGGTGGCAGGCATCTTGTAATCCCAGCTACTTTGGAGGCAGAGACAGGAGAATCATTTGAACCTGGGAGGCGGAGGTTGCATTGAGCCAAGATCTTGCCATTGCACTCTGGGCAAAAAAAGTGAAACTCCATCTCAAAAAAAAAAAAAAAAAAAAAATCTGGCCGGGTGCGGTGGCTCACTTCTGTAAATCCCAGCACTTTGGGAGGCCAAGGGTGTGCAGATCACTTAAGGTCAGGAGTTTGAGACCAGCCTGGCCAACATGGTGAAACCCTGTCTCTAATAATAATACAAAAATTAGCTGGACATGGTGGTGCATGTCTGTAATCCCAGGTACTCGAGAAACTGAGGCACGAGAATCACTTGAACCGAAGAGGCAGAGGTTGCAGTGAGCTGAGATCGTGCCTGCACTCCAGCCTAGGCGACAGAGTGAGACACTGTCTCCAAAAAAAATTTTTCAAATGTTACATAGTGTGTATTCTACTTTTTCAAAAAATTGGAAAACTACTTTTAAAGGCATTTAACAAACAAGAAGTTCTGGAGAAATAACGTTTTACAGTCACAACAAACAAACATCAAATACCCAAGCATGTTTTGGCTTGTACCGTAAGTTCACCATATGGTCCTCATGGTTTCCTCTGTTAAGATGGAACTCTTTGGGGTAAACCAGCATGAAGGCAAAAAGAATTATCAGGATCTCTACTGAATCCTTGCCTCGATCCACAAGTCACCGTTGAACATGTATGACCATCTGGCGATGGGAGGCCATTCTTTTCAACAAGGAGACCAGTCAAAGAATGAATGGGAGGAGGGAAATATTCAGGTAAAACCAATAGGCATTTGACAATCACATCATGTCTAACACCAATTCTGTGCTTTCTAGGTTTTCTCCAAACATGAAATGTCAGTAAATGATGGAAATATCTAAAAAAAAAATTGTGATATGTTTCATACCTCATAGCAGTTACCAAAAAAAAGCAACAGAATGTTAACAAGCACAAATGTTTTCATGTTTAACAAAGCATAGCACAAAACTTTAAGCACTGCCTTTCATTTCAAAAGATGCCAGCAAGTCTGAAACATAAGATGCACATTAGGTAACCAACCAAACAAGGAGCAATATCCCGAGAAAAAAAAGCCCTACCAAATATGAATTTGAATTCCAAATTTAAAGGAGCATACTGAGTTTCTTTTGCTTGGTCTAGAATCAGAATGACAATGCTATTTATTTAGATGTAGAAATCAAAATTTAATATAAGAAGGAAGACATTTGATGGGAGAAGGTATTCTAGTCTAGAGATATTTAGGGGATAGGGAGAGATTAGACCAAAAACCAGGTCAATATGAAATGACAGACATCAGATTAAAAAACATGGGTCCCAGTGTTGCCACAATAGCAGACCTCCCTAGGGGTCAAAATAAATGAAAAGAGAGGAAGAGTATAGTCTCATTAAGGCAGCAAAATATAGAAAATAGACATGAATGTGCATCTGTGGTGAAATACAGTACTGACGGAAATTTTAGTCTTACTTAAATTTTGCAAGTCAGCCTGTAGCAATTGTTACAAGGGAAGGCAAAGCTACCATGAGTGGCAAACACTTGACATCTGTGTCATCACTCTCCCCTCCTATAAACATGGTAACCATTGCTAATTCATAGCTACACTTCCCTTCTTTAATCTTAACAAGTCCTCAGAGGCCTTATCAGCTCAGCATTTTTGGTAGCCACTTTGAGTCCATTTGAGTTGGCATGTGTAATGCGACCTATCTGCCACTCTTGAATTTAATTTGTATTGTAATAGGAAGTGAGAGCCACATTTCCAGGACAAGTTATACCATACAAATAACAAGTTTAGATGAAAGAAGGTTCCTGATTTCCAAACCGAATTTAGCACCCACCTAGAGAGGAGAAGAATATGAAGTAATGCCCAGCTGTAAGAAATCCAGCCGGGATACACAGTAAGTCTTAAAAGAGAAAAGGAGAATAACTACAGCTGATAAAGAGTTGTAATGACCAAATGAATCCCCAAATCAGAGGCTAGGTTAAATAAAAGCAGGGCTGATGAAAAGCTATTGGATTTGGGTACTAAGAGATTTTCAAGTAGATCTCTGAGTGCTATTTGTGTGCTGTGACTACCTCAGGAATCCAGGTGGGAGAGGCAATTATGTGTCTGCAGAAAAGGCAGACTGAGTTCTATTTTCAAGGAACATATGCCAAAAATACAAGTGAGGAAATTGGCTCATGCTTAGGCAGAAGTTGGTGATCAAGGAAGAATTTATTTTTAAATAATGGGAATCACAAAAATATGATTAAAACTCTGTGGAAAGAACCCCAGAGACTAAAGGTCTATTTTATAATAGCAACAGAAAGAGATGGAAAAATCCCAAAGAGAAAACCTGCGGGGACATAGCTGAGCAGCAAGAAATCAGAGGAAATTAATAAGAGTCCCGACACAAACCTCATGAACCAAAGACTTCAAGTGGCAGGAGGAAAAACTGCAAACTTTCTGTGAGTTAGGAATGGTGTAGACGACCAGTGAAAATTAGGGGAAGTGAATTTACACCGAGCTTTTCAGAGTGAAGCATATACACATCATTTTAGATTAAGATGGGGCTACAACTGAGGAGTCTATGACTCATGAGTAGAGGCCACACATCTATAGTGGCTTTGCCAGGCCATGCTCTTTCATCTCTAGTTCCTCTGTTAACCCTAAAATCTTGTTTCCACTCTACTAATTCCTCATGTACTGCCACCCACTCTTTCATGCAACTCAAATGGAGGGAAGAAATGAATCAGGGTTAGTGGTCAGACAGCCCAAGCTTTGAATCTTAACTCCTACGCTTACTCTCTGTTTACAACCACTGTTCCCTCACTTGTTAAGTGGAAATAGCAATTCATCTCTTTAAACGCCATTATGAGAACAAAATAAGAAAAGATACATAAAGCATCCGGAACCATACTTCATACTGATAGTTTCTTAATAATAACCAGCTATTGTTATTAAAAAGCCAAATAATTCCACTGTACACTTCTTCTGTAGATTAGTGCCATAAACATTTTATTTGACTGACATGCCCAGCACTGAAAAATAAATTGAATAACTTCTGCTTCTGGCTACGAGAGAGTAATAGGATCCAGGTTCATCCTCCCACCATAAATAATTACAAAAGTAGACAAAATATATAAACAACTGCTTTCAGACATTGGACCACAGGCAGTACAGGAGTGTGATCCTTAATAAAGACAAACAACAGAGGTGAGTCCTAAAATTTCTCTGGCTTAATTTTTTTTTCTGGTGCAGAGAGGAGGAATCCAAACAGAGCCCCACAGAGTCTGAGAGTTGAGGAAACAGAGATCAAAGATTGGGAAGGCTGAGGCAGCTAAAACGTTCAGGGCAGAATATCAGAAAAAAATTGAGTGACAAGAGAAAAAGCCCTAAAATTAACAGAGGGATCAATTTGAGTCTTTGACTGAATACCAGTTTACAGATGAATAAGAAAAAAACTCCATGAAATCAAGGACAGAACAACTTTCAGGGAAAGAACAATTCTGGGGGCATGTAAGCTAAAGTTTTCAGAGCTCACATGGGGCTAGGAACTATTTATGATTCCAGAAGCCAGAGTGGTGAAACTGTGTTGAGTGCATGGGGCATTCAGTAGAGAGCTCAGAACAGTCACAAAATACTAGTGACAATAAAGTAATCCTACGCTTACAATAAAAAAATGAAAACGATTAAAAACAAGTCTCAAAAGGATCAAAGTGATCCACAAGTAACTTACTGCCGGCCAACACTCGATAAAGGAAAAACCGAAAAAGAAAAACCTCAAAAACACTCAACCATTTAAAATGTCTAAAGCCTATCATCCATTTAAAAATTGATAGACATACAAAGAAGTAGTCCTAGAAACATGAAAAAAAATAAGTCAATGTAAACAGATCCAGGCGTGATGGAGATGGTACATTGGCAAATGATGATGTTAAATATGCCCAATATGCTCAGAAATTTGAAAGAAAAATGTTAATGTAACAAAGAAAGATAGAAATAAAAGATGTAAAAAAAACAAAATTTGTAGAAATAAAATATAAATTATGTAAAATTAAAATTTTACTGGATAGGATTTGCAGCAATTTTACACTACAAAAAAAATCAATAAAATTGGAAACATAATAATAGAAACTATCCAAAAATTAAATACACAGAATAGAAAGATTGAAGAAAAGAGAAATTTTTTAAAGAAAATACCAAGTTGTCTAATACATAGACATCATTGAAGTACAAGTAAAACGGTGGGTAGGACAGAAAATGTTCTTAAATAATAATGGTCAGAAATGTTCCACATTTCATAAAAATTATAAACTTACAGCTCCAAGGAACTCAAGAAACTTTAAGTAGGAAAAATATCAGAAAGAAAGAAAGGGAGGGGGAGGAAAAGAGGGAGAGGTGGAGGGAAAGAAAAGTGGAGGAAGACTAATTATAATTGAATTGCTGAAAAACAGAGATAAAGAGAAAATCTTAAAATTAGCCAAAGAAGAAAGGTCAAATAGATCTTGAAGAGCAAAGATAAGAATCACTTCAGGCTTTATGAAAATTATGCAAATCAGAGGCAATGGAATGACATATTTAAAGTGTTGAACTTAAAAAATAGCTGTTATCCTAAAATTCTATAACCATGAAAATAGCTTCCAAAAATAAAGCAGAAATAAAGACTTTTTATTTAGGCACACAAAAGCTGATGTGAGGAGACCTGAACTACAAGAAACATTAAAAGAAGTTCTTTAGAAAACAGGAACACTATATCAGATGAAAATCTGAATTTACAAAAATGAATGAAGAGTAAAGGAAGTGATAAATATATTATGAAATTATTTAAATGACACTTGTCAAAAGTAAAAAATATAATGAAATGTATCATGTGGCTTATAATGAATATAAATAAAATACATGTTGTTAATAGCACAAATTATTGTGCTATTATTATTGGAGGGGACAAATACAAGATACTAACATTATACAAGAAGTGGTGTAATATTGTTTTACATAGATTGTACTTAAAGATGTAGATTATAAATATCAGAGAAACAACTGAAAACATCCCCACAAACAGATACAGCTAATAAACCAACATGGAGATAAAATGTAACCACAAAAATGTTCAATAAACACAAAAGAAAGTACGAAAGCCAGAAAAATGAGCAAAACAAATGGCACAAATAGAAATAACATAGCAAGATACTAGATATAAATTCAACCATATTGATAATTAGATTAAATATTTTGTTTAATGCTCCAATTAAAAGAGAAATATTTGGAGAGGATAAGAAAGCAAAATCCCCTTTATAAGCTGTCTATAGAAAACTTATTTTAAAAATAAAGATACAGATAGTTTAAAAGGAATGGAAAGATATACGATACAAACACTATTCATAATATAGCTACAGTGGCTAAATTAGTATCAAAGAAAGTGGAACAAGGAATGCTATCAAGGATAAAAGGAACATAGCATAATAAAACATTAATTCATCAAGAAGACAGCAAACTTAAATGCATGTGCAGCCAATAACAACATTTCAAAATACATGAAACAAAAACTGACAGAAGAAGAAAATAAGCAGTTTCACAATTATAGTTGCAGATTTCAAAATCCCTTTCTCAACAACTGATAAAACAAATAGACAAAAATTCAGCAAGTATATGGAAGACTTGAACATTATCAAACCACTTGACCTAATTTACAAATATAGAACATTCCATCCAATAAGAGCAGAATATATATTCTTTTTAAATTCACCCAAAATGTTTACGAAGATATTATATTCTGGGTCATAAAAAACATTCAAAAATTTTCAAAAGTAAAATCATAGAAGATATATTTTGTGACCACACAAAATTAAATTAGATGTTAGAAAATACATTTTGGAAATATTCAAACATTTGGAAACTAAATGATAGACTTTTAAATAACTTTTTGGTTAAAGAAAAAGTTATAAGAATATTAGAAAATATTTTTATCTGGAGGAAAATGTAGATACATCAAACTTTATGGATGCAACTGAAGCAATGATTAAAGAATTGTATAGCTTTAAATGCTTACATTTGAAAACCATAAAGGTCTAAAATAAATGACTTAAATTTGCATTTTATTGTGATTGGGGCAGGGAATAAAGGAAAGGAAAGAGAGAAAGAAAGGAGTCAGTGAAAAGGAAGAAAGAAAGAGAAAGAGAGAGAAAGGAAGAAAGAAAGAGAGAAAGAAGGAAAGAGAGAGAAAGGGAGAGAGAAAGAAAGAAAAGGAGAGAAAGAAAGAAAAGAAAAGAAAGAAATAAAAAGAAAGAAAGAGAAAGAAAGGGAGGAAGGAAAAGAAAGAGGAGAGAAGGAAAGAAAGAGGGAAGAGAGAGAGAAGGAAGGAAGAAGGAAGGAAAGAAGGAAGGAAGGAAGGAAGGAAAATCCACCAAGACTCATTATAATTGAATTGCTGAAAAACAGAGATAAAGAGAAAATCTAAAATGTAGCCAAAGAAAAATGATCAAATGGGTCTAGAAGAACAAATCACTTATGACTTCACAAAAAGTATGCAAATCAGAGGCAATGGAATGACATATTGAGGACTTAATACAAGATAGGAGTTTTGGAAACTTTTCATTCCTTTAATCTTCAAGACAATGCTCTGATGTAGTCTTTGTTTTCCACATTTTACAAAAGAGAAAGCTAAGGCTCACAGAAATAAATGGCACATAGTAGTCATTAGTGGTAGGAGCATAACAGAATGTAATGCAGGTCCACCAGGTGTCCAATACTTGACCTCTTACCTCTTCCCACCATCCCAGTCATCTGTAGATTTGGTAGACCTGATCATATCAGTGTTATGGTGCTTATTAGGTGAGAAACACTGTTCTAAGTGCCTTAGAGCAATTCATTTAATCTTAATAACAACTCAGTGAGGCATGTCCTACAGTTTTATCACTGTCTTACATGTGAGGAAACTGAGGCACAGAGATGTTAAGTCATTTGCTCAAGGTTAAAATGTCTATAGGTAGAAGGTCCAGAATTTGACCCAACCTAAGTAGTTCCAGGGTTGCTGGCCTCAGCCACCCCGCTGTACTGCCTCTCACCACAAGCTGTCAAGTTCACATGCATCCTTGCTACCCCCAGGTGAGCAATGCCAAGTGAACTCCTGCTCATCAGAGGTCTGATCAGCAGCCACTCCAAAGGCAAGCCAGACATTGATGGATACATCAGCAAAACCTTTTCCAGCTTATTTTTTTCTTAAACTTTTCATAGTTCAGGTAACCACTAGAATAATAGATATTAGACTCCAGCCTTTCACCCTTTAGGAAATGTATTTCCCAGTCCACATGCCAGCACGTATCCCAAGCTGGGATGACAATTGGGTTTTATTTTTCTTAGAAAAGGTGAATTTCACACATGGAGTTGATCTCCATGGGTTGCTTTTGGTTTTGTTTTTATTTTTACTTTTTTTAAAAGAAAGAAAATATAAATTGGGAAGTTGTTCAAAGCAATATAGCAATTATTTACACTGCTTTTGTGCAGACACTTCTCCCAGCTGCTGCTAAAAAGGCGAGAAGACATTTTACCAAATGTTTTACCTGTGGCAACTCCCTTCTGTTTGTTACCTCTGAAGAAGCAAAGTGAATTTTGCCAAGAAGCAACGTGAAATGTGTTCTCAGAACCATATCCCTCCTTGTGTTTCCACGGGTAGGTGGGGGTGAATTTTTTCAGACTCCCTTTACTTACTTTGTCCTCATGGAGTTGAAATAATTGATCTAATTGCTCAATTTGGGAAGAATTCTGGAGCAAATTCTGTTTCTCTTTTACATTGTCTTGAGCTGCCTTCAGGGCTAAGAGAGGAACTAACCTTAAATTTGTGTGTGGCTGGTCTTACAACTCAAGAGACAATTTCCCCACAGGATTTCAAGCTGACTTTGGATTTATGCATAAGAAGCAAAAACTTAGGCCCAGGCGGGCGGATGGCGAGGTCAGGAGATTGAGACCATCCTGGCTAACACGGTGAAACCCCGTCTCTACTAAAAATATAAAAAATTAGCCAGGCGTTCTGGCGGGCGCCTGTAGTCCCAGCTACTCGGGAGCCTGAAGCAGGAGAATGGCGTGAACCCGGGAGGAGGAGCTTGCAGTAAACCGAGATCACGTCACTGCACTCCAGCCTGGACGACAGAGCGAGACTCTGTCACAAAAAAAAAAAAGCAAAAAAACTTTATTTTTACTTCTACTTTACTGGAGAAATTTACTATTTACATAAGATCCCTCCTGTGATCCCAGCACTTTGGGAGGCTGAGGCAGGAGGATAGCTTAAGGCCAGAAGTTCAAGACCAGCCCTGGCAACATAGTGAGACCACATCTCTAGAAAAAAATTAAATATAATTAGCCAGGCATGGTGGCACACACCTGTAGTCCCACCTATTTACTACAGGTATGGGCCAAGTGTAGTCAGTCGGTGGGACTACAGTTGTGTACCACCTCCAGAGGCTAAGGTGGGAAGATCGCTTGAGTCCAGGAGTTTGAAGCTGCAGCGAGCTATGATCATGATCATGCTACTGCACTACAGCCTGGAAAATGGAATGAGACCCTATCTCTAAGAATAATATAAAGAAGTTGAAATTTACTTGAAAGAAAAATCTCTTAGGTCTAAGCAATTCCATGATGGGAATCAGTGGTAGTGGTCACAGTAGCATAAAACCGAAATGCCTGCTCACAAGATTTTGGAGTACATGGAAGCCAAACTATTGAACAAAGCTCACCCTTCATGAAAGCATCTTCAAAATTCTAGTAACACAAGTCCCTAAGGGGGAATGGGAATTGCGAGCTTCTAAATATACTTGAAAAAGCAAAGCACTCGAATAAGACCAGTGACTGGAGCTGCCGTTGTCTGAATTTCTAAACATTGCTAGCAGGTGGAAAGATCTCAAGAAACCTTTTCTGAGAAAGAAGTCAATATGAGGACAAAGACTTCCTCTTGCAAACATAGTAAATGCAGTGTCCAAAATCAAGCTCTTGTGAGAACATTTCTGTCAACCGTGTTCACATTCATGGATTGTGACTTCAGGACAAATGGCAGCTACTAATCGACATGCTGATGAAACTAAAACTTCTCTCAAAGGCCATTAAGTTTCTGGGTACCATCTGTGCCAACACTAATTCAGATAATGCAGAAGGCTTGCTAAATTTTGGGATTTCTTTTCTGTTCGAGTTCTGAACAATTTGAGAAAATGTGATATAGAGAACTAAAATACGAGGAGAGACTAAGTTAGAGTGACTAGTCAAGTCCGGAAGTTAAGTGGACTGAACGATTATTGAATTCCAGAATTAGGTAGACCTATCTGCTGGGTCACACCAGTGCTGGGGCCAGCAGGTCTCCTCCATCTCCATCCCTGCAGGAACAACAGAAAAGTTAAGCGAAGTATGTTCCTTGCTGGAAGCTCCTCTCAAGAGGAAAAAGAGTGAGCCAGCATGCACACACCCAGTGATGATTCTTCTCCAATATTCAAGGTGAAGAATCCAGGGAAGAATTCCCCTCCTCATGGAAACCAAGAATGGGAAAATGGTTTTTCTATCTAGCAAAGTCCAAAGGAAATATTCCTTTTCTTCTCCTATTTTCTGCTTCAGATCAGTTTGTAAAATATTTTATTGTAACTTAAGGAACTTGGTTCTTATACTTCGGTCTTGTATTTTTGCAACTCTTGTGGTTGTATGGTGCAGTGATTTAGAATAACATTAGCCCTTTATGAGTTTGTACCAGTAACAAAAGGACTATGGTAAAAAGTCATCTTGCTTTTATAGTTCATGGCTGACCTCAAACAATATGTACACCATTTTCTGTTAACATTTCAGTGTAGACCATTATAACTTTTCATGTCAGAAAAGTGAAAAAAACACTTTTTCCTATTAATTGGTTGGCCACCAAAATTTTCAAATTTTTAAAGATTTTATTTATTTTTCAGTGGCCATCAACTCCAGGGATATGAGCAAGGAAGCAAGCATATCACTTTTGCCCTTTGGCAACTAGAAGAGGGATTTCCAAATCATTTTGCTCCACCTATATCACCTAGGTCTCTCCGTATATATTGATCTCCCTTTCAATAATCGTACATGATTCTAGCTTCTCCATCCCGCAAAGTCTTTTCTATCACAAATAGATGTATTCCAATTTTCAGTTCTTTAGTATGCTTTCATTGATGAGTAGATCAAATAAAATAAGGTATAACTTTTTTAAAAATACAATTGACATGGTGGGCTTAAACTCAGTGGAGTGTGTCTGCAGAGCTGTAAAACAATGACCCTTGCTCCTCTTCATTGAAGTGATGGGTCAGAGACAGATATGACCATTAACTGTTGTCCCATCTGGACACCTTAACCATCACATATGACAGCAGCCATAGAATTTCCTAACCTGATCTGCCAATGTTGAGAAGGTTAACGATTGTGATTGCTTAAATTTTACTTCTAAGCTAGATTTTTTCAGGTATGTCACATCAATGGAGCTTGAGGAGGATTACACATGAAAGTTTGAATTTCCGAAAGAATGTCCATTTTTCTCAAGTTCTTCAAGACTTTGAAAAAATTACGTTTTTAAAAACTTATTTTTTTTGCAAGACATCAACTCTCAGTAAATGTTTATCTTTAATTTTAACCTGAAACTAAGTTTGAGAAATTCCAGTCCACATGGATTTTGTTTTCACAAAACTCATCAAAAAGGCTTACAGAAGACTGCCTCTGATGGAAAAAAAAAGATGAAATTGCTACTTCAACTTCAAGAAAGTCTTGAGTGCTTTATTTTACTGTGTGACTCAATTTACTCACAAATCTCCAATTGGTTGAAATCCAATTTAAATAGATGAAGAAATGTCAACACTTTTCAAAAAAGAAAGAAAAGAAAGTAGAAAGAAGAAAGAAAGGAAAAAGAAAGAAAGAGAGAGAAAGAGAGAAAGAGAGAGAGGGAGGGAGGGAAAGAAAGAAAGAAGGAAAGAAAGAAAGGGCAAACAAGCAAGAAAGAGAGAGAAAGAAAGCAGGCAGGGAGAGAGGAAAAGGGGCAGAGAGGGAGGGTTGCAGAAGATACACTGACTTTCTGAATATCCACAACACTCAAACTATTAGAATAGGGGTAGGGTAGGTCACTGAGCTGGAATTCTTTGATAATGCCTTGAAGAAATCCCTCCACTTGGTGGACTCTCAATAAGGACTCACTGTGGTCAATACCACCAACCACTTCAGCACTTCCCTCTTCATTTCCCTACATTCTCTCCTCAACCCATATTTGCAACAAGGCCAAGGGGCTCATCCCCTGTCTGTAATCATTTCTACTTCCCACTGAAAGCAAATGAGCCCTACAGCTGGCGACAAATACAAATCATGCCTTCCAGCCTTCCCTTGCCTCCTTGATGATCTCTAGACCTTTGCTTCTTTTCTAAGGACCCTTACCTGATTCCTCAACTTCTTTATACTGGGCCTGAATGTCAGACTGGAGAAACAGGGCTCAGTTTTCAATCAGGCCCTGTGCTGTCTTGCTTCACCAGGCTGCTTTCAGATGAAGAATTCTTCGAAGCATAGTGCTTCGTCTGCAGGCATCTGCCCGGACCAATGGAGACAGCCTGGGCTTTAGCACCAGAGCAGTCTGAATTTGAATCTTTTCTATTATCGGCTGTATGACACACACTGCAGCCGGAGTGTTCTTTCCAAGATGCAGTTCTGATCAAGTCCCTGCCTTCCTTAGAACCTTTCAGTAGCTTACTATTGCTTTTTACATAAAGGCTCTGATGGTTAGTTTTATGTATCAACTTGACTGGGCCATGGAGTGCCCAGATATTTGACTAAATATTTTTTGGGGTGTTTCTGTGAGGGTGATTCTAGATGAGGTTAACAGTTGAACCGGTCGATTGAGTAAAGAAGATTACCCTCCCCAGTGTGGGTGGGCCTCATTAGGCTCATTGAAGGCCTGAATAGAACAAAAAGGCTGAATAAAGGAGAATTCACTCTCTCTGCCTATCTTTGGGCTGGGAAATCAGTCTTTTTTTTTTTTTTTTATTCTTTAAGTTCTACGGTACATATGCACAACATGCAGGTTTGTTACATATGTATACATGTGCCATGTTGGTGTGCTGCACCTATTAACTTGTCACTTACATTAGGTATATCTCCTAATGCTATCCCTCCCCCCTACCCCCACCCCACAACAGGCCCTGGTGTGTGATGTTCTCCTCCCTGTGTCCAAGTGTTCTCATTGTTCAACTCCCACCTATGAGTGAGAACATGCAGTGTTTGGTTTTCTGTCCCTGTGATAGTTTGCTCAGAATGATGGTTTCTACCTTCATCCATGTCCCAACAAAGGACATGAACTCATCCTTTTTATGGCTGCATAGTATTCCATGGTGTATACGTACCACATTTCCTTAATCTAGTCTATCATTGATGGACATTTGGGTTGGTTCCAAGTCTTTGCTATTGTGAATGGTGCCACAATAAACATACGTGTGCATGTGTCTTTATAGCAGCATGATTTATAATCTTTTGGGTATATGCTCAGTAATGGGATGGCTAGGTCAAATGGTATTTCTAGTTCTAGATCCTTCAGGAATGGCCACACTGTCTTCCACAATGGTTGAACTAGTTTACAGTCCCACCAACAGTGTAAAAGCATTCCTATTACTCTACATCCTCTCCAGCACCTGTTGCTTCCTGACTTTTGAATGATCGCCATTCTAACTGGTGTGAGATGGTATCTCATTGTGGTTTTGATTTGCATTTCTCTGATGGCCAGTGATGATGAGCATTGTTTCATGTGTCTGTTGGCTGCATACATGTCTTCTTTTGAGAAGTGTCTGTTCATATCCTTTGGCCACTTTTTGGTGGGGTTGTTTGATTTTTTCTTGTAAATTTGTTTAAGTTCTTTGTAGATTCTGGATATTAGCCCTTTGTCAGATGGGTACATTGTAAAAATTTTCTCCCATTCTGTAGGTTGTCTGTTCACTCTGATGGTAGTTTCTTTTGCTGTGCAGAAGCTCCTTAGTTTAATTAGATCCCATTTGTCAATTTTGGCTTTTGTTGCCATTGTTTTTGGTGTTTTAGTCATGAAGTCCTTGCCCATGCCTATGTCCTGAATGGTATTGCCTAGGTTTTCTTCTAGGGTTTTTATGGTTTTAGGTCTAACATTTAAGTCTTTAATCAATCTTGAATTAATTTTTGTATAAGGTGTAAGGAAGGGATGCAGTTTCAGCTTTCTACATATGGCTAGCCAGTTTTCCCAGCACCATTTATTAAATAGAGAATCTCTTCCCCATTTCTTGTTTTGTCAGGTTTGTTAAAGATCAGATGGTTGTAGATGTGTGGTATTATTTCTGAGGGCTCTATTCTGTTCCACTGGTCTATATCTCTGTTTTGGTACCAATACCATGCTGTTTTGGTTATGGTAGCCTTGTAGTATAGTTTGAAGTCAGGTAGCGTGATGCCTCCAGCTTTGTTCTTTTGGCTTAGGATTGACTTGGCGATACGGGCTCTTTTTTGGTTCCATATGAACTTTAAAGTAGTTTTTTCCAATTCTGTGAAGAAAGTCATTGGTAGCTTGATGGGGATGGCATTGAATATATAAATTACCTTGGGCAGTATGGCCATTTTCATGATATTGATTCTTTCTATCCGTGAGTATGGAATGTTCTTCCATTTGTCTGTGTCCTCTTTTATTTCATTGAGCAGTGCTTTGCAGTTCTCCTTGAATAGGTCGTTCACATCCCTTGTAAGTTGGATTCCTAGGTATTTTATTCCCTTTGAAGTAATTGCGAATGGGAGTTTACTCATGATTTGGTTCTCTGTTTGTCTGTGATTGGTGTGTAGGATGCTTGTGATTTTTGCACATTAATTTTGTTCCTGAGACTTTGCTGAAGTTGCTTATCAGCTTAAGGAGATTTTGGGCTGAGACAGTGCGGTTTTCTAAATATACAATCATGTCATCCGCAAAAAGGGACAATTTGACTTCCTCTTTTCCTAATTGCATACCCTTTATTTCTTTCTCCTGCCTAATTGCCCTGGCCAGAACTTCCAACACTATGTTGAATAGGAGTGGTGAGAGAGGGCATCCCTGTCTTGTGCCAGTTTTCAAAGGGAATGCTTCCAGTTTTTGCCCATTCAGTATGATATTGGCTGTGGGTTTGTCATAAATAGCTCTTATTATTTTGAGATATGTCCTATCAATACCTAGTTTGTTGAGAGTTTTTAGCATGAAGGGCTGTTGAATTTTGTCGAAGGCCTTTTCTGCATCTATTGAGATAATCATGTGGTTTTTGTCTTTGGTTCTGTTTATATGGTGGATTAGGTTTATTGATTTGCATGTGTTGAACCAGCCTTGCATCCCAGGGATGAAGCCGACTCGATCGTGGTGGATAAGTTTTTGATGTGCTGCTGGAGTCAGTTTGCCAGTATTTTTTTGACGATTTTTGCATCAATGTTCATCAGGGATATTTGGTCTAAAATTCTCTTTTTTTTGTTGCGTCTCTGCCAGGCTTTGGTATCAGGATGATGTTGGCCTCATAAAATGAATGAGGGAGGATTCCCTCTTTTTCTATTGATTGGCATAGTTTCAGAAGGAATGGTACCAGCTCCTCTTTGTACCTCTGGTAGAATTCGGCTGTGAATCTGTCTGGTCCTGGACTTTTTTCCTTGGTAGGCTATTAATTATTGCCTCAATTTCAGAACCTGTTATTGTTCTATTCAGGGATTCAAATTCTTCCTGGTTTAGTCTTGGGAGTCTGTATGTGTCCAGGAATTTATCCATTTCTTCTAGATTTTCTAGCTTATTTTGGTAGAGGTGTTCATATTATTCTCTGATGGTAGTTTGTATTTCTGTGGGATTGGTGCTGATATCCCCTTTATCATTTTTTATTGCATCTCTCTTTTCTTCTTTATTAATCTTGCTAGCAGTCCATCAATTTTGTTGTCTTTTCAAAAAACGAGCTCCTGGATTCATAGATTTTTTGAAGGTATTTTGTGTCTCTATCTCTTTCAGTTCTGCTCCAATCTTAGTTCTTTCTTGCCTTCTGCTAGCTTTTGAATTTGTTTGCTCTTGCTTCTCTAGTTCTTTTAATTGTGATGTTAGGGCATCAATTTTAGATCTTTCTTGCTTTCTTTTGTGGGCATTTAGGCTGTAAATTTCCCTCTACACACTGCTTTAAATGTGTCCCAGAGATTCTGGTATGTTGTGTCTTTGTTCTCATTGGTTTCAAAGAACATCTTTATTTCTGCCTTCATTTCGTTATGTACCCGGTAGTCATTCAGGAGCAGGTTGTTCAGTTTCCATGTAGTTGAGCAGTTTTGAGTGAGTTTCTTAATCCTGAGTTCTGGTTTGTTTGCACTGTGGTCTGAGAGACAGTTTGTTATAATTACTATTCTTTTTTATTTGCTGAGGAGTGCTTTACTTCCAACTATGTGGTCAATTTTAGAATAAGTATGATGTGGTGCTGAGAAGAATGTATATTCTGTTGATTTGGGGTGCAGAGTTTTGTAGATGTCTATTAGGTCCATTTGGTGCAGAGCTGAGTTCAATTCTTGGATATCCTTTTTAACTTTCTGTCTCATTGATCTGTCTAATGTTGACAGTGGGGTGCTAAAGTCTCCCATTATTATTGTGTGGGAGTCTGGGTCTCTTTATAGGTCTCTAAGGACTTGCTTTATGAATCTGGGTGCTCCTGTATTGGGTGCATATATATTTAGGATAGTTAGCTCTTCTTGTTGAATTATCCCTTTACCATTATGTAATGGTCTTCTTTGTCTCTTTCGATCTTTGTTGGTTTAAAGTCTGTTTTATCAGAAACTAGGATTGCAACCCCTGCTTTTTTTTTTTTTTTTTTTTTTGCTTTCCATTTGCTTGGTAGATCTTCCTCCATCCCTTTAGTTTGAGCCTATGTGTGTCTTTGCACGAGTGGTGGGTCTCCTGAATACAGCACACTGATGGGTTTTGACTCCTTATCCAATTTGCCAGCATGTGTCTTTGAATTGGGGCATTTAGCCCACTTACATTTAAGATTAATATTGTTATGTGTGAAGTTGATCCTGTCATTATGATGTTCACTGGCTATTTTGCTCGTTAGTTGATGCAATTTCTTCCTAGCATTGATGATCTTTACAATTTGGCATGTTTTTGCAGTGGCTGGTACTGGCTGTTCCTTTCCATGTTTAGTGCTTCCTTCAGGAGCTCCTGTATGACAGGCCTGGTGGTTATAAAGTCTCTCAGCATTTGCTTGTCTGTAAAGGATTTTATTTCTCCTCCACTTATGAAGCTTAGTTTGGCTGGATATGAAATTCTGGGTTGAAAATTCTTTTCTTTAAGAACGTTGAATATTGGCCCTCACTCTCTTCTGGTTTGTAGGGTTTCTGCAGATAGATCTGCTGTTAGTCTGATGGGTTTCCCCTTGTGGGTAACCCTACCTGTCTCTCTGGCTGCCCTTAACATTTTTTCCTTCATTTCAACTTTGGTGAATCTGACAATTATGTGTCTTGGAGTTGCTCTTCTCGAGGATTATCTTTGTGGCATTCTTTGTATTTCCTGAATTTGAATGTTGGCCTGCCTCACTCAGTTGGGGAAGTTCTCCTGGATAATATCCTGAAGAGTGTTTTCCAACTTGGTTCCTTTCTCTCCATCACTTTCAGGTACACCAATCAGATGTAGATTTGGTCTTTTCACATAGTCCCATATTTCTTGGAGGCTTTGTTCATTTCTTTATACTCTTTTTTCTCTAAACTTCTCTTCTGGCTTCATTCCATTCATTTGATCTTCAATCACTGATACCCTTTCTTCCACTTGATCAAATTGGCTACTGAAGCTTGTGCATGCATCACGTAGTTCTCGTGCCATGGTTTTCAGCTCCATCAGGTCATTTAAGGACTTCTCTACACTGTTTATTCTAGTTAGACATTCATCTAATCTTTTTTCAAGGTTTTTAGCTTCTTTGCAATGGGTTCAAACATACTCTTTTAGCTTGGAGAAGTTTGTTATTACCGATCATCTGAAGCCTTTTTCTCTCAACTCGTCAAAGTTATTCTTCATCCCGCTTTGTTCCATTGCTGGCGAGGAGCTGTGTTCCTTTGGTGGAGAAGAGGCACTCTGATTTTTAGAATTTTCAGCTTTTCTATTCTGGTTTCTCCCCATCTTTGTGGTTTTGTCATCTACCTTTGGTCTTTGATGATGGTGACGTACAGATGGGGTTTTGGTGTGGATGTCCTTTTTGTTTGTTAGTTTTCCTCCTATCAGTCAGGACCCTCCAGTGCAGGTCTGTTGGAGATTGCTGGAAGTCCACTCCAGACCCTGTTTGCCTGGGTATCACCAGCAGAGGCTGCAGAACAGCAAAGATTGCAGAACGGCAATATTTGCTGCCTTATCCTTCCTCTGGAAGCTTCATCTCAGAGGGGTACCCGGCTGTATGAAGTGTCACTCAGCCCCTCCTGGGAGGTGTCTCCCAGTTAGGCTACTTGGGGGTCAGGGATCCTCTTGAGGAGGCAGTCTGTCTGTTCTCAGATCTCAAACTCTGTGCTGGGAGAACCACTACTCTCTTCAAAGCTGTCAGACAAGGACATTTAAGTCTGCAGAATTTCTGCTGCCTTTTTTTCAGCTATGCCCTGCCCCCAGAGGTGGAGTCTATGGAGGCAGGCAGGCCTCCTTGAGCTGCGGTGGGCTCCACCCAGTTCGAGATTCCCAGTTGCTTTGTTTACCTACTCAAGCCTCAGCAATGGCAGACGCTCCTCCCTCAGCCTCCCTGCTGCCTGCCTTGCAGTTCGATCTCAGACTGCTGTGTTAGCAGTGAGCGAGGCTCCATGGGCGTGAGACCCTCCGAGCCAGGCATGGGATATAATCTCCTAGTGTGCCATTTGCTAAGACCATTGGAAAAGTGGAGTATTAGGGTGAGTGTTATCCAATTTTCCAGGTACTGTCTGTCACGGCTTCCCTTTGCTGGGAAAGGGAATTCCCCAACCCCTTGTGCTTCCCTGGTGAGGCGATGCCCTGCCCTGCTCCGTGGGCTGCACCCACTGTCTGATAAGCCCCAGTGAGATGAAACTGGTACCTGAGTTGGAAATGCAGAAATCACCCATCTTCTGCGTCGCTCACACTGGGAACTGCAGACTGGAGCTGTTCCTGTTCAGCCATCTTGGAACCTCCTCCCCTGTTAGCAACTGGAAATCAGTCTTATACTGCCCTCAGACCCAGACTCGGACTGAGGCTTGCACCCTTAGCTCTTCTGCTTCTCAGGCCTTTGGACTTGGACTGAAATGATACCATTGCTCTCAGAGTCTACAGCTTGCTGACTGCAGATGTCATGACTTAGGCTCCATAATTATGTTACTATTCTCCTTACAATACATTTACAATTTCTTTTTCTCTGGAGAACTCTGACTAATATAAAGTCCAGCCTTGCATTCTGGCTTGTAGGCTCTGCAGATTCTCTGTCTCAACTCTTCCTTGAGCTTCTACCCATACCACTCTCTCATTCACACTCTAACTCTAGCCCTGTTGCATCTCTCTCAGTATAGTGAGCTCTTTTGCTTGATTATAAAGCAGGGGACAACACAATTTTCCTGTAAATGGCCAAATGACAGGAATTTTGTTTAGGCTTTGCAGGCCAAATAGTCTCTATTGAAACTGTTCCCCTCTGCCATTGTGGTGCCAGTGCAGCTGTAGACAACACATACATGAATGGGTGTGGCTGCGTGACAATTCAACTAACACATGGGAGATTGGGGCCAATTGGTGGGAATGCAGATTGGGCTGGGCCTTAGTTTGCTTACCCCTGCTGTACACCTTCATCCATGCTGTTTATTCTCTTTGCCTGGGACACCTTCCATCTGCCTTTCACATGGCAAACCCATTTTTAGCTGGTTTTTTTTCCTTGCCCTAGCTTAGATGCCACTTTCTCCAGAAATTTTCCTTTATGCCAACTCTAGGTTACGTACCCTCTCCCCATGAACTTTTAACGTGCATTATACATTCTCCACTATTGGCTCATCACTCTGTATTGCAATTGCCTATTTATGCATTTTTATCTCTCCCTAGACTGTAAAGTTCCCTGGTCAGGGACCAATTTTTTTTTTTTTTCTTTTGAGACAGAGTCTTGCTCTGTCACCAGGCTGGAGTGCAGTGGCGTGATCTCAGCTCACCGCAACCTCCGCCTCGTGGGATCAAATGATTCTCCTGCCTCAGCCTCCCAAGTAGCTGGGATTACAGGCACGCACCACCATGCCTGGCTAATTTTTTGTATTTTAGTAGAGACGGGGTTTCACCATGTTGGCCAAAATTGTCTCGATCTCCTGACCTTGTGATCCACCCACCTCAGCCTCCCAAAGTGCTGGGATTACAGGTGTGAGCCACTGCACCCGGCCCAACAGGGACCAGTTTATCACTTTATACCCAGTACCTGAACCTAGTAGGCACCCAGTGAATAGTAGTTCTTATTGTTATTATTGCTACAGCATAATTATATTAAGTGAACTATTATGGGCAAGTCCAAAGATCTAGCCATTCTTCTATCAGAAAAATCAAACTGACAGCAATAAAGCCAAAAAATTCTCAAAATAGGACTTCCTCGAGGTCTAGATGGAAGAAATTTTAATAAACAGAGGCAATAGCCTAAGCCCCAAATCAGTGGTTCCTAGCCTTCCTGTACATTGGAATCACCTCAGAGAGCTTTCATAATTACTGATGTCCAGATCCTATCTGCAGAAAGCCTTATTTAATTGTTTCAGAGTGCGACCTTGACATGGCATCTTTACAGTCTTCCCAGGTGTATTGGTTTGCTAGGGCTGCCTCAACAAATTATCACAAACTAGGTGTCTTGAAACAACAGAAATATATTCTCTCACCATTCTGGAGGTCAGGAATCTGAAATTAACTTGTTGACAGTGCTGTGTTCCCTTTGGAGGCTCTAGGGGAGAATCCATCCTTGCCTCTTCTATATTCTGGTGCCTGTCACATTTCTTGTTATTCCTTGGCTTGTGGCCACATGACTCCAATCTCTGCCTCCTGTTCACATCTCTGTCTCCTGTGCATCTGTTCTCCTCTATGTCTCTTAGCAGGATACTGGGCTTTGGATTTAGGGCTAACTTGGAGAATCCAGCATGATCGAATCTTTAAGACCTTAACTTAATTACATCTACAGAGACTTTTTTTCCAAATAAGGTAACATTCACAGGTTCCAGAAATTAGGATATGGATCTATCTTTTTATGGGCCACCACTCAATCCAATGCAGCGGTTAATTCTGATTTACAGCCACACCCTAAGTAGTATACACACAGTGGTGGGTGGGCCTGTCGTATCTGAGCCTGGGAATTGTGCAGGAATTGACCATTTCTTTTGCCAGGTGTGAATGATTGTTTTGGAGCATTCCTTGCCCCACTGAAAGAGGAACGAGGGGTTAAGGATGGATCATGAGGAAGTGTCAGGCAAATGATGCAGAGGGGATGCAAAGCATGAACTTGATAACTAATATATACCTATTCTGCCCTTTATTCCTCTCTCTTTCAGAAGCATTTTTCTCTCTGTAGGGGAATCTGTAATATCCATATTTTCTTTCCTTTTTTTTTTAAAAAAAACAAAAAAACAAAAAAAAAAACACTTTCCTTGGTTGAAGCATTCTGTCTTAGATTAACTACCTACAGTCCTTATTATTTCGTAATCTTCCAAAGACAACCACGCCCTTCATTTGGGTCAGACTTTTAGACAAAACCCTGGGAAGGCTTTTGGTATGTTTCTGTAGGTATTTGAGACATTCACAATAATGATACAGGTGAGGCTGCTCTTCTAGGAAGCAAGATCTCTTCCTATATTTTAGTAAAACCAAAACTGCCTTACAGTGAGTTTGAATCCTTTAAAAACTTAAAAGGGAAAGAAATGAAATGTGTTTTTCTGATGAAATAAGAACCCCTTCATGCCTCTCTGTTTGCTCTCTAATTTTCAAAAGTCATTTTACATTAGCTCTTAATAGAAATAAGTTTGAAAATCTAACAATGTTAATTGTGTTCTGTAAGGAGGTCATGAGGTTGGGGATAGAATGCTCGGTTACCTTTTGAGTTTTCCTTTCTGCCGTCTTTTGAGAACCAAACATCATTAGAAGTTCCAATAATCACAGTACAAGCAGTACTTTCGTGGCAGTCCTTCAGCAACCTCCTTGAAGGGAAATGTCTAGTCCTTATTTATAATAACATAATAATGTGATTTTGAAAGAGACAGCATGATTGTGGATTTTGTTTTGACTAAAAAAAAAAAAATAGACCCTGCATTTTTGTTTTTTAAGGAAGAGAATAGAAAGTTGTTGGATGCTGTTTAGATAAGAAGTAGTAGAGAGAATATCCTCATTAATGCATCTTGTCTTCTGAGATGCAGGGTAATACCCCCTGCGTGCTGGCACCAACTCGCCTCTGCTGTTTTGTTAGGGAAAAAAGAAAAAAAAAAAAAAGGAAACACTCATTCTGCTCATTTTAACTTTATTGTCTCATTCTGATTCTAATCCCCAAATAAAAAGGGCAAGGTCTTTCTGCTGAGTCAAGACTTTCAGCAATTTGGCGAAAAGTCCCATTTTTTTTTTCTTCCCAGTTTGGATGAGAAGCTGAGCAACCCTGGTAGACTAATTTAGGTAACTTTTCAAGTGTTCTTACTGAAATGAGAATTGCCAAAAAAAAAAAAATACAGAAAATGCTAGCACTTAGCAGAAATGCATATGTGGCATTTGTTCAGCTTAATGTGAATAGCCTTGCCCAGGCAACAACAGAAGAGACAATTAGAATGCAGTCATGGTTCCAAAAATTCACCCTTTCTTCCAGCTAATATGACATTTTTTTTCTTAAAAAAAAAAGCAAAATAAAAAGAAAGGAATGAAAGAAAAAGGAGAAATATATGTGGTTTTGCTTCAGTTACTAACACAAAAATACCAATTTGGTATGGATTTTATTTTAACCAAAAAAATCTGTTGTTGTGCAAGTTTTGTCAGAACAAAGTAGCAATAAAAGAATTTCATGCCTGCACTGATTTCATTATGGCTGGATTTTAACAGCAATGGAACATGGGTCAACCAATGTTAGGAGTGATGGTGGGTGTTATCCACTGAGGACTGCGGCAGAATAGCCATGTTTATTGCCCATCATTTCTCAATGATTTTATGCCATCATTTGGGAGATGAATAAAATAACTCTGTAGCAGGCATGCATGTAAATAAATTAAGCATTAAGAACCAGCACGTTGTAATCATCTTTCTTTGAGAATATACTAAATAGTTGTAATCAGTGAAATGGACAAGAAATCGCATTACATTGCCTTTTCCAGCTACGATAGCACACCAGCTAAAACAAGACTCAGGTTGGAGGGATGTCTGAGGGGAGAGAAGAATGCAGTTGTGTTCTGGGTGTTTCAAGCTATAAAACCACACTGGGCAAATAATGCATGGGTCATTTTACCTTCCCAAGTGAAAGTATCTATTGTTGATAAACAATGAGTGAACTCTTTAGCAATATATTACCATCTCCCTCATGTAAGCATTCAAGGCTTCTAGTCCTGAGAACCATGGCGAATATAAAACTCTGGCATCATAATGCCTCTTTCCACAATGATCTGACAAAGATCATTTGCTTGGCCAAACTTTAATCAGGCTTCTGAACCATTTCCTAGGCCCATCTGTGCATTTCCTTGTAAAATCTCATTGTAACAAAAAGCCCTGCTAAGTGAGTTTAGCATGAAACCCCCATCGCTGACATCTGATCACCCTCCTTATCTAAGTTTCCTCATTCGTTAACGTCCCTTATGGGATGTGTGGTCAACCTGACCGGTCTTCAGCAAGAATCCTGTTAGGTCAGTTTAGCCAGAATTTCCCTTACCTCTGAATCTCCCTCTTAGTAATTTTGACCACTCCCCTTGCCTCCTTGGCTATAAATTCTCATTTGCCTGTGCTGTATTCAGAGTTGAACCCCATCTCTTTCCCCCACTGCAAGATCCCATCACAGTGGCTCCTATACCTACTGCAGTGTTTCTAAATAAAGTCTTCCTTACAGTGATTTAGGAAGTATCACTGAATAACATTTTTCTTTAACAGACCACCTTAATTTTTGAAAGATTCCTTTTAAAAATTAAGGTTGAATGAGAATAAAAGGAAGATTTGATAAAGAGATGTAGATCTCTTCCTTTTTTCTTGAGAAGGAAAACAGGAGCTGTGTACAGGGAAGCCTTTTCTAATTCCAGGCTAGGGCTCCTCTCCTTCCAACGTGTCTTCACCCACAAGTGCCAGCAAAATTAGGGGGCTTGAAAGTTTATACTAGGCACTTTTACATCCCTTGTTTATTATTCTGCAAATACATATTGAATCTCTAGTACTAAGGCCAGAAACTCCTCAGGAACTAGGGCTAAAACCATGAACAAAAACAACAAAAAAGTCCTTCCTCTAACGAGCTTTTATTGTTGTTAGGGGAAACAAATTACAAATGAAAACATATTAAATAAATATATAAAATATCAAGTAAAGATGCATGCTTATAAAAAACTTATGGCAGGGTAGGCTCTGTGGATTCAGAGCATCAGGAGGGGTATATATTCTGTCATGCAGATTAGAAAAGGCTTTTCATATAAGGTGACATTTGCCATGCTTGACTGAAGTAAGGAGGTGGATTAGGAAGAGTTAACAGTACATGCAAATCCTCTTGGGCAGTGATATATGTTGCATGTTCTTATTCTAGAAAAAGCAAGGAGGCCAGTATGGGTGAAACCAATAAGAGAGGAGGGGAATGTGAGGCAATGAGATAAGAGAGGAATTAGGAGGACAGATCACATAGGGTCATTGGCCATGGTGAGGACCTCGCATTTATTCTGGGTAAGGTAGGATGCCTCCAGAAGGTTTGATTGAGCAGAGGAGCAATATGATCTACCAAACGCCTTTCATGGCTCCCTTTTTTACTTAGAGCAAAAACCAAGCACTCATGAGTGAAGTTGTGCTGGAGAAGCTTGCTGGAAAGTGGCAAGTAAGGTATAATTCCAATAATGTTACTTCACAGGGTTAGGCAGACAAATTGTAGTTGAAGGAGGTACTGTGAGCAAATGACATCTGATTCCTGGAAGGGCAATAACAATGCCATTGCCACAAAACAGTTGCAGATTTTCTTACATTTTTCGACATGCCATCATGTGTATGTTCTCCCTTTCTTTCTGTCCATTAGTCAAGAAAGGTAAAGACCTATGTTAAATTTAGGGAAACTGAGGCACAGTAATTTTTAAATGTTAGCCAATTGCAACATTTAATGAATAGCACAATTATATGTGGCAAACATTTTTCTAGGACTATATATACATGGTTTAAACCCATTCAGTCTTTCCCCAGATTCTATGAGTTGTGCCATTTTACAGAGGAAGAAACTGAAGAATAGAGAGATAACATATCCTGCTCAAAGTCATACAGCTAAGAAATGACAGAGAAAAAATTCAGCCAGTCTGTTTGGCACCAAAGCCCTAATTCTTAGAAGATATTTCATTCGTTCAAGGTCACATAGCTTGTACATAAGTGACTTGATTCTGAGTTGTTGTTTTCCCAGAAGAGCGATTATAATTTGGTTCACTCACATTAATTCCATATACTTTCCTTGGAAGACCCCCTTTACATTTCTGTTTTTGCTGTTTGGGCTGACTGGCTCTACCCCTAATTGTAGGAGTATGTATGTGACCCAGTTCTGGCTAGTGATTCTGGTTAGAGTGGTTGATTCAGGGATGGGCATATGATCTAAATTGCTTAATGAAGTCTTAATTTTGGAACCTTTTCTGTTGGGAAAAGAGGATCTTTACTTCCCCTGGGAAGCTATTAAAATGGAAATGCTGGCAGTCATAGTGCCACCAGTTGGAGGGAGGGGAAGAATTTGACTGAGATATAGCCAACAGTCAATCAAGAGAAAGAGAAGCACAGCCAAGAGCTGTCGATTCCTGAATCCACCTCTGCCTATAACCAGCTTCTTCTAACTTTTCCATTATCTGAAACAATAAATTCTTCATTTTGCATAAACTATTACAATTTGGATTTATTTTATTTGTGTCTAAAGAATTCTGACTAATATACTACATTACTGTGTAAATCACAGTAAAGTAGCCTTAGATAAGGCTTCATATTTCAATACACTATCAGTTAATCCCTCAATGAGATTTTGTTGGTAGTCATTAAAAGTTACTGGAGATACCATCCAGTAATTGCATTCCTGGGTATTTACCCAACTGATTTGAAAAATTATGTCCATACAAAAACCTGCAAACCAGCACATAAATGTTTATAGTAACTTTATTTATAATTACCAAAAACTGGGAAAAACTAAAAAGTTCTTTGATGAAAAAGTGATTGGATAAACAAACTGTGTACATCCTTACAATGAGATATAATCCAATACTTGAAAGAAACGTGGCATCAAGCCGTGAAAAGGCATGGATTAATCTTTATTTATTTATTTATTTATTATTTATTTTTTATTATACTTTAAGTTTTAGGGTACATGTGCACATTGTGCAGGTTAGTTACATATGTATACATTTGCCACGCTGGTGCGCTGCACCCACTAACTCGTCATCTAGCATTAGGTATATCTCCCAGTGCTATCCCGACCCCCTCCCCCCACCCCACCACAGTCCCCAGAGTGTGATATTCCCCTTCCTGTCTCCATGTGATCTCATTGTTCAATTCCCACCTATGAGTGAGAATATTCGGTGTTTGGTTTTTTGTTCTTGCGATAGTTTACTGAGAATAATGATTTCCAATTTCATCCATGTCCCTACAAAGGACATGAACTCATCATTTTTTATGGCTGCATAGTATTCCATGGTGTATATGTGCCACATTTTCTTAATCCAGTCTATCATTGTTGGACATTTGGGTTGGTTCCAAGTCTTTGCTATTGTGAATAATGCCGCAATAAACATACGTGTGCATGTGTCTTTATAGCAGCAAGATTTATAGTCCTTTGGGTATATACCCAGTAATGGGATGGCTGGGTCAAATGGTATTTCTAGTTCTAGATCCCTGAGGAATCGCCACACTGACTTCCACAATGGTTGAACTAGTTTACAGTCCCACCAACAGTGTAAAAGTGTTCCTATTTCTCCACATCCTCTCCAGCACCTGTTGTTTCCTCACTTTTTAATGATTGCCATTCTAACTGGTGTGAGATGGTATCTCATTGTGGTTTTGATTTGCATTTCTCTGATGGCCAGTGATAATGAGCATTTTTTCATGTGTTTTTTGGCTGCATAAATGTCTTCTTTTGAGAAGAGTCTGTTCATGTCCTTCGCCCACTTTTTGATGGGGTTGTTTGTTTTTTTCTTGTAAATTTGTTTGAGTTCATTGTAGATTCTAGATATTAGCCCTTTGTCAGATGAGTAGGTTGCGAAAATTTTCTCCCATTTTGTAGGTTGCCTGTTCACTCTGATGGTAGTTTCTTTTGCTGTGCAGAAGCTCCTTAGTTTAATTAGGTCCCATTTGTCAATTTTGGCTTTTGTTGCCATTGCTGTTGGTGTTTTGGACATGAAGTCCTTGCCCATGCCTATGTCCTGAATGGTGATGCCTAGGTTTTCTTCTAGGGTTTTTATGGTTTTAGGTCTAACGTTTAAGTCTTTAATCCATCTTGAATTGATTTTTGTATAAGGTGTAAGGAAGGGATCCAGTTTCTGCTTTCTACATATGGCTAGCCAGTTTTCCCAGCACCATTTATTAAATAGGGAATCCTTTCCCCATTGCTTGTTTTTCTCCGGTTTGTCAAAGATCAGATAGTTGTAGATACGTGGCGTTATTTCTGAGGGCTCTGTTCTGTTCCATTGATCTATATCTCTGTTTTGGTACCAGTACTATGCTGTTTTGGTTACTGTAGCCTTGTAGTATAGTTTGAAGTCAGGTAGTGTGATGCCTCCAGCTTTGTTCTTTTGGCTTACGATTGACTTGGCGATACGGGCTCTTTTTTGGTTCCATATGAACTTTAAAGTGGTTTTTTCCAATTCTGTGAAGAAAGTCATTGGTAGCTTGATGGGGATGGCATTGAATCTGTAAATTACCTTGGGCAGTATGGATATTTTCACGATATTGATTCTTCCTACCCATGAGCATGGAATGTTCTTTCATTTGTTTGTATCCTCTTTTATTTCCTTGAGCAGTGGTTTGTAGTTCTCCTTGAAGAGGTCCTTCACATCCCTTGTAAGTTGGATTCCTAGCTATTTTATTCTCTTTGAAGCAATTGTGAATGGGAGTTCACTCATGATTTGGCTCTCTGTTTGTCTGTTGTTGGTGTATAGGAATGCTTATGATTTTTGCAATTGATTTTGTATCCTGAGATTTTGCTGAAGTTGCTTATCAGCTTAAGGAGATTTTGGGCTGAGACAATGGGGTTTTCTAGATATACAATCATGTCGTCTGCACACAGGGACAATTTGACTTCCTCTTTTCCTAACTGAATACCCTTTATTTCCTTCTCCCGCCTAATTGCCCTGGCCAGAACTTCCAACACTATGTTGAATAGTAGTGGTGAGAGAGGGCATCCCCGTCTTGTGCCAGTTTTCAAAGGGAATGCTTCCAGTTTTTGCCCATTCAGTATGATATTGGCTGTGGGTTTGTCATAGGTAGCTCTTATTATTTTGAAATACGTCCCATCAATACCTAATTTATTGAGAGTTTTTAGCATGAAGCGTTGTTGAATTTTGTCAAAGGCTTTTTCTGCATCTATTGAGATAATCATGTGGTTTTTGTCTTTGGCTCTGTTTATATGCTGGATTACATTTATTGATTTGCGTATATTGAACCAGCCTTGCATCCCAGGGATGAAGCCCACTTGATCATGGTGGATAAGCTTTTTGATGTGCTGCTGGATTCGTTTTGCCAGTATTTTATTGAGGATTTTTGCATCAATGTTCATCAAGGATATTGGTCTAAAATTCTCTTTTTTGGTTGTGTCTCTGCCCGGCTTTGGTATCAGAATGATGCTGGCCTCATAAAATGAGTTAGGGAGGATTCCCTCTTTTTCTATTGATTGGAATAGTTTCAGAAGGAATGGTACCAGTTCCTCCTGGTACCTCCGGTAGAATTCGGCTGTGAATCCATCTGGTCCTGGACTCTTTTTGGTTGGTAAACTATTGATTATTGCCACAATTTCAGCTCCTGTTATTGGTCTATTCAGAGATTCAATTTCTTCCTGGATTAGTCTTTGGAGAGTGTATGTGCTGAGGAATTTATCCATTTCTTCTAGACTTTCTAGTTTATTTGCGTAGAGGTGTTTGTAGTATTCTCTGATGGTAGTTTGTATTTCTGTGGGATCGGTGGTGATATCCCCTTTATCATTTTTTATTGTGTCTATTTGATTCTTCTCTCTTTTTTTCTTTATTAGTCTTGCTAGCAGTCTATCAATTTTTTTGATCCTTTCAAAAAACCAGCTCCTGGATTCATTAATTTTTTGATGGGTTTTTTGTGTCTGTATTTCCTTCAGTTCTGCTCTGATTTTAGTTGTTTCTTGCCTTCTGCTAGCTTTTGAATGTGTTTGCTCTTGCTTTTCTAGTTCTTTTAGTTGTGATGTTAGGGTGTCAATTTTGGATCTTTCCTGCTTTCTTTTGTGGGCATTTAGTGCTATAAATTTCCCTCTACACACTGCTTTGAATGCATCCCAGAGATTCTGGTATGTTGTGTCTTTGTTCTCGTTGGTTTCAAAGAACATCTTTATTTCTGCCTTCATTTCGTTATGTACCCAGTAGTCATTCAGGAGCAGGTTGTTCAGTTTCCATGTAGTTGAGCGGCTTTGAGTGAGATTCTTAATCCTGAGTTCTAGTTTGATTGCACTGTGGTCTGAGAGATAGTTCGTTATAATTTCTGTTCTTTTACATTTGCTGAGGAGACCTTTACTTCCAAGTATGTGGTTAATTTTGGAATAGGTGTGGTGTGGTGCTGAAAAAAATGTATATTCTGTTGATTTGGGGTGGAGAGTTCTGTAGATGTCTATTAGGTCCACTTGGTGCAGAGCTGAGTTCAATTCCTGGGTATCCTTGTTGACTTTCTGTCTCGTTGATCTGTCTAATGTTGATAGTGGGGTGTTAAAGTCTCCCATTATTAATGTGTGGGAGTCTAAGTCTCTTTGTAGGTCACTCAGGACTTGCTTTATGAAGCTAGGTGCTCCTGTATTGGGTGCATATATATTTAGGATAGTTAGCTCTTCTTGTTGAATTGATCCCTTTACCATTATGTAATGGCCTTCTTTGTGTCTTTTGATCTTTGTTGGTTTAAAGTCTGTTTTATCCGAGACTAGGATTGCAACCCCTGCCTTTTTTTGTTTTCCATTTGCTTGGTAGATCTTCCTCCATTCTTTTATTTTGAGCCTATGTGTGTCTCTGCACGTGACATGGGTTTCCTGAATACAGCACACTGATGGGTCTTGACTCTTTAGCCAATTTGCCAGTCTGTGTCTTTTAATTGGAGCATTTAGTCCATTTACATTTAAAGTTAATAGTGTTATGTGTGAATTTGATCCTGTCATTATGATGTTAGCTGGTGATTTTGCTCATTAGTTGATGCAGTTTCTTCCTAGTCTCGATGGTCTTTACATTTTGGCATGATTTTGCAGCGGCTGGTACCGGTTGTTCCTTTCCATGTTTAGCGCTTCCTTCAGGAGCTCTTTTAGGGCAGGACTGGTGGTGACAAAATCTCTCAGCATTTGCTTGTCTGTAAAGGATTTTATTTCTCCTTCACTTATGAAGCTTAGTTTGGCTGGATATGAAATTCTGGGTTGAAAATTCTTTTCTTTAAGAATGTTGAATATTGGCCCCCACTCTCTTCTGGCTTGTAGGGTTTCTGCCCAGAGATCCGCTGTTAGTCTGATGGGCTTCCCTTTGAGGGTAACCCGACCTTTCTCTCTGGCTGCCCTTAACATTTTTTGGCATGGATTAATCTTAAATGCATATTGCTAAGTGAAAGGAACCAGTCTAAAAAGACTACATATTGTATGATTCCAATTATATGACACTCTGGAAAAGGCAAAATCTAGCAATAGTGAAAAAGAATCAGTGGTTGGCATGGATTTGGAAGAAAGGAAAGGGAAGGTTGAATAGGTGGTGCACAAGAGATTTTTAGGGCCGTGAGACTATTCTGTATGATACTGTATTTGTGAATACATAATACTATGTGATTATTAAAACCCACTACATTTTACAGCACAAAGAGTAAACTGTAATGTATGCAAATTGAACATAACATCATGTAAGAAGTCTGAGAATCACAGGATGGAATACAGAATGTGACAAAACAATCTAACTATTCCAAGTGTAGGAAACAACCTTACTGAAGTGTGTGGGGGAAAAGGTGCTGATCTAAGTCACTTTGGAAATAAATGAAGTCTATACAACTAAAGGCAAAATAAATAGTACATAAGTATGTATTTTAGCTGATAATGTTATGTCCCACAGGAGTATGGGTTAAAAATTCTGATACTTACATCCACTTATGCAGGAATTGAATAATTACATAAATGGATGAATGGCAGAGGGTGGGAGCCAGGTTTCTCACTGCTGGAGTGAGAGTTTACAAAAAAGCAAGGGGAGGAAGCTGGCGTGATATATGTAGTAATGAATTGGAATTGGAGACATCATCAGTATGAACTCATACTCAACTAAATATACATGCAGATGATTACATATAGAAATATCTAGACCAGACATGGTGGCTCACACATGTAATCCCAGCACATTGGGAGGCCAAGGCAGGTGAATCACTTGAGTTCAGAAGTTCAAGACCAGCCTAGGCAACATGGCAAAAATGTGTCTCTACAAAAATTACAAAAATTAGCTGGGTATGGTAGCACACCTGTGGTCCGAGCTACCTGGGGGGCAGAGGTGGGAGAATCGTTTGAGCCTGAGAGGTTGAGGCTGCAGTGAACCTTGATTGCGCCACTGCAGTACAGCCTGGGTGACAGAGTGAGACCCTCTATCAAAAAAAAAAAGAAGAAGAAGAAAACGAAATATTTATAGATACCTGTGTATCTGTAAATCTACACACATATGTATTTCCTTGCTCTTTAAGCTCACAGGGCATAGAAGAGCCAACACTCCAGTAACATGAGCAGAGATCTTGGTTTTCATTCTCCAGTAAAAGAAGCAAGGATTCTATCTTAGTTGTTTGTGTTGCTATAACAAGATACCTTATAATGGGTAATTTATACCCAACAGATTTTTTTTTTCCTTATAGTTCTCAAAGCTGGGAAGTCCAAGATCGAAGCACCAGCCTTGGCATCTGATGAGGGCTGCTCTCTGCCTCCCACATGGCACCTTGTTGCTGTGTCCTCACATGGCAGAAGGTGAAAGGGCAAGAGAGTGCTTCCACTGACCTCCAGCACTTTTGAAGGGTGTCACCTCCCAAACGCCACACCTCTTTTTTTTTTTTTAAATATATTTTTATTTTCACAAAATCTAGCTTACATCACTTCATCCATTTTATATAGACTTTAGCACATCCACATGCAATCAGTTCATATTATTTCCCTTTACCAGGTGTTGAATATCTTACTAAAGTAAAATAGGTCATTTTTTTGCTATGTATTATTTAATATACTTATTTGGTTTTATTAAATGTTAAATCATATTAAGCACATCATAATAAAAATACTGCTGCACTGGGGATTAAGTTTCAACATAAATGTTGAAGGGGACGCCATTACTTAAACCATATCAGGCTCCTTGAAGAACTGACTTAAAATGGCAGATTGTATGTCTGGGGCATGAAATATATAAGAATAGCTTGAAGCATCTTACAGTGCCATAAAATAAGTAAGTGCTCAAACAAAAATAACTGAAAATGAAAGAAAGAATGCCAAAGGAATACAACTGAAAGAGCTCTAAGTAGCCAGAGTTGAAACAATTTGACAATAAACAAATAAATAAATAAAGTGTTGGATGATAACTTTAAATATAAGATAAATATCCACAAGCCCTACTGATATAAGTAAGGATTCATTAAATAAATGACGGAGAATAGACAACTCCTCCGTGCAGAAGAATTCCAAATAATTTATGTAAATCTCCACTTTCAAAGATACGGAGCATAACACATTATTCTTTAGTGTCGCTGCACACAACACCTCATCCAGGTGATCAAGATCAACCACAGTGATGTCATGTTGATAGTACCTATCCATGATATGATGTACTGAAAAATAGCATTTTTCCTCTGTAGTTTTCCTCCCCTAAACCCATAACCCCAATCTAATCATGAGAAGAATTTTGGACAAATCCCAAAAGAGACTTTCTGTGGAATATCCCACCAGTACTCCTCAAAACTGTCACGGTCATCAAAAACAAAGCCTGAGAAATTGTCACAGTCAAGAAGAACTTAAGGAAGTATGATGTTTAAATGTGATATGGTATCTTGGATGGGGTCAGAAGAATGACATTAGGTAAAGACTAAGGAAATCTGAATAAAGTAATGGACTTTAATAAGAAGAAGGTATAAATATTGTTTCATTAATTGTGACAAATGCTAATGTAAAATGTTAATAATAGGGAAAATTGAAATCAGGATATATGGGAATTCCATTATATTTGCAATTTTTCTGTAAATCTAACACCGTTCTAAAACATGAAATTTACATATGTAAGAAAAAGTTACTGAAGACAGAATTCCTAGGTAAAGTGCTTAGAGAATAAGGGGTAGGCAACAGGAGAAAGACAGTTGAAGAAGAAAATAGAGGTAGTTATTTTCTGAGACTTTAATTTGAACTAATTAACAGGTTCACCTACTTCAGTCATCTGTTCACCTAACACATATCATTTGCATGTCTGCAGGTACCAGGACCTCTGCCAAGAGACAGCGACACAATGGTGAACCAGGAAATGGCATATCCCCTGTCCTCAGGGAACCAGATGAGTAGAGAAGACAAAATTTACTAAAATAATCAATCATTTGAGTAAATGTAGAATTTCAAGGGTAGTTAGAGTTACAAAGGAGAGGTACACGCTACCATGAGAACACAAAAGGGGCATTTGTGTCCATCAGAGAAGCTAAGAAACATGTCCCAGAGCCAATATTAAAACCACAGTGGTAACATATACACCACTGTGAGAGTGTAGGGAAATACTTGAGCTCTTCACCAAATATAACGGCAGCATTTGAGATTTCTTAGCTTCATTTTGTTTGTTGCAGTTAGCCCAGATTGACTGTTGTGCAAACAACTTCCATTTGGTTTAGTTTTTGATAACTCGTTTTATGATAGGCAGCTGCTTCTTATTTGAAGTGAGAGATGAGGTAAGAAAGAATTCAAAAGATTTGAAGGCTACCTGACAGGGTTGCTTCATGATAACAAACAGCCATTCTCAATGTTTGAAGTGGAAGGCATTACTTCCTCAGGGTCTTTCGGGTTTTCTCTGTTTTTTGTTTTTTTCAACTGTGTGCTGCGCCCCCCACCACAATTCCAATGATTTCCCCCATAGATAAGAAATAATTGCTTGTTTCTTGAAGAATTTTTTAAAAAGGGCTATCCTAAGGCTGCGTTTCTCATATTTGGTATGAATATGACTAATGTCTATTCTAATCCTTGAGGCATTCTTAAGAAGAGGCAGCATACGAATTTTAAAAAGGCTTTAACCTTTTTCCTTTGCTCATTATGTAAATTCTATTTTTCAGCTTCCCTTTTCCCCCTACCATCAACCCTCCACGCTTACTCCTCTCCCCTTTATTTTTCTGAATGAGCTTTCTTCTCTTTTGTCTTTTTTTCAGGATAGATGTTATTCTTCACATTCTTTCTGGGTGGAGGGGGATATACTAAGCCTATTAATATGTTTACCTTTTTACCTATTTAGAATATGGTGAAGGACAAGGAAAATAAAATGAGTAAGCGGTGCCTTCTGAATAATGCCATGGAGCTTATGGTAATGGCAGAGCCTTTTCTGAGCATTAAAGTGGTAATCTGACTGCATTGTTAGAGTAAATAGAGTATTCAGCCTTCTAATCTTTCATATGTAACAACAGCCCAAGTATATTAATTATAACTTGAGAAATCAATGTGAGCTTCTAACACACAGGTACCATTTTCCTAAAGGCAGGATGAGACAGTGTTAGCACAGAAATAAAATAATCCTCATAGTCACTGCTCACCTTTGCCCTCATTTTCATTCCTGGTTTTATTCAGGAGTAACTAAGCAGGTTAATGTCACAGAACTGCCTGTGATTATCTTTAGTTTAAACAACAGTGTCTGCCCAAGATAAATGCACGTGTGAGATAGATTTCACCCCTGAGAGCAGTTCATCTTTCCTTCTGCATGCCATTTTCCCTGTACTGCCCCTCAAATGGATTCTGAACATATAGATTACATTATCACATTAAATGAGGATGAGTAAACTTCAAAGGTTCAGAGTTAAGATGCACCTGGACTTTTAGATTCTGACTTGAAAGCGAGCTCACATTAACTGTTCCATAAAGCTGTGATGGAGACACCTAATGTCGTTGTCAAATTCCTCTGAGTAGTTTTTCAATGAGCCAAACCAAATGCAGGACTTCAGGGCTTGTGAGTTATTCTCTCTAAAGTGATGCTGCAAAGAAACATAACATAACGATTGACAATTTTACTAAAATCATGTATTATAAAAGTGTATTTGTATCAGTACTCACAGCCAATTGTATACCTACCTAGTTGTAACCATTTAGTTATTACACAAGAAAAAATGTGTGTAAATCGCAGTTTGGGGGCACATAGAAACAACACTATATACAAATTATAATTTGTATTCATTGGTTTATTCCTTTATTTATTCATTCAACAAATACACATGGGGCTTCCACTGCATCCAACCACCATGCAATCATGTGAGTCCATGAGGATATCTTTAGCCACCAGGCTGTGAGCTGAAATGACATGTGTCATTTCTGGGCCAAAGGTTTTAATTGCTGGTGCAAGACTCTCCAGAGCTCTCTTACTCTGCTGGGTGACGAAAGGTTCACACATCTCAGATGGTTCAGTTAAAAGATCAGGGGGACTATTAGCCTGGGTTCTGAGCGTAGCCCTCACTAACCCACAGTGGATGTGTAGTCTGGGTGAAAAACAAATTTTTGTTGTGTTAAGCCATGGGATTTTGAGATTGATTTGTTATTGCAGCATAACCTCGTTTATCTTGGCTAGCTAATGGAGTAGTTAATGCCTAACTGGTAATCATGATTATAAAAGTTTCCATGTATTAAGTTCATAGCAAAAATCCTGGAATATAGCCATTATTATCTGCATTGCAGAGATGAGGAAACTGAAGCTCAGAAGGTTAAGTACGTTACTCAAGGTTGCAGGGTTTATAAGCAGCAGAGAAAGGCACTGAACCAAAGCCCCATGTCCATAAATGTTTCTCCTATATGCTAAGTATCATAATCAGAAGCTACACATACGAATGAAAAAGATCTTTTCCAATATTAGAAAGATAATTGCTAATTCATCTATGTAGTTCAAACTTGTACAGTATCCATAAAACAGAAATAACCCTGTTTACATGCATTCTACAAAATCTTCAAGATATTAATAGAACTTGCTCTATGGTCAAATAATTTTGTGAGGCTTTCTATACTATACTATTTGTGTAAATAGTATGCATCCATTCAGATTCACTTAACTTCCCCTGTCTTCCAGCTGCTACTGTTGTCTTTTTAGCTATAGCTGCTACTACCTCATCCACCAGCATTACCAGCTCTCTTGGCAAGTATTGGACTACAGCAAGGCCTCCATTACTCCTGCTGCTGTGGAGTTAAGACACAGTTCACTGGTGTGTCAGCAAGACATATTGGTGCTTGCTAGAAATAGATTGCTACTGCATGGCAGCCACCGCTTGGGTGAGCCTGAAGCCCTCCCAATGGGCAAAGATACAGGTAGTATACAACAATTGGCCACAGACTTTATATGGAGAAGTACCTGTGATATGGATATGCATTGACTTCTCTGCAGCACAAATGGGCTACCTAGTTGGCTAATTAACTAGAATAGACGAAACGAAGGGATCAATGACTAGAGTGTCTAAGATGGAGCTAGGTAAAGGGATCTGTGGAAATCAGTAAAAACAGGCCAGCTTTGATAGCTTTAGAGATCAAAGAAGAATATCTCTAAAAAGATCACATTTGAGGGAAATGCAGTAAGACTTTCCTTGATATTCAGTGCTCTCCAGTTGCTCACGACTGTAGCTTTTACCATAGAACCCTATTTCTTCTGATCTCAATATGGAACTAATCTATATTTATATGAAAAGCATCACCCTGCCAAAATTACATGTCTATTGTAAGCCGTTCAAAAGTGTAATGTAAATGAATGAATAGGTGTTGGGGGCAGATATACACTACAGCAGCAAAATGGTAGAGGAACTAGCTCTGAGCAAGAGAGCCCTTTGGTGCTTCCTGGGTCAGAGTCATCAGCTCTGCCTGAGGAGTCTAATTCTTCAGTAGTATCGGCATCTCTCATGAATGTGCCCATTCTGCCCAGCATACAGGCTTCTAAAAGCTTAGGGACACACTGGGAACTCTTGAGACAGCACGGGCCTATGTAAGGGTATAGCAAGACTGAAATGTTTGATGGGAGAAAGAAGGGCAAGGATAGTAACATTTGTGCTACCAGCAGTGTTTCCTGAAGCATTATTCCTTACAGTTGTTTTTCTAGGAAGTAGGGGGTCCCTGAAAATATGATAGTAATGCTGAAGATAAAGTAGTGAAGTCCCCTTGGATGACATGGACTTGAATCCTGGCTGTGCAACTTACTCAGTAGATAACTCTGGGGAAATAATTTAACCTGTCTCAGTTCTCTCACCTGCAAATTGGGTGTAACAGACAATATCCACTCTGCACATAAAGTTATTACAAGTTTTAATAAGACCATGGTTCTTTCATTATTTGTATAATCTTGGGCAAGTCAATTAAATTTTCTGAGTCCCCTTTTCTTCATGTCATCTCTATATTAGAGGCTTAGTTCCAATAATCACCATGATCCTTCCAGCTCTGATGTTTGAGATCTATGCAAATGGAAGTGTTCACTGGGAAATGTCAGAGAAATGTAAATCTGATTATCCTTATAATTTATAATATTTGTATTAGTATTACTATTTTGAATGCAGCAGTCCTTAGGAACCAGCTTCCTCTAAGAAAAGAAAGAGTATGATCTTTGATATTCTCCACCTGGGACTGTTGTCCATGGCAGGGATGTGTCTCTGTAAAGGCCATTGCTAAGAAGCATGGAGCCCCTTTGCTCCTCCTGCTTGAAATTGATGCCCTTTCCTGCTCTAACCACCAGAGGGGAGACATCATCTGTTTCATGTTCTGATTTACACACAGGCGCTACCAAAGGCAAGTTTGAAATTAATAATGAACCCACACCCTCAGAAGTCAGAAGCAGCAGAATCATCAATTTCTCATTGATTTCTAGGCAGGAAGAGCAATGAAGACTCTGCCCTCTCACCTTCTCTCCTCTGCTCCCTTTGGAGGATGAATGGGGTACCGCAAAGGAAACCTGGTTTCCAAAGGGTCATAAAAGTGCTCCTGGAAGTCACCATGTTTTCATTCCTTTAAAATGATGATAAACTACTTATTAAGCCTTGGGCTATGGACTTGGCACTGAACTGTGTTCTTTGCTAGTATTTTCTTGTTTAATTCTCACAACAACTCCATGAGGTAAATATTAATCTTATGCCCAGGACATGAGGGCATATAAAAGGTAAATAACTGATAAATCAGTAAAATGGGGATTTCAATCTATATTTGACCCCAAAGTCTGAATTCTAAGCCAGCAGGTCTCAACTTTTTTGGTTGCAGGACTGCTTTACCTTATTAAAAATGACTAAGCGTCCCCAAAAGCTTTTGTTTGTGTGTGTTACGTCTGTGAATATTTATTGTATTAGAAATTCAAGCTGTGAACAACGTAAAGCACAAGAGTATAGAAGTAAACATTCCACAAGTCATTGGGTGATACCATCACATGTTACTTAGCCTCTGGAAAACTCCACTGTACACTCAAGAAAGAATGAGAGTAAAAGAGGCAAATGACATCTCAGTATAATTATGAAAATACTTTTGACTTTGCAGACCCCATAAGAGTTTTGGAGACCAACACAGGTTCCTAAGCCATACTCAGTAAACCACTGCTATAAACTTCTTCTGCATTTTGCTGTTTCCTACTGCACACTATGCTAGCATGCCTTGCATGTCTAATGTAATGTTCAAGTTGACATAAGTATCTTCTACAAATCAGAGAGTATCTATAATTCTCAAATGTATGCTGTATAGTAAAGAATGCCCCCTCCCTCTCCTTTGAATTTATGTATTTATATTTTATATTTTTTATATTTATTTTTTGAAACAGAGTCTTGCTCTGTCACCTGGTCTGGTGTGCAGTGGTGCAGTCATGGCCCACTGAGGTCCCCATCTCCCAGGCTCAAGTGATCCTCCTACCTCAGTCTCCCAAGTAGCTGGAACAACAGGAACCCATCACCACACCTGGCTAATTTTTTTATTTTTTGTAGAGTCAGGGTCTCACCATGTTGCCCAGGCTGGTCTCCAACTCCTGGCCTCAAGAAATTTTTCCACCTTGGTCACCCAAATCACTGGGATTACATGCATGAGCCACCATGCCTGGCCCTCTCTGTCTCTTTTAAATATAAGAGTTAAGTTAAAGTCTTTTTTTTTTTTTTTTATTATACTCTAAGTTTTAGGGTACATGTGCACATTGTGCAGGTTAGTTACATATGTATACATGTGCCATGCTGGTGCGCTGCACCCACTAACGTGTCATCTAGCATTAGGTATATCTCCCAATGCTATCCCTCCCCCCTCCCCCGACCCCACCACAGTCCCCAGAGTGTGATATTCCCCTTCCTGTGTCCATGTGATCTCATTGTTCAATTCCCACCTATGAGTGAGAATATGCGGTGTTTGGTTTTTTTGTTCTTGCGATAGTTTACTGAGAATGATGGTTTCCAATTTCATCCATGTCCCTACAAAGGACATGAACTCATCATTTTTTTGGCTGCATAGTATTCCATGGTGTATATGTGCCACATTTTCTTAATCCAGTCTATCACTGTTGGACATTTGGGTTGGTTCCAAGTCTTTGCTATTGTGAATAGTGCCGCAATAAACATACGTGTGCATGTGTCTTTATAGCAGCATGATTTATAGTCCTTTGGGTATATACCCAGTAATGGGATGGCTGGGTCAAATGGTATTTCTAGTTCTAGATCCCTGAGGAATCGCCACACTGACTTCCACAAGGGTTGAACTAGTTTACAGTCCCACCAACAGTGTAAAAGTGTTCCTATTTCTCCACATCCTCTCCAGCACCTGTTGTTTCCTCACTTTTTAATGATTGCCATTCTAACTGGTGTGAGATGATATCTCATAGTGGTTTTGATTTGCATTTCTCTGATGGCCAGTGATGATGAGCATTTCTTCATGTGTTTTTTGGCTGCATAAATGTCTTCTTTTGAGAAGTGTCTGTTCATGTCCTTCGCCCACTTTTTGATGGGGTTGTTTGTTTTTTTCTTGTAAATTTGTTTGAGTTCATTGTAGATTCTAGATATTAGCCCTTTGTCAGATGAGTAGGTTGCGAAAATTTTCTCCCATGTTGTAGGTTGCCTGTTCACTCTGATGGTAGTTTCTTTTGCTGTGCAGAAGCTCTTTAGTTTAATTAGATCCCATTTGTCAAAATTGACAAATGGGATCTAAAAAAGTTAAAGTCATTATATTTTTCTCTTCAAACAATAATTATGAAAAACCTATACAAATAATGAAAGGTGGTATTATTGTTATTGCCAACTCTTCATAACCCTTCCGCTTTACTTGTAGAGTTCTGAAAATCTAAATATTACCAGGTAACTTTGCATCATTGCATTCTGTACAAAGAGATGCTATTGGAAGTAGTTCATTTTTACCTTCAGGAAGTATTTATCCAATGCCTCTCATGTGCTCGTCATTGAGGTGGACCCCAGATTTACAATGATGAATGTAACCCAGTCTCTATGTTCAAGAAGCTCAAAGTCTGGAGGGAAGGATAAACAAATCAAATGTAATGTATAAAAACAATGTGACAAGATAGGGATATAGGGGCACATCGGAAGGATACCTAATTAAGCTTTCAGTAATTAAAGACGATTAAAAGATATACTAGTAATTTTACTGCTATATTTAAAATTTTCCAATTTTAAATTTCATTCCATTATTTAACTTGATGTCACTTTAAACATTGACTTCCAGTTTCTCCCTGCTGTTTAAATGTTGAAGATTTCCTTTTTTCACGCTGACATATCACTTTGCATTTTCAAAGTCAAGTCAAGTCTCATTGTTATTCCTTCTCTAGGTCCTTTTGTATCATTTCTCTGATATCTCTAGTATTCATAATATCTCCCAAATGAGTACCATCTGTGAATTATATCAGTGCGCTGTCTGTTCCCTACTCTGGCTTATGAATGAAGATGTTAAATCAGAACAGACATTGTAGGGCAGCTGCTTTCTGCCGCACCCCACCAGGAATCGTCTCAACATTTATGACACCTCTTCGCTGGCATTCATTACCTTTTGTTTATAGTCCTTCAGGTAGCTTTGAATCCCAAGTGATAAGGATGATGTTCAAGTGAATTTAAAGTTTTGTGATTAAAATTTGAATTGAGACATGGCATGCTTTCTGTTCAGTTCTGAGTTCTGAAAAGCAGTTATCTAACTTCCTCCCCTCTCCGTCTCTATCCCAAAATGACTTTAGTATTTGTTAATACACTTTAAATCTGCATGTGGGGACTACTTTATCTCAGTGTACAGGATGATAAAATGGAAATTGGTGTCACATTCTGATGTGAGGTGAGAAACCATAATGTGGAATTTGAAAGGAATGTTATTTTAAAAATCTGTTAAAAGATTCTCAGCAAGTGCAAGAGGTGAGACCCTATTTCTACAAAAAAAAAAAAAAAAGAAAAAAAAAAGAAAGTCAGGCATGCTGGTGCCTACTCGTGGTCCTAACAACTACTCAAGACACTGAGGCAGGAGAATCACTTGAAATCCAGGAGTTCAAGGTTGCAATTAGCTAGGATCTCATCACCAGAGTCCAGCATGGGTGACAGAGTGAGACCTTGTCCCTTAAAAAAGAATGATTCTTAGCCCAGCACCCCAAGGAGGGTAGCAGTAGTTGGATTATTGGAGATTGCAGAGGAGTTTTGGAGGCAGCTGGTGTGTCATGAGTCTCTCTCGTTTACTAAAGTGTAGGAGGGTTACTTCCACCTCCACCTCAAGCCAATAGAGAAGGAATTTAGGATGATTCAGAGAACTTGATAACTATCCTCTAAGTTTGTGGGATACTATATTGGGATCTTTCACCCACAACAACATCTGAAGACAAGAAGGGGTGACTGTGTTAGGCAGCTTGCTCCTCCAGAATGAATCTGAGCTAAGAATGTGAGGTCATGTGTAGGACACGCCCAAGAGAAAGCCATTTGGGCTCATTGTTGGTTTGTCCAAAACTGGTGAAGGGAGTTCAGCAGAAAGAAGCCAATAGCTCCACTCAATTTCTACTAATGAAGAATGAGAGGTAAATATTCAGCCAGAATAGAAATGCATTCCTTTAGGTCAAGGAAATTGCAGGTGCAGATGGGGTGGGAATGGTGCAATTCTGAAGAGCCCATGGGTATTAGTAAGCTTTTGCTGCATAAAAACACACTTCAAGACTTAGCGGCTTAAAACAACTATTTAGCTCATGATTCTTTAGGTCACCAAGTTAGGTGGAGCTCAGCTGAGCAGCTCTTACAGTTTTGGCTGGCTCACACATGTGTTGTGGTGAGATGTGGGTCAGTTGAGGGGTCACCAGTCTAATGTAGACTCATCTGGAATAGTCAGTCTCTGCCTCACATGGTTTCTCATCCTCTAGCAGGCTGTTTTGGTGGCATCAAAGCAAATTTTAAAAGCATGAAAGACTTCTTGGGGCTGGAATATCTTTGATTCCTTCACATTCTGTTGGCCGTGGCAAGTCACAAGGCCAAACCAGACTCAATGGGTAAGGAAATAGATTCCACCACTTGATAAGAGGATTGTAGTCTTTTTCTGCATCATTCTGCATGTAACATGAACATAAGCGTGGAGGTGCAGCATCCATTTTGTGACTATGAGATTATACACATGTTGAAGAAGGGCTCGTGCAGAGGGGGAAATATTGGGGAAATAGATGGAGTCTTAATCACATCATTGAGCCCCTACTATCCTGCCCTTTTTCTACCAACCCCCGTGCTTTTATTGCATGATACAGGCAAATCTCTTTCCTGTTTAAGATATTATGTGTTAGGGCTTTCTGTTACTTGCAGTCAAATATATTCTTGACTGATGCAACACATTTTTATAGAAGATGAGCTAAACTGAGCTGTACAACTAAAGAGGGATCAAATAAAGAGAAGAGTCATAAAAGATGGATTAAGAATTATGTGACAGTGCTCGCTCCGGCAGCACATATACTAAAATTGGAACGATACAGAGAAGATTAGCATGGCCCCTGCGCAAGGATGACACGCAAATTCGTGAAGCGTTCCATATTTTTAGAACTACGTGAAGAATGCAGAAGCCTCAGGAGCCGATGCGATCAACTGGAAGAAAGGGTATCAGCAATGGAAGATGAAATGAATGAAATGAAGCGAGAAGGAAAGTTTAGAGAAAAAAGCATAAAAAGAAATGAGCAAAGCATCCAAGAACTATGGGACTATGTGAAAATACCAAATCCACGTCTGATTGGTGTACCTGAAAGTGATGGGGAAGATGGAACCAAGTTGGAAAACACTCTGCAGGATATTATCCAGGAGAATTTCCCCAGTCTAGCAAGGCAGGCCAACGTTCAGATTCAGGAAATACAGAGAACGCCACAAAGATACTCCTCGAGAAGAGCAACTCCAAGACACATAATTGTCAGATTCACCAAAGTTGAAATGAAGGAAAAAATGTTAAGGGCAGCCAGAGAGAAAGGTCAGGTTACCCTCAAAGGGAAGCCCATCAGACTAACAGCAGATCTCTGGGCAGAAACCCTACAAGCCAGAAGAGAGTGGGGGCCAATATTCAACATTCTTAAAGAAAAGAATTTTCAACCCAGAATTTCACATCCAGCCAAACTAAGCTTCATAAGTGAAGGAGAAATAAAATCCTTTACAGACAAGCAAATGCTGAGAGATTTTGTCACCACCAGTCCTGCCCTAAAAGAGCTCCTGAAGGAAGCGCTAAACATGGAAAGGAACAACCGGTACCAGCCGCTGCAAAATCATGCCAAAATGTAAAGACCATCGAGACTAGGAAGAAACTGCATCAACTAACGAGCAAAATCACCAGCTAACATCATAATGACAGGATCAAATTCACACATAACACTATTAACTTTAAATGTAAATGGACTAAATGCTCCAATTAAAAGACACAGACTGGCAAATTGGATAAAGAATCAAGACCCATCAGTGTGCTGTATTCAGGAAACCCATCTCACGTGCAGAGACACACATAGGCTCAAAATAAAAGGATGGAGGAAGATCTACCAAGCAAATGGAAAACAAAAAAAGGCAGGGGTTGCAATCCTAGTCTCGGATAAAACAGACTTTAAACCAACAAAGATCAAAAGACACAAAGAAGGCCATTACATAATGGTAAAGGGATCAATTCAACAAGAAGAGCTAACTATCCTAAATATATATGCACCCAATACAGGAGCACCCAGATTCATAAAGCAAGTCCTGAGTGACCTACAAAGAGACTTAGACTCCCACACATTAATAATGGGAGACTTTAACACCCCACTATCAACATTAGACAGATCAACGAGACAGAAAGTCAACAAGGATACCCAGGAATTGAACTCAGCTCTGCACCAAGTGGACCTAATAGACATCTACAGAACTCTCCACCCCAAATCAACAGAATATACATTTTTTTCAGCACCACGCCACACCTATTCCAAAATTAACCACATACTTGGAAGTAAAGTTCTCCTCAGCAAATGTAAAAGAACAGAAATTATAACGAACTATCTCTCGGACCACAGTGCAATCAAACTAGAACTCAGGATTAAGAATCTCACTCAAAGCCGCTCAACTACATGGAAACTGAACAACCTGCTCCTGAATGACTACTGGGTACATAACGAAATGAAGGCAGAAATAAAGATGTTCTTTGAAACCAACGAGAACAAAGACACAACATACCAGAATCTCTGGGATGCATTCAAAGCAGTGTGTAGAGGGAAATTTATAGCACTAAATGCCCACAGGAGAAAGCAGGAAAGATCCAAAATTGACACCCTAACATCACAACTAAAAGAACTAGAAAAGCAAGAGCAAACACATTCAAAAGCTAGCAGAAGGCAAGAAACAACTAAAATCAGAGCAGAACTGAAGGAAATAGAGACACAAAAAACCCTTCAAAAAATTAATGAATCCAGGAGCTGGTTTTTTGAAGGGATCAACAAAATTGATAGACCACTAGCAAGACTAATAAAGAAAAAAAGAGAGAAGAATCAAATAGACGCAATAAAAAATGATAAAGGGGATATCACCACCGATCCCACAGAAATACAAACTACTGGGAGGAGCCAAGATGGCCGAATAGGAACAGCTCTGGTCTACAGCTCCCAGCATGAGCGACGCAGAAGACAGGTGATTTCTGCATTTCCATCTGAGGTACTGGGTTCATCTCACTAGGGAGTGCCAGACAGTGGGCGCAGGCCAGTGGGTGCGCGCACCGTGCGCTAGCCGAAGCCGGGTGAGGCATTGACTCACTTGGGAAGCGCAAGGGGTCAGGGAGTTCCCATTCCGAGTCAAAGAAAGGGGTGACAGACGCACCTGGAAAATCGGGTCACCCCCACCCGAATATTGCGCTTTTCGGACCGGCTTAAAATGTGGCGCACCACGACATTATATCCCACACCTGGCTCGGAGGGTCCTACACCCACGGAATGTCGCTGATTGCTAGCACAGCAGTCTGAGATCAAACTGCAAGGCGGCAGAGAGGCTAGGGGAGGGGCGCCCGCCATTGCCCAGGCTTGCTTAGGTAAACAAATTAGCTGGGAAGCTCGAACTGGGTGGAGCCCACCACAGCTCAAGGAGGCCTGCCTGCCTCTGTAGGCTCCACCTCTGGGGGCAGGTCACAGACAAACAAAAAGACAGCAGTAACCTCTGCAGACTAAAATGTTCCTGTCTGACAGCTTTGAAGAGAGCAGTGGTTCTCCCAGCACACAGCTGGAGATCTGAGAACTGGCAGACTGCCTCCTCAAGTGGGTCCCTGACCCCTGACCCCTGAGCAGCCTAACTGGGAGGCACCCCCCAGCAGGGGCACACTGACACCTCACATGGCAGGGTATTCCAACAGACCTGCAGCTAAGGGTCCTGTCTGTTTGTTAGAAGGAAAACTAACAAACAGAAAGGACATCCACACCAAAAACCCATCTGCACATCACCATCATCAAAGACCAAAAGTAGATAAAACCACAAAGATGGGGAAAAAACAGAACAGAAAAACTGGAAACTCTAAAACGCAGAGCGCCTCTCCTCCTCCAAAGGAACCCAGTTCCTCACCAGCAATGGAACAAAGCTGGATGGAGAATGACTTTGACGAGCTGAGAGAAGAAGGCTTCAGACGATCAAATTACTCTGAGCTATGGGAGGACATTCAAACCAAAGGCAAAAAAGTTGAAAACTTTGAAAAAAATTTAGAAGAATGTATAACTAGAATAACCAATACAGAGAAGTGCTTATAGGAGCTGTTGGAGCTGAAAACCAAGGCTCAAGAACTACGTGAAGAATGCAGAAGCCCCAGGAGCCGATGCGATCAACTGGAAGAAAGGGTATCAGCAATGGAAGATAAAATGAATGAAATGAAGCGAGAAGGGACGTTTAGAGAAAAAAGAATAAAAAGAAATGAGCAAAGCCTCCAAGAAATATGGGACTATGTGAAAAGACCAAATCCACGTCTGATTGGTGTACCTGAAAGTGATGGGGAGAATGGAACCAAGTTGGAAAACACTCTGCAGGATATTATCCAGGAGAACTTCCCCAATCTAGCAAGGCAGGCCAACGTTCAGATTCGGGAAATACAGAGAACGCCACAAAGATACTCCTCGAGAAGAGCAACTCCAAGACACATAATTGTCAGATTCACCAAAGTTGAAATGAAGGAAAAAATGTTAAGGGCAGCCAGAGAGAAAGGTCGGGTTACCCTCAAAGGGAAGCCCATCAGACTAACAGCGGATCTCTGGGCAGAAACCCTACAAGCCAGAAGAGAGTGGGGGCCAATATTCAACATTCTTAAAGAAAAGAATTTTCAACCCAGAATTTCATATCCAGCCAAACTAAGCTTCATAAGTGAAGGAGAAATAAAATCCTTTACAGACAAGCAAATGCTGAGAGATTTTGTCACCACCAGTCCTGCCCTAAAAGAGCTCCTGAAGGAAGCGCTAAACATGGAAAGGAACAACCGGTACCAGCCGCTGCAAAATCATGCCAAAATGTAAAGACCATCGAGACTAGGAAGAAACTACATCAACTAATGAGCAAAATCACCAGCTAACATCATAATGACAGGATCAAATTCACACATAACACTATTAACTTTAAATGTAAATGGACTAAATGCTCCAATTAAAAGACACAGACTGGCAAATTGGATAAACAGTCAAGACCCATCAGTGTGCTGTATTCAGGAAACCCATGTCACGTGCAGAGACACACATAGGCTCAAAATAAAAGAATGGAGGAAGATCTACCAAGCAAATGGAAAACAAAAAAAGGCAGGGGTTGCAATCCTAGTCTCGGATAAAACAGACTTTAAACCAACAAAGATCAAAAGACACAAAGAAGGCCATTACATAATGGTAAAGGGATCAATTCAACAAGAAGAGCTAACTATCCTAAATATATATGCACCCAATACAGGAGCACCTAGCTTCATAAAGCAAGTCCTGAGTGACCTACAAAGAGACTTAGACTCCCACACATTAATAATGGGAGACTTTAACACCCCACTATCAACATTAGACAGATCAACGAGACAGAAAGTCAACAAGGATACCCAGGAATTGAACTCAGCTCTGCACCAAGTGGACCTAATAGACATCTACAGAACTCTCCACCCCAAATCAACAGAATATACATTTTTTTCAGCACCACACCACACCTATTCCAAAATTAACCACATACTTGGAAGTAAAGGTCTCCTCAGCAAATGTAAAAGAACAGAAATTATAACGAACTATCTCTCAGACCACAGTGCAATCAAACTAGAACTCAGGATTAAGAATCTCACTCAAAGCCGCTCAACTACATGGAAACTGAACAACCTGCTCCTGAATGACTACTGGGTACATAACGAAATGAAGGCAGAAATAAAGATGTTCTTTGAAACCAACGAGAACAAAGACACAACATACCAGAATCTCTGGGATGCATTCAAAGCAGTGTGTAGAGGGAAATTTATAGCACTAAATGCCCACAAAAGAAAGCAGGAAAGATCCAAAATTGACACCCTAACATCACAACTAAAAGAACTAGAAAAGCAAGAGCAAACACATTCAAAAGCTAGCAGAAGGCAAGAAACAACTAAAATCAGAGCAGAACTGAAGGAAATACAGACACAAAAAACCCATCAAAAAATTAATGAATCCAGGAGCTGGTTTTTTGAAAGGATCAAAAAAATTGATAGACTGCTAGCAAGACTAATAAAGAAAAAAAGAGAGAAGAATCAAATAGACACAATAAAAAATGATAAAGGGGATATCACCACCGATCCCACAGAAATACAAACTACCATCAGAGAATACTACAAACACCTCTACGCAAATAAACTAGAAAGTCTAGAAGAAATGGATAAATTCCTCAGCACATACACTCTCCAAAGACTAATCCAGGAAGAAATTGAATCTCTGAATAGACCAATAACAGGAGCTGAAATTGTGGCAATAATCAATAGTTTACCAACCAAAAAGAGTCCAGGACCAGATGGATTCACAGCCGAATTCTACCGGAGGTACCAGGAGGAACTGGTACCATTCCTTCTGAAACTATTCCAATCAATAGAAAAAGAGGGAATCCTCCCTAACTCATTTTATGAGGCCAGCATCATTCTGATACCAAAGCCGGGCAGAGACACAACCAAAAAAGAGAATTTTAGACCAATATCCTTGATGAACATTGATGCAAAAATCCTCAATAAAATACTGGCAAAACGAATCCAGCAGCACATCAAAAAGCTTATCCACCATGATCAAGTGGGCTTCATCCCTGGGATGCAAGGCTGGTTCAATATACGCAAATCAATAAATGTAATCCAGCATATAAACAGAGCCAAAGACAAAAACCACATGATTATCTCAATAGATGCAGAAAAAGCCTTTGACAAAATTCAACAACGCTTCATGCTAAAAACTCCCAATAAATTAGGTATTGATGGGACGTATTTCAAAATAATAAGAGCTACCTATGACAAACCCACAGCCAATATCATACTGAATGGGCAAAAACTGGAAGCATTCCCTTTGAAAACTGGCACAAGACGGGGATGCCCTCTCTCACCACTACTATTCAACATAGTGTTGGAAGTTCTGGCCAGGGCAATTAGGCGGGAGAAGGAAATAAAGGGTATTCAGTTAGGAAAAGAGGAAGTCAAATTGTCCCTGTGTGCAGACGACATGACTGTATATCTAGAAAACCCCATCGTCTCAGCCCAAAATCTCCTTAAGCTGATAAGCAACTTCAGCAAAATCTCAGGATACAAAATCAATGTGCAAAAATCATAAGCATTCCTATACACCAACAACAGACAAACAGAGAGCCAAATCATGAGTGAACTCCCATTCACAATTGCTTCAAAGAGAATAAAATAGCTAGGAATCCAACTTACAAGGGATGTGAAGGACCTCTTCAAGGAGAACTACAAACCACTGCTCAAGGAAATAAAAGAGGATACAAACAAATGAAAGAACATTCCATGCTCATGGGTAGGAAGAATCAATATCGTGAAAATATCCATAATGCCCAAGGTAATTTACAGATTCAATGCCATCCCCATCAAGCTACCAATGACTTTCTTCACAGAATTGGAAAAAACCACTTTAAAGTTCATATGGAACCAAAAAAGAGCCCGTATCGCCAAGTCAATCGTAAGCCAAAAGAACAAAGCTGGAGGCATCACACTACCTGACTTCAAACTATACTACAAGGCTACAGTAACCAAAACAGCATAGTACTGGTACCAAAACAGAGATATAGATCAATGGAACAGAACAGAGCCCTCAGAAATAACGCCACGTATCTACAACTATCTGATCTTTGACAAACCGGAGAAAAACAAGCAATGGGGAAAGGATTCCCTATTTAATAAATGGTGCTGGGAAAACTGGCTAGCCATATGTAGAAAGCTGAAACTGGATCCCTTCCTTACACCTTATACAAAAATCAATTCAAGATGGATTAAAGACTTAAACGTTAGACCTAAAACCATAAAAACCGTAGAAGAAAACCTAGGCATTACCATTCAGGACAGAGGCATGGGCAAGGACTTCATGTCTAAAACACCAAAAGCAATGGCAACAAAAGCCAAAATTGACAAATGGGATCTAATTAAACTAAAGAGCTTCTGCACAGCAAAAGAAACTACCATCAGAGTGAGCAGGCAACCTACAAAATGGGAGAAAATTTTCGCAACCTACTCATCTGACAAAGGGCTAATATCCAGAATCTACAATGAACTCCAACAAATTTACAAGAAAAAAACAAACAACCCCATCAAAAAGTGGGCGAAGGACATGAACAGACACTTCTCAAAAGAAGACATTTATGCAGCCAAAAAACACATGAAAAAATGCTCATTATCACTGGCCATCAGAGAAATGCAAATCAAAACCACAATGAGATACCATCTCACACCAGTTAGAATGGCAATCATTAAAAAGTGAGGAAACAACAGGTGCTGGAGATGATGTGGAGAAATAGGAACACTTTTACACTGTTGGTGGGACTGTAAACTAGTTCAACCCTTGTGGAAGTCAGTGTGGCGATTCCTCAGGGATCTAGAACTAGAAATACCATTTGACCCAGCCATCCCATTACTGGGTATATACCCAAAGGACTATAAATCTTGCTGCTATAAAGACACATGCACACGTATGTTTATTGCGGCATTATTCACAATAGCAAAGACTTGGAACCAACCCAAATGTCCAACAATGATAGACTGGATTAAGAAAATGTGGCACATATACACCATGGAATACTATGCAGCCATAAAAAATGATGAGTTCATGTCCTTTGTAGGGACATGGATGAAATTGGAAATCATCATTCTCAGTAAACTATCGCAAGAACAAAAAACCAAACACCGCATATTCTCACTCATAGGTGGGAATTGAACAATGAGATCACATGGACACAGGAAGGGGAACATCACACTCTGGGGACTGTTGTGGGGTGGGGGGAGGGGGGACGGGGAGGGATAGCATTGGGAGATATACCTAATGCTACATGACAAGTTAGTGGGTGCAGCACACCAGCATGGCACATGTATATGTATGTAACCTGCACAATGTGCACATGTACCCTAAAACTTAAAGTATAATAATAATAAAATAAATAAATAAAAAAGAAAAAAAAGATTTACCTCATGTCAAAACAAAGAAAAAAAAAAGAATTATGTGACAAAACAACAAAGCAAATAGAATTTTTCTGGTCAGAAAAGAAAATGCAAAACTCGGAGAGAGAATTTAGCAAAATTTTGTGAATAGTTAGTGTGCAAAAAAACAGATCGATCTTAATTTTTTTAATGGAAAGAACCAAACAAAAACAAAGATTACTCTGTAAGATGGTTAGATGAATGAATTTATCTTTGAGGAGAACAATGTAAGCATTGAAATTCTGTCTTAGCATGACTCTGAATCTCCTTTTCTATAAATCTTGATGTATGGAAAAACACCTTTTCTACCTAGGATTAGACCTATTTTTATCTTTGTTTTTTTGAACATTAGTAATGAGGCAGATTTTTATTTAAAGGCTAGCTATTAGAATACTGTTGCCTGAATAGCTGTGGTAGATATAGAATATAGTGATATCTGAAGTTTACATACATAAGCAAACAAGTGGAAGCTCAGCTCACAAAGGGATATTTGATCCTCCGTGAAAAGAAAAGCTAAAATCGCATGCTCAGTAGTAACCTAATGGGTTCATTTGGACAAAACTCTCACTCTCTGACAGAAAAAGACCTGGATAGGAAATTGTCTTTGCACACACCAAATTCTGGCTTAATTCTCCTTCCTATACAACTGTACCTCAGCTAAAAATAAAATAAAATAAAAAAATTCTGCCTTGAAAAAACTCAAGAACCTGGACTACTAAAAACAAAAAGGAAATTTTAATGTAGTAAACAAATTTAGTGAGCACCATGTGTATTTTCTGTTATTAATGAAGACATGATACATTTTTAAAGTATGTATTTTTAAAGACAAAAAAAAAAATCTAGAAGGAGTCTTGACTAGAGAAAATTCAGCCCAACTTTTATCCCTCTCAATCAGAAGTGGGTCTTGGCACCAATCAGCAACCTCTCCTCCAGCACACAAAAGTACTGCCATTTGCCTTGCGAGCAGAACATAAAACATATACCTTAGCTGTTGAATTTGAACATTAAGCAGAATCACTGCAGATCACATTTTGTTGGGTTACTTCAATACCCACCTGGTCTAGTTCAAAATATCTGTCTGTACATCCAGTTTATACATATTCCGCAGGTATATTGAACAATATGCCATCTATCGTCCCATTATTTATTTTTACATGGCAGTTCTTGTTGCCCAAGCAAACATTAAGATTATAAAGAGCTCTCTTGAAGGAAATTTTCAGGTGAAGGTACGTTAATGAGAAACCTTAAAAGTTAAACAAATCTAGTTCTTTTTTACTGAACTGGTGGGATAAAAGCAGAATGGCTATTCTGAAGAGCAGCTTCATTTGTTTCCTCCCGGGAAAAGACCAAATTTTCTGGACTGCTTTATTTAAAAACAAAGTCAATTAAAAAAAAATAAAATGTACACCTTGGGATATTATAAAACTTGAAATAATGGCAGGTAGTATGGAATGGAAAGCAGAGGTTTTTGTTGTTTTTTTTTTCCAAAAAAAGGAAACTATAGCAGATTTTCAGGGAAAAGCAAACAAAACATACCAGAACATACCAGAACACTACGCAGACTCTATAGTGCAGAATACCACACAAGAATGAGTTCTACATTGGTAATATCATGAGAGTAAGGGGGGCTTATACTTCAGAGAAGAGGAAAGGCTGCAGGCATAGGTTTATGATAGACATGATATTTAGCAACATAAAAATGATACCTTCCAGCTGACTGCGGTGGCTCACGCCTGTAGTCCCAGCGCTTTGGGAGGCCGAAGTGGGTGGATCACCTGAGGTCAGGAGTTCGAGATCAGCCTGACCAACATGGTAAAACCCCGTTGCTACTAAAAACACAAAAAAATTAGCCAGGCGTGGTGGTGGGGGCCTGTAATCCTAGCTATTCCGGAGGCTGAGGCAGGAGAATCGCTTGAACCAAGGAGGCAGAGGTTGCAGTGAGCCGAGATCATGCTATTGCACTCCAGCCTGGGCAACAGAATGAGAATCCATCTAAACAAAAAACAAACAAACAAACAAAACCAAAAAACCTTCCAAAGGGTTCCCTGCATGGGGCAAAATTTGTTTTTCACTGCTATGCATAGGAAGGATTAAGAAAGTGGAACAAATTCCTTTGTAACTATAGCATCTCTCATATTTGAATGGCAAGCATGTTCAATCTGTTGCTGCATGTTAAGAAAATATTGAGGATATATATGAATAAAGCAAAACAAGAAAAAAGGTTAAATTATGAGCTTTAAAAATTAAAATAAAAATCTGTTTTTAAGCCAAGTAGGTGTGATTCTGATAATTATTACATATGACATAACCCATAGAAAGCAAGGCCAAGAAAAAAAAACTTCATATCGGTCAGTTCTTGGACTTGATATTGTCCTAGGAAAAACAGTGATAATTCAACAAATGCATCACACATACAACTAAAAAGTCTCCTTCTGGTTTCAGATAAATTTAAACAACAATCTTCCTAGGCTATTTTTTCTCCTGTGTCTAATAAACCTTCTACGTGCAAGGCCAGTGTAAATCCCTCCACCCTTTCAAACACTAGAGCTGAACATCCAGGAACATTTTGCAATGCAAAGTGCTTTGAGAAAGAGATGGATTCTGTAGTGCCAGTGGCATAACTGATCAAGGAAGCTGGGAAGAGATTAACGCTGATGGGAGCCAGTCAGGCAATGGTGGTTTGTTTCTCTCCTTGGGTGTTCCTCCATCAGCTGCATGATCAGTTCATAGAGGGCTCTGCAGATCTTTGCAGAGCCCTCTCCTGTAAGATGAAGAGAATCAAATATGTCATGGCAGGAGATGGCACTGTCAGGGTGCATGAAGCCCCCGTCTGTATGCAGGACCTACACATGGGCAAGCTTCAGCAAGGAAACCTTGAGAAGCTGGTTCACCTTTTGCCTCAAAGTGTTGGGCTTCTCACCTCAAGGTAACACATCCAATACAAGAATTTTGCCTTGTGGCTGCCTTATGTTGATAAATTGGTAGAGTGAATGATGGCCTTGATCCTACCTTCTAACTCTACTGCTGTATTTTCATGGTTGTTTGTTTTTACCCAGAGAACAATGACCTTAAGTTTAATATTCTCCAGTTCTCTACTCTTTATTTTCTATAAAACATGTCTTGTATCTTCCTCAGTTCTAAAATTCAGTGCGTGAAACGGGGAAAAAAGCTCTCGCCATATCTCGTGTTGCTGCATTAACTGCACCATGGGGTCTCCCACAAACACAACGTTAGGCTTTTTGTCTTTACCATCCAGGACAAATCTGTTGTGCTGAGATATCCATCTGTCGTCTCCTTGAATATCTTCCACTGCATGTGGAATAGCTGCTGTGTTTGAGTCGGCTTGATTCATTCTACACTCACGTAGAGAGTCCATGGAGGCCTTACAGGGTTGCAGCATTGACGGGTGGTGCGTCTGTCACTCGCTCAGTCCCTGTGGCCCTCCTCCGGCGCGGACCTCCTCGGGCCCCAGCACCAGCAGCAACCTAGAGATATTTTTATCCCAAAGAAAAAGAATTTAGGTAACTTCTTTTCGGTATTTGTCAGCCCTAGATTTCTTTAACAAATTCTTAATTATGCACATAAGAAATAGATACATATATAAAGCAAACGTGATTCCTTCAATAACTTGAGGTAAGCATTTGAGGAGCAAGAGCATATCCTCTAGAATGCTGTGCTAGTAGCTTATGCTTCTATTTCTCTCCACTCAGAGTCAGGATCTTGACTTCATGACTCCCCATATGTCTCACACTTAGCTTTATTCAATAAGGGAATCTCTTTTTCTTACAGTGATGCAGTGTTTTTCTGTATCTCCTTCGTAATAGAAAAGTGATTCATTTTACAATCAACTGTCATAGATTTTATAATTAACGTTTTAAATCTTGTTTAAATTTTGTCATAGAGCGTATTCATCAGTTTGTGGGATCTATTGTCATCATTTCCTTCATTTGCTCCAGTTTCTATGTACCACCTGAAGAACCCACCATACTTTCTTCAGTCCAGAATATCCAGGTTTAGTTATTGCAAATAGTGTACTCATAATACAGGTGATTCTTTCAGTCTTTGAAATATATTCTCCTTTTGTAACTTGCAGCATACCCAGCAAATCAGTCTTATTAAGACAGAATACTATATAGGGGCTATTTATCCTGGTTTAGCCCAATTTGAACATCAAAATCAAGACTAAAGACTATACTAGTGATGTAGTGTCCATAAAGCTCAGTCACTTGCCCAGATGATTTACAGACAACAGCAGAATTTGAGAATGACTGAAATCTATACTACAGGATAAAAACTATGTATATTTTAAAGTATATCCTTTTTTCCTTTTTCTTTTCTTTTTTTTTTCAAGAGACAGGTTCTTTCACTTTGTCATCTAGTTTGAACCGTAGTGGTGTGATCATAGCTCACTGCAGCTTCAAACTCTTGGGCTCAAGTGATCCTCCTGCCTCAGTTCCCCTGGTAGTTGGGACTATAGGAGCATGCCACCATGCCTGGTTAATTTTTGTGTTTTGTGTTTTTTCGTAGAAATGGGATCTTGTTATGTTGCCCAGGCTGATCTCAAACTCTTGGGTTCCAGCAGTCCTCCTGCCTCAACCTCCCAAAGGGCTGGGGATTACAGACATGAACCACCATGCCTGTTTGGCAAGTTCTTATATTTAAAAGAAGACTGTTTTTCTGCTCACAACGCTTTTGATACAAAAGGCATGGGAATTTTTCTTCTTGTACCAACCAGTTCTCTAACTTTCCAGACACAAACTGAGTGTCCTATAGCTTAATTCAATTCTGACACTGACTATGCATAGTTAAGAGAGACCTCATAGGTTAAGGCTTCAGTCCCAGAATACTGCCCTACTGCCAGTCACAAGTACTGGTTGCCCAGGGTACCCACACTTCTGTCCAACTTAGCTACAAATCAAGGGTTCCCGTAATCCTCCCCCCAGGTTCAATAATTTGTTATAACAGCTCACAGAACTCAGGGAAACACTTTACTTAACATTTTTATTACAAAGGGTATTATAAAGGCTATAAATCAACAGCCAGATGAAGAGGTGTATGGGGTCAGGTCCAGAAGGGTCCTGAATACAGAAACTTCTGTTCCCATAGATTGGGGTATACTACCCTTCTGACACGTGGGTGCATTCGCCAACCTAGAAGGTCTCCAAATTCCAGCATTTAGGGATTTTTCTGGAGGCTTTATTGTATCGGTATGATTATTAACTCAATCTTCAGTTCCTCTTTCCTCCCCATACGATAGGGAATGGGGCTGACAGTTTCAAGTTTCTAATCCTGGTTTGGTCTTTCTGATGACCAGCTCTTATCCTGAAGCTATTTATGAGCACGCTAAGAGTCATCTCATTAGAACAAGAGATTCTAATATCACCCAAAAAATTCCAAGGGATTTAGGAGCTCTGTGTGACATTTTTGTCAACCCCATCACTCAGGAAATTGCAGGGGTTTTAGAAGCTTTCTGTCAGAACAAGGGACATAGACCAAATATATATTTCTTATGGTGTCACAATATTCAATAAATTATAAATAAGACACTTTGTGTCTGACAGTAAAATACAGTTTCTCCTCAATAAGAAATTAGATCTATGGGAATACTACCATACCCATTTGGATTTTTCTTGTAGTGTGTTCTATGACATTCCCATCAGTTGACATGAGAAATGTCTATATGGTACCTTGCTTCACGAACCTAATTACTAAGTGTGATTTATCTCTAGTCTTTGATAATGCTTTTTCTCAAAGAATAGTCTCTAAATGCTAAGTCATCTTCAATAACGTTTCATGCGGGGGCTTAGTTTCCCATCTTTCCTAAGCACTCAGGAAGATGCTGGCTCGAAGAGAGTTGAATTTACCATGAAGCTAAGAAAGTGAAACTTTGGAAATCTTCAACTGCACCAGCCCCTTTCCAAGGTTCTGTAAATGTGTAAAATTTGCAAAAACGAAATAACAACCACAATTACTGAAGGCCATAGTTTCTTTCCACTCCACTCTCCACTCTGTCATACTTCCCTTCAAGTCAGATACTGTTGATGTAGCTGCAGGTAATTTGGGAATCTGACTAAGGGAAAATGGAATTAATCATACATCAATTTGTGTTTAGTGGATGTATTTGTGTAGCTCAGTTCCCTCTGTGTGAAGTCAAGTTATTGCTCGTCTTTCTGTCAATGAAACAGCTTCCAGGCACACTCCCACCATTCATTACACTAACTCCCTTAGCTTCATGACACCAAGGTGCAGGGCCAAGGCCCATATCACCATGATATGAGCATGTCCAGTGGCACAGGAAGAATGTGGGGTCCTGGAGGGGAAACAGGTTGCAACTGTGTGGAACCAGGAACTGCTCCGTGGAAAATCTATCATTAGCAGACATGTAATATTGAAAAGGGGGCATTCACTTCTCATTAATGTCTGATCAGAATAGAATTTCTCTCCTGTCAGGAATATATTCATTATAATATGATATTTGCAATCACAAATGTTACGAAGATTTTTTTTTTATGGTGACAGTAAGAAAGAGAATTTATCACATACCAATATTACAAATAGTGGATACATCTGTAATAGCTCATATATAACAGAACATGATAATAATTTTCTTAAATTTGTGAGATAGTACCAGTAATTAGTGTTAAAGATAAAATATCTAAATTATTAACAATAAAACAGATATTAATCAATATTGCTGAAATGCTGATTGTTTTTTATTTTCCCTAGAAATTACTGCATTTCAAAATTATAGTCATTTGAAGAAACAATAAGAGAATATATTGTAGCCAAGAATATTATAGAGCTATGTCAGGCAGTTGAGTAATATAAACATTGTTATTTTTTGTGATGTTTGTGGTACTTGTCAGCTGTTAAAAATCTATTGTTTGTTGGATTTCTATTCTCATTCTAAATAGTCATTCTAATTATTAAGTTATTATTTATAATTTTAGGTGCTTTTATTTTTTTAAAAAAGAAGACTCCCTAAATTGTAAAGTTTCAGAATCACAGAAATTTAAATCCATTCTAACAGGAGTTTTTTCCTCTCTCTTTCTTTCTCTCTCTCTCTCACACACACATATAGTTTAGTGCACTCGACCTCTGTGCTGTTTGCAATATATACAATGTATATAATGTATATATTGCAGGGATGTAAAATATATATATATACACATATAATATGCTGCAAAGAAGGACTATATATAGATTAATAGGTATCTATGTGATATATCATATCTACATATAGATATCTAGATGTAGATAGATATAGTTAGATACAGATATACACACAGAAGCACTATATATATATGTATATGTGTGTGTGTATATATATATATATATATATATATATATACACAGTCAAATCTGGCTTCTTGATATTTTAGTTTAGAAAGGGACATTTCAAAACTCTTTCTGATGTAATAGTCACTTATTGGGGGAAGAGGAGGTGGTGTCTGAGTTGATAAGAGAAAATTGCACTCTTCCATGAGCTTCCATTTTAGCAAGAGGTGTTAACCATTTCACATGAATTATCAATTATTATGTTAGTGACATTGAAAGCAATCTCCTCCTATATGATTTTTTCTTCTTCCTCCTCCTCGTCTACCACTGCCACCACCTTTAATAAATCTTATACATTTAGTTTTCATTTCACCAAAGAGAAAGAGATCAGGAAAATGAATGCGTCAGAAGGAGTACTTTCAGACACAAGAGGTCAACCTGCCTTCCAGGTAGGGCTGCTCTTCCTGGGAGCCACAGGGTGGCACAGAGCAAATAGCAGATGTAGAACCCACGATTCAGATTAGGAGACTGTTGATGACAAATGGCAGGTGGCTGGTTGGGGGTTGGAGGAAGTTCTTTTACCAGGGAAGAATATAGACAGGCATAAAGTTTTGATAGGCCTAAGGACACAGCCCGGGTACTTGAGACACAACTAGAGTCTAAATTAGAGATTGCAGAGGGGATGCAGGATGAGTCCATTGCAAACACTCAGAGACGCGGGTTCAGGGAGTCCTACATCCAAACCAGAAATGGATGCAGGATCATGGATATAAAGCCAATGTCAAGCATTTCTAGGGCATGAATGGCTTTCAGGACAACGTTCCCAGCCAGTGCCCTGAAAATGGTAGAGCAACTGCTCCAAACTCAATGTTCCCTATTTTGAAGGATTGGATTTAGCTGTTGATTGGGCATAACAGCATGAACTCTAGGGAATCAGGTTCTTTTTTTTTTTTTATGATACAGTGTTTTTCTTTTTTTTATTATTAAAGTTTTAAGGTACATGTGCACAACGTGCAGGTTTGTTACATATATATACATGTGCCATGTTGGTGTGCTGCACCCATTAACTTGTCATTTAACATTAGGTATACCTCCTAATGCTATCCCTCCTCCCTCCCCGCACCCCACAACAGGCCCCAGTGTGTGATGTTCCCCTTCCTGTGTCTAATGGTTCCAGGATTAGACACAGATGACATTCTCATCAAGGAAAAATTCCAATTTCACATAGGTATCACTATAACTCTCTTCTCATACTTTAAGGAGGCAGGTGGCATATTTGGAAGGAGATGAAAGATTTGAGGCTTCAGGTTGCAATCTTCTTTCCCAGGATGAAGCCCTTCAACCCCGTGCCTCTCTCCACTAACTAATAGCAGCATCTTTTCATTATCCTGCAAGTAGCTGTTAAAATCACTCATTGATATTAGTGAGGTGAATTTTAAAAAATCATTCATTCTATTAATAGTGTTGGTCTGCTTCAGAGGTTTTTACATTTTTCTTCTTCACTAAAGAAACATAGCATGTATCCTAGATATTAGAGTTGCTATTATTAGAAGGAATAGTAGCACCATCACTTAATTTTACTTACACATTTTATTATGTTTGTCCAACTGAGTATTATTATGTCCCAGAATAATGGAAGATATTCATAACCTTCAATCTCAAAATAAACCAAAGACTTACAGTTTTCCCCAGATACCTCTAGTCTTGAATTCAAGTATTATTCCTTCTTGCACATTCTTCCATTTTGTTCTATGAGAATTTTAAATATTGCTTCAAACCCCTGAAGGTTTCATGAACTTAATCACAGGCTGTATTTGAACAGACTTCACTGATAATTAATGAGTTGAATGTGTTTAACTATTACTCGTTGTCCAAATAAATGCAAAATAAAGTACCTTTATTTAAATGTACAAAATACTCATCTATATATTCATAAGCAATAAAGTTATATATTTGGATTTGTTCCATTTCTTTGACTAAGACAAAAATAGAATGCTAGCCCCTTGATAACATTTTCTTATACTAAAGAAAGATATCACACTTTTGATTATCTATCAACTTTAATATTTGCTGATATGGACAAGCACTAGTGTCTGCTAAATACAGAGAAGCCTTGACCTACTTTATTTGGTTTTGACATTTTGCATTTTAAAATGCAGGATCAAGAATGGTAGATTTTTATCATCTCTCCTTAGCCTTCTCTACAATAAGGAGAACACAAGGAAATTTTGGAAGGAGAAATAATACAGGGCTCATGAGGCCAATTTGGCAGAAAGTATTATTTTAAATAAATTCTAAAATGAGACACATTGAGATTTGTGCAGGGAGAGACATGGAATTTTCTTCAAATCATGCAAAAAATCAGGTGTATTCACAATGAATGCTTGGCTTGGAAAGGTTATTTTGTAAGCCAGTGCCTCCCATTCACTGTGTCTCATAAATCTGCCAGACACTGAGGGACATAAGATATTGGGAATCATCCTTTGGAGTTAATTGGAGAAACTGCTGTGCTTGTCTATAGGGAAAAACCTACTGTCATGTGTCAAATTTGGGGGTTACTGATAGAGTATTCAACAGACATGGTTAACTGAGGAAATCAAGCAAATCTAAACCACAGAAGAAAAAGACAATGGTATTACCTTCAGGAGACACAGTTAGGTGACAAGATGGAAAAGGAAATAGTTTTGCAGCTATCAGCATCCTGAACAAGAGATTGCATGAAAAACTCAAGCAGATACTGTCACAGGGAGCTAGAGCAAGAAAGGAGGAGAGCTAATGAAAGCAATGAGGTGTGTGGGGCAACTATTGGGCATATGTGATTGCTAGCATACTTCTATAAATAGATATCTGGAAGGGAGAATTAGATTAAGAAGGAAGTTGGAGTTCCTGCAATCATGGATAGCTGCAAAGTCAGAGAAATATGGTTTAATAACTGGTGTTACCTATTCCTACTACCCATCGTAGCATGAACTAATACAACATAACTCCAAACAGAATTTTGGAAGAAATCGTGGAATTCCAGACACAGCTTCCTTGTAATTTATTGTTACCGAGCACAGACCTGTTATTCAATTATTAAGTTGTCTGAACATTTTCTGATTTGGGTCTGAATAACTATGGCATTCAAATAAAAATACTTTATGCTTACTTGTCTTAGTTTGAGTTTCCTCCAAAGTAGATCCTGATTGCCTTTCAAGCACATACCTCTTCATCCCCTACCGCTCATGATAAATATCGCAAATGGGTTGTTGGAAAGATATTACAGCGTGATGTTATCGGCATGCTCTTAAGCCAAACTACTGGGTGTGTGGTCTGATGTTGCCATTTACCAGCCATGTGGCCTTTGAGTAGTTGCTTGTCTGTGTCTTGACATTCTTATAAAAAAAATGCTCACATTAATTCACCTCTTAGAGTTGTGGCAAGTATAAAGTAAATTAAAACAAATACCAGGTTTAGAATAGGACCTGGTACATGACAAGTGTCCAATAAATATTAGCTCTTTCTATGATGGATTTTTTTCCTGAAAGCTTCAAAACCCTTCTCAAAACAGTGTTCCAGGCAGCCACTGCCAAGTAATCAGAGTTGACACAAGAGATGAAACCAATTTGTCAAGTCTCCGTCCTCCTTAAAGTGAGAAGATGGATGGCAATACAAGCAGAGGAACCTGGGGTTCTGTACCTATCTGGCTTTGAAGGCTTGGAAATTATAGAATCTCAGAGGAGAAAGAAACCATAAAAGTCAGCCACTCCAACCTCTAACCCACTCTGGAAAATCCTTCTGTAGTGTGCCCTAACAAACACACGTGCATCTAGGGCCCTGCTTGGTATTCAATGCTCATTACATCATTTAATTTTAGCTTTTAGACTTTGCCTTAGGCAGCTTGGGCTGCCATAACAAAATAACATAGACTTGGTGGCTAAAACAACAAAACTTATTTTCTCACAGCTCTGAAGGCTGGGAAGTCCAAGATGAAGACGCCAGCTGATTCAGTTCCTGGTGAGGGTCCGCTTACTGGCTTGTAAACACTCATCTCACTATGTCCTCACATGGACTTTTCCTGAGACATAGAGATCTCTTCCTTTTCTTATAAGGCCACCAATTCTATTTGATTATGATCCTACCCTTATGATCTCTTTTAACCTTAATTACCTTTAAAAAGCCCTACCTCCAAACACACTCACATTGAGAGGTAGAGCTTCAGCATATAAATTTGGTTGGGTGGGGGTGAGGAGATACAATTCAGTCCATAGCAGAAATTTTTAGTTTCTCTTAATTGAATTATGCCTCACTATTGTAGTTTTGTTACCAGGAGCAACAGTAATGAGACCTTCCAAGTGACAAAATTTGAAGAATTTAAAACACTTAAAGTACCCTCCCTAGGTTTTACCTTCTGATGCATTGTCCCCATTTATTTAAATAATTTTTTACCTAGACTTCCCACCATCCAGTGAACATGATATCCTTTGTTAATTTATATATTTAAAAAGAGTGTCCACAATTGAAAATAGTTGCAAATGTGATCTGATCAATATAAAATGCCAGGGAATCCAGATCTTCCCTGTTCTATAACTATTCTGGCTTTGCTGCAAGTTGAGATTGCCTTTATTGTATTAGTCGTTGGGTGACAGTTTATAGGAAGTAGCTTACTGCCTGCACATTAGGTACTCAGTAGGCCCTGGTTGAATGAAACTGCAGCCCACTCTGATGGAATTTTTGTTGTTGTTTTTACAGTAAGACATATTTTTCTGAATCATCTCCAGTCTAAAGAACTCACAGAAGACTGGAAGCTAGGCCATTTTAGAATTCTCTTGAAATTTTGCATTTACATGAAAATGGTAGTAAGGGTCTGGACCAGGATGAAGAACAATTGTAATGAACCAATATAGAGAATGCCTGCACTGAAGAAAAACTGAGAATATGTTTTTCATCTCTTTCTAGGACTGCATGGACATAGAGAAAGAGTGAACAAGGGGCATGCTTCTGTTAAGTGTCTTCAGTAATTACTTGAACATGTGACTTGCTGTTTAAGGAATAAATGACATTTACTAAGGATTTAATATATGTCAGCTACTGTGCCAGGCACTTTCACATTATCTCATTAATCCTCTCAACAGCCCTGTGAGGTAGAGGTTGTTAGATCCACTTTACAGGGAAGTTATGGGGCTTGCCTAATTTTGCATGCTAAAGGTAATTCTTGCTTTGGCTGCCAAATGCCATGAGCTTTCCATAACACCTACACTAGTAATACTGGAGCATACCAGGGGATACTGGAAGGCACAGACAGAAAATGGCACACCACCCTGGGGTATTAATATTCCTGATGGCAGGTGTATTGGTTTACTAAGACAGCCATAACAAATAACACAGATCAGGTGGCTTAAACAACAGAAATGTACTTCCTCACAGTCCTGGAGTCTAGAAGTTCAAGACCAGGGTGGTGGAAGTGTTTTTTCTGCCTTCCCCCTCATTTGGTTTGTAAATGGCCATCGTCTTCCGGTGTCTTCACATGGGCTTCCCTGTTTGTGTGTGTCTGTGTCCTAACCTCTTCTTCTTAGAAGGTCTCTAGTCTTATTTGATTAGGACTCACCCCCAATGGCTTTATTTAACCTTAATTATCTCTTTAAAAGCCTTTCTCCAAGTATAATCACATTCTGAGGTACTAGAGATTAGGACTTCTACATATGAATTTCAGGGGCACACAATCCAGCCCATAACAGCAGGTAATTCAAAACACTCTAGAAAGGAAGTAAAATATAATACATAATAATCTGGACTTTGGACTTTGATTGCTTTGGCTGAATCCTGATTCTTTCATTAACTAGGTGAGTAACCTTGATCAACTCATTGAACCTATCTTCCCCTCAGTCTCCCAGTCTTTTAAATGGAGATACTCTCTTGTAGAATTTTTGTGTGTGTGAGAAAATAAAACAAGTTAATACATATTAGACACTTAGAAGAATCCCTGGAATGTAATAAGCACAGTATATGTAGTAACTTTTATAGGATAGATGAAGTAAAATGAAACATTAATTTTTATTGTGTATATTTAAGATGCACATGTTTTGTTATACATAGGCATAGTGAAATGATTACTACGGTCAAGCTACTGAACATATTCATCATCTCACACAGCTACCTTTGCATGTGTGCATGTGGTAAAAGCACCTGGTATCTATTCTCAGTGAATTTGCAGTATACAATAAAATATTTTTAATTAGAGTCCTATGCCATGCATTAGGTTGCTAGACTTATTCATTCCAAGTAACTGCAACTTTATAAACTTTGAACTACATCTCTCCATTACCCCCTTCCTTAACACCTCTGCCGCTGGTAGCCACCATTCTACTCTCTGTATAAGGGAAATCATACAGTATTTTTACTTCTGTGTCTGGCTTACTTCACTTTCACATAATATCCTTAGGGTTCATCCATGTTGTTGGATAAGGCAAGATCCCCTTCCTTTTGAAGGCTGAATAATATTCCTATATATATATATATATTGGGGTGTGTGTGTGTGTGTGTGTGTGTGTGTGTACCACAATTTCTTTATCCATTTATCTGTCAGTGAACATTTTGGTTGATTCCATGTCTTGGCTACTCTGAATAATGCTGCAATGAACATGGGAGCACAGCTATCTCTATGAGCTGCTGATCTCATACCCTTTGGATATATACTCAGAAGAGGGATTGCTGAGAACAGAATACAGACCCAGAAATAAATCCAAGCACATACAGTAAATTAATTTTTAACATGGGAACCAAGAAGACACATGGGGAAAGGGTGGCTTCTTCAATAATGGTGCTGGGAAAACTGGATATCTACATGTAAAAGAATGAAATTGGACTCTTATATTAGAACATACACAAAGATCATCTAGAAATGAGTTAAAGACCTAAATGTAAGACCTGAAACTATAAAACTCCTAGAAGAAAACACAGAGAAAACATTGGCCTTGGCAATTATTTTTGGATATCCCACCAAAAACTCAGTTGAGAAAAAAAATAAACAAGTGGCACTACCACAAAATAAAAAGGTTCTACACAGAAAAGAAAACAATCAACAAAATAAAAAGGCAGCCTACATATTGGGAAAAACATATTTGTAAGCCATGAATCTGATAAGGGGTTAATATCCAAAATATGTTAGGCGCTTACACAACTCGATAGCAAAAAATACAGTAAATTAAAATAATCTGATTTTAAAATGGGCAATCAATCTGAATAGACATTTCTCCAAAAAAGACAAAAATAGCCAACAGATACAGGCAAAGGTGCTCAACTTCAGTAATTATCAGGGAAATACAAATTAAAAGCACAATGAGATATCACTTCACACCAACTAGCATGGTTATTATAAAAAATACAAGAAGGGTCAGGCACGGTGGCTCAAGCCTGTAATCCCAGCAATTTGGGAGGCCAAAACGGGCGGATCACCTGAGGTCAGGAGTCTGAGACCAGCCTGGCCAACATGGCGAAACCCCATCTCTACTAAAAATACAAAAAAATTAGCCGGGGTGGTGGTGCATGCCTGTAAGTCCAGCTACTCAGGAGGCTGAGGCAGGAGTATTGCTTGAACCCAGAAGGCGGAGGGTTACAGTGAGCTGAGATCGTGCCACTGCACTCCAGATCAGGCGACAGAGTAGACTCTGTCTCAAAAATAAATAAATAAACAAACAAACAAATAACAAGTGTTGGCAAAGATGTGGAGTAAAGGAAACCTTTGTACACTGTTGGTGGGAAGATAATCGGGTACAGCCATTAGGAAAAACAATATGGAGGTTCCTCAAAAGATTAAAAGTAGGATTGCCATATGACCAAGAAATCCTTCTTCTGGGCATATATATATACATATACATAAATTCTTTAATTTTTAAGTTAAAACATATCAAATAATTTTCTTCACTTCAGAAAGCTGCCTCAATCACAAATATCCATTCATTTTCCTGTTTCTTGTTGTTGTTTTTGTTTGTTTGTTTTTTGAGACGGAGTCTCCAGTCTCACTTCTTTGCCCAGGCTGGAGTGCAGTGGCACGATCTCGGCTCACTGCAACTTCCACTTCCCAGGTTCAATCAATTCTCTTGCCTCAGCCTCCCAAGTAGCTGGGACTACAGGCGCCCACCACCAAGCCCGGCTAATTTTTGTATTTTTAGTAGAGACAGGGTTCCACCATGTTGGCCAGGCTGGTCTCGAACTCCTGACCTCAAGTGATCCACCCACCTCAGGCTCCCAAAGTGCTGGGATTACAGGCCTGAGCCACCGAGCCTGGCCTCATTCTCCTCTTCTAATGAGCTGTAGTAGAGGAAAAAGTCTAAGAAGTACTTTCTGCTAGCATGCATTTGCTCTTCATGCCAGGCTGACTTCTAAGGTGGCTTCCAATGATTCCGCTTGATAGTATTCATGCCCCAAGAAATCCACTTCCTGTGAATGTAGGCTGATCTTAGTGACTCATTTCTAATGAATAACATATAACAAAAGTGGTGGAATAGCACTTCAAAAATTTGGTTATAAAAGTTAGTGACTTCCATCTTGCTCTCGCTCTCTCTTTCTCTCTAGTTCTCTCTCGCTCTCACTCTCATTTTCTCTCTCTGGCTCTTTTTTCCTGCTTGCTCTGATGAAGCAATTCATCATGTTTTGAGCTGCCCTATGAATAGGTCTATGTTTTAAGGAACTTGGGGCTGTTTCTGGCCAACAGCCCTCAAAGAACTGAAACCTCTCAATTCAACTGCCCGCAAGAAGCTGTATCTTGCCAACAACTACATGATTGAGCTTGAAAGTAGATTCTTCCCTAAGCAGATTTCCTTTCATGTCTTAGGGTGAGTGCAGCCCCAGTTGGCACCTTTATAGAAGACTGTGGGAGACACTGCAGCAGAAGATCCAACTGAGCTGTGCTCAGATTCTTGACCCACAGAGACCATGAGAAAATAAATGTTTAAGCCACTAAGTTTTGGAGTAATTTGTTATGCAGCAATAGATAACTAATACAGCCTTCTGAAAGTGGAGAATATTGTGGGAATAGATTGGGACCATCATGATTCAAGTGGAAAATGAAATTTGTGTGAGCACAGCAGAAGGACCCAAAGAATAGAGGGCAAGAAAGAAGCTTGGAAGATCCCAACTATTTTCCAAGAATCACCCACTCAAGCAGTTTTTCCTCATCAGCATGTCTGGAAATAACCCTTAATTAGCTAGCTTGCAATACTGTTACTTTGCACTAGTTGCATTTCAAAGTATTTAAATTGTTCAACCTGCTCCAATACATTTACTCCTACTGCTTTCGCCATTAATGAGGCATTCAGCTTTTAGAATCTGGGAGATGACCTAAAGATCAAAGTTAATTTAATTTAAAATCAATGTACTAGAAAAGAAAGACCCTGCCTCCAGTATTGACATTAGGCTGTGAGCTTTTGTAAATGCAGAAGCAAAGGCACATAACAGCATATGCCATGCTATTATTTCCAACCAGGTGAGACTATATTCATGCAGTCACAAAGGTCTACTGAAAAAGATTCTGATAATTGGTCTCCACCTGATTTAATACCACTTATTGGACAGATTTTGTTTGAGCAAGTGAATTGAAAACCACTTCCTGGATTCATTATTGAGTTTTAAATCCCACTGAGTAGCTAAGACCAATATCAATGAATCCTACATTCCTGATATTTTAGAGAAAGTCATTCATAACTGAGATAATCAAAGTGCTTAGATTTATGAACAAAGTTTCTTATAAAAGACTTATGTTTTTAACTGAGTTCTATTGGCAAATTTACTTACTCCTGCTGCAAGAAATAAGAAGACTTTGTAATGCGATGTCTGGAGGCATCTATTTCACTTATTATATTTTTAATCCTCAAAGTCTGTTTTCTGATTTGCAATGGTCTGCAATTACATGGTTTCACAGTTAATTATTTTCTATTCATTCACTCATGTGTTTATTTATTCAACAAATGCTTGATATCTCCTCTGCGCCAAGTACCATGCTAAGTCGTGGAGGTTCAAAGAAGTATAAAATAGTACTTCAGTCAAAATAAACTGGTTTTGCTAGTGTAACTAACAATATTAAAGTTACCTGAACGGCTTATCTCAACCAAGGTTTATTTCTTGCTCACACAGTCTGGGAGGTCCATATGATAGCTCCATGGTAGCTTGGGCTTCCAAATTTGCTCAGACAGGAAGAACAGACTGGGAAGCATGATGCCAGCAATTAAATATCTCCATCAGAGAGAGACACAAGATCTTTGGTTTGCTTCGCCATATCTGCCTCTAAGTAGAAGTGCATTCCCCCCAACAGTTTCTTTACGGAAAGAAGCAGAAACAGAACACACTATTGTCTATCATACACAGACTACACCTTCTGCCCCTTCTTATTTTATTAGCCTATGCAGTCTTGTCTTGGGCATTTACATGATTTCTACAAGGCCCTTAAAATGTTAAACATATCTTGGTGACTCCCATTATTGTTTTCATGGACAGTTAAGACAACAGGGATTCATGTTAGAAATGATCCCCCTGCCTTCCCTAAAGATCCCATGGCCCTTATATCCCTCTGTTCTCCTCTGTCTCTGATAGGAAGGCCTGGTCACCCCTAGAAAGTGAAAAAACCAAGGAGGACATGGCTAAGACAAGTTAGACTCTGAGAATTACTGTGAAGTTTTTCATCATTTATGTCATCATTAGGCCATTTAACCAATATGCATTGAGCATCCCTACTATGTGATGTGTGCTAGAAATGAAATGTTGATCAAAATAGGCATGGCTCAAACTGTATAATGAGGCAGATTGTCAAGTAAACGGGCAATCGCAGTTCAGTGTGGTAAAAGCTATGCTAGAGAGGTGCAGGGAGCTCTGGGAGCACATGGCTGGGGAGACCCCGTGGATAAGGGAAGGTCCCTGGAGAAAATGATGTCTAGGCAAAGGCCTCATGCCTGTGTAGGAATAAGCTAGGTAAAACTAACTGGGGAAGGAGTGATCATTCTAGAAGAACAACAACAACCTGGAGGAAGGAAAGACAGAGGAAAAGGGACACCAAGAAAGAGAAGAGAGAGCAGGTGAAGCTGTTGGCATAATCAGGGAGCTGCAAGAAGCCAAAGCATAGATTCCAGGTGGGGGGATTTTAAGACATGGGATTAGAGAGATGAGGAGAAGCCAGGTTTCAAAGGAACTTGTAAGCCATGAACACAACTTTGGACTTGTTCCTAAGAGCAGAGGGAAGTCGCTGAAAGGTTTCAAACAGGAAAGAGAGTGATATAGTAGATACTTCAGATTTGAAGTAACAACTGCCGTTTACAAAAGCCTGGCAGTTATTATGCTGGTAAAGTAAACAACCCAATGCCTGTTTATAGCAGTCCTGGTGTTTGGCTGATTTCCCTAGTAGGATGATTTATGAGAAAGTAGATGGAGGATTTGTGTGTTTGGTATTAGGAACACCAGGAGAGCCCTTAACACAAAACTATATTTTCTATTCCCTTCCATAAACACTGAAACCCCATTCTTTATTCCTTTAATTTTTTTTTCATTCATCTGGTCAAATATGAATTGAGCACCTGCTATGTACATGGAATAAAGCTAGTGCACTAAAGAAAATGAGATAAGGACAGGGTTCTTGCTTCCAAAAGGCTAAAAGATCTCGTAGCAGGGATAAGATGAGTTTAAGAGGGTGGTGTGTGGGAGGAGAGCAGAGCAATCGGAACCCAGAGGGAGAAACAAAGTTTTCAGGCTGGGGACACCTGGGAAGGCTTTGTGGAGAAAATACCACTATGGCTGGGCCTTGAAAGATGAATAAGATTTTCTCAGTGCTGAGCCGTGTTTTTATCAGAAGTCGTTCAGCTATCCACGAGAGAAACTTAAACTCAAATGAGCTTAAACAAAAAGAGGGCAGTTATTGTTTCACACACAGAGGCACAACTGACTTCAAGCCTAGCTGGATCCATGGCCCCAGTGTTATGATCCAAGCTCGCTCTTTCTCTCTCCATTCCTAGGACAGATCCTCCCTGGTGGACAAAATGTTGTGAAAGGAAAATAAATCCTGGGACCCCCAAATCACTAAGCCAAAGGGAAAAGTCAGGCTGGGAACTGCAGGGCAAGCCTGCCTCCCATTCTATTCCTAATTAAGATAGAACAAAGATAAAAAAGCTACCTACCTACCTCCCTCACAATTTGCTCACAAGGAAATCCCCTGTGGACAAAGGACAGACAGAACTCAAAGTCATTCCTTTGCTCATGTGAGACAAATGCATATCTGACTGCTTCCTTTGCCCTACTGTTTCACTAAGCCAGACTAAGGTGTAAGTGACTATTCCCCTAGATTGTATATTCAGCGAAAGGCTAATCAGAAACTCACAAGAATGCAACTGTTTGTCTCTTATCCACCTATGACCTGGAACACCTCCTCCCCAGATCAAGTTGTCCCACCTTTCCAGACTGAACCAATGGACATTTTACATATATTGATTGATGTCTCATATCTCCCTAAAATGTATAAAACCAAGCTGTGCCCCTACCACCTTGGGCACATGTCATCAGGACTTCCTGAGGTGATGTCACAGGAGTGTCCTTAACCTTGACAAAATAAACTTTCTAAATTTATTGAGACCTGTGTCAGATACTTTTTGGTTCACAATGGCTCTCAACAAACCCAGTGCATTAGTTTCTTAGGGCCGCTATAACAAATCACCATGAGCAGAGCATAGTAGCTTCAAACAACAGAAATGTATTTTCTCACAATTCAGGAGGCCAGAACTCAGACACTGAAAACCAAAGCGTTGGCTGGTTGATTCCTTCTGGGGGTTCCGAGAAGGAATCCATGGCATGCCTCTCTCCTAGCTTTTAGTGTTTGAAAGAAGTTCTTGGCATTTATTTGTTTTTGAGTGCATCCCTCCAATCCCTCCCTCCACCTTCACATTGCCTTTTTTTGTGTTTCTTTTCTGTGTCTCTCAGAAGATCTAAAATCTCCCTCTCTTTTACGTTTGAGGATACCAGTCACTGGATTTAGGGCCCACCATAAATCTAGGATGATCTTTCTTGAGATCCTCAACTCATACAACCTCTGTGAAGACTATTCCAAACAAGGTCAAATTCTGAGCTTCCAAATGTACTTCAATTTTCAGAGGATACTCTTTAACCCACTACACTCAACAAAACCATTCCACTGTCTATAGCAGTGGTACCCAATCTTTTTGGCACCAGGTATTGGTTTCATGGAAGATAATTTTTCCATAGACTGGGGATGGGGGAGGATGTTTTGGAATGATTCAAGCACATTACATTTATTGTGCACTTTATTTCTATTATTATTGCATTGTAATATATAATAAAATAATTAGACAGCTCATCATAATGTAGAATCAGTGGGAGCCCTGAGCTTGTTTTCCTGCAAGTAGATGGTCCCATCTGGGGGTGATGGGGTCAGTGACAGATCATCAGGCATTAGGTTCTTGTAAGGAATGCATAATCTGGATTTCTCGCATGCGCAGTTCACAAGAGGGCTCACGCTCCTAAGAGAATCTAATGCCACCACTGATCTGACAGGAGGTGGAGCTCAGGTGGTAATGCAAGAAATGGGGAGTGTAAATACAAATGAAGCTTTGCTCACTGGTCTGCCACTCACTTCCTGCTGTGCGTCTGGTTCCCAACAGGCCATGGACTGGTATCGGTCTGTGGCCCAGGTGCTGGGGACCCCTGGTCTATAGCACAAAAATCCCACTACCGTCAGCCCCTCATGGACCAAGTGTCAAAGCTGTGGTGGAGGTTGGGCTGTGGAGTTCAGCCTCATCAAAACTACATTGATTGGATTCTTAAGAAAAAAATGCTTCTGATATCAGAACATAAGGCGTGCTGCAGAAATGTCAATGATAGGATCTTGGAACAATCACTGGAAAAGCCTTCTGGAGGATGTATGTATGGCAAGACATTTGGAATCATGATGCCTCCCAACCAAATAGATTCTAGAGGGAAGTTATACTACTGGCTTCCATTCTTTTTATAGATGAGGAGCCAGAAGCACATGGAGAAAGTGATTGAGGGCCCCTGTATCCGACCATCAGTGAAAGGCATTCTGATGGAGGACAGGTGCCACCTGACCTGCATATGTGGAGCAGGAGGCACCAAGAGAGCTGGAAAAACCAGAAAGGGAGAGGAGCAATGCCAGGGACATGAACGGATCTTCAAAACACTTTTTGCATTTATTGCTACAGTTATCTTTGCCTTAGTTTACTTAAGCATTTTACCTATACAGCTAAAAGTTAGACAGTTGGTTTAGTGATGGTTAATACTGAGTATCAACTTGATCGGATTGAAGGATGCAAAGTATTTTTCCTGGGTGTGTCTGTGGGGGTGTTGCCAAAGGAGATTAATATTCGAGTCAGTGGACTGGGAGAAGCAGACCCACCCTCAATCTGCGGGGGCACAATCCAATCAGCTCTCAATGCAGCCAGAATAAACTAGGCAGAAGAACATGGAAGGACTTGACTTGCTGAGTCTTCCTGGCTTCATCTTTCTGCTGTGCTGGATGCTTCCTGCCCTCGAACCTCAGACTCCAAGTTCTTCAGCTTTTAGACACTTAGACTTCCAACAGTGGTTTGCCAGGGGCTCTCAGGCCTTTGGCCACAGACTGAAGGCTGCTCTGTTTGTTTCTCTAGTTTTGAAGTTTTGTGACTGGGACTGGCTTTCCTGTTCTTCAGCTTGCAGAAGGCCTGTTGTGAGACTTCGCCTTGTGATCGTGTGAGTCAATACTCCTTATAAACTCCCTTTCATCTATAAATCTATCCTATTAATTCTGTCTCTTTAGAGAACCCTGACTAATACAGGTTTTCAGACATTACTCTGAAGACCTGTGTGGGAGTCATGTTTGCATCCTTCTTCAGTAATATTAGAAAAATTAAAATAACATAGAACTTTTTAAAACACCAAATTAATTCAAGGCAAAGAGATGTGTTTTGTTCCTAATTATATCCTTTCTACCTTTTTGGTATTTGTTAAGCTTTTATTGTATTTAATCATGGTCACAGTAGAAGGTAATTTTATCTTCTTTCATCTAGTTTTGTGGCCTATATTTGGCAAATGAAAATGATGATGACTCAATATTGGCTTTCCATAATTTTGGGTGGAGAAAATATTTACTGACTCATGACATCCAAAGGTCTGGGATCCCTAATTTGACCAACTGCTATGTCTCATTAGGTAGCCCCCAAGCTGAGCAACCACAGTGAGAAATAAAAGGGACTTCCCTAACCATTTATTTTCTTAAGAGGATAGTGGCTTTGATTCTGAATGGACTTTTACTACATTTGGCATGCTTTAAAAAAGCTGTTTTGCTGAGGATGAGATGAAGTTTGTTAATTGCACTATGGGTTGCTAAGGGACGTGCCACTCTGAAGCGCTGCATGCACGTGGCAACTCCTTAGCACCTGTGGCCTAGGGACCTTATCGCCATTATCCCACGCATTCAAAAACACAATACCCACTTGTTAGTCAAAGCAGCTGACCTAGGAATACCTTCTAAGTCAGTTGAAAAGCTTTGACAATTTTTCAAACAGGAAAATTAGCCAGGTATTGTTCAGAATGGTTGACCTGTGAATTTGATTTTTATTTGTTTACCTACACAGCCATGACACCAAGTTAGCAATAAGCAGACTTCAGCCAAACATCATGGTTGGTGACATCTGAGCTGCACATCATCCACCACATTCCAAGCATGTGTGACCTCCCCCTTCCCCCAATTCCTGTTAGAATAAGTGGAGGCAGGGAGGTCATGGTGAAGGCTTATTAAAAAAACAATCAGACATAAAACAATTGTTTCCTTGGACTTAGAAGGACGAATTTTCTTTGCCTAAGCAGGAAGCAAGGAAATATTCAGGAGAGGCTATTGGCCATTCATCATGTCCCTATGGAGACCAGAGTTTATGTGAGTGATACTATTAGATCTACTTTCTCCACCTCTCCCAGACTATTTAAGTTTTGGTCAATTGCAGCAGAATGAAAGGGAGAAATGTTGAAACTCCAGCAAAGAAAATATATAAGGGCAAACTAGTAGATCAATGCCCTCACCCTCCAGGCCTTAGAACAGAGAAGACAGTAAATATCACCTACCCATTTCTCATTCATTGATTGGTTCAGTCACAGATGGGCTGACCTCGTCATTCATTGATCCATTGCAAATCAAAAATTTTAATACTGACTGTTATATGCAAATTATTCTTATCTTCGGACCATGGGATGGAGAGGTAATAAAAATGAGCCCAAAAGGAAAATGCTTTTAGGAAACTTGTTTTAGTCTGGTGTAGAGACTGTTGGTTTTTGAGGGCCCATGGGTATCTTTTTGGCCTCAAAAGGGCTGAGTAGGTTGGAGGTTTCTATTTCGGAAGAGATGAAACAGTCCATCTGGCTGATGAGGGCTCACTCCAGTCTTCATATCTTAAGGGAGAAAAATAAATACATCATTCATGTTTCTTCCTCAGGGCCAGTCAGTTTCCCAGGGAAGAAAAGCAGATAAATACTTAGGGCATAAGCTTATCTAGGAAGAGTGGGTGTGTCCCCTGGAATTTAAACTCACTGGGGAAGAGAGAAAAAAAGAGTAATCGCTAGCCACCCTGATTCACCATTAACAGAGTTTGTGTTTATTGATATTAATAATTATTATTGCTTATTGGATATTAACAATTTAAGCACATGTTAATGTCTACTCTTATCATCATCACTGGACTGAAAATACAGAAAGTCAAAGCATAGCTCTTACCCTACCAAAAGTTGCTCATTATCTAGTCAGGGAGGAAGATTGGTCAAAAAAAAGACAGCAGAGTCCTGCTTTCAATTGAGCTTTATAAAACACATGATATGATATAAAATCTTTTCATTCTTCTGGTATGTCATTGGAGGGCTGGTTCTATCACAGTGAAAATTATAACTGCCATGTGTATTGCATACTTCCTACTTGCCAGAGCCTATTCTAACTACTTTGCATACATTATCCCATTTACAACCACGTGAAATAGGCAATGTTATTATTCTAGATTTGCAGATGAGGAAACTGAGTCACAGTTAAATGATTTGCATGAGGTTATACGGCTAGTAAGTAGTAGAGCTAACATTCATATTCATGTAGAGTGCACTGAAGTTTCCGTGCATAACCAATATGCTATATTGCTTTGCATCTGAGAGATTGTTATGTCGGAACTATGGCTTAGCAGGCACCAAAGACTGGGCAGAGCAAGCACTTCAGGACAGGTTCTATCAGCCATATCAGCCAGAGATGGTTGTGGGCAATGGGCTGAGGAGATGTGATGTGCCTTTGGAGGGAGCAAATGTAGCCACATTGACAGATCACAGAAGAAGGAACTAGGTAGTCCTCTAAGCAGGTGAATAATAACAAAACTAACATATGGATGACTTGCAAATGACTGTGCTCATCAAGTTTATTTGGCTCCGAACAAAATAAACTAAATATAAACCATCTTAAATAAACAAGAGCATGTATTAGATAATGAAAGTGAAGTGTCTACGGGTACATTAGCTTCAGGAATAGCTCAATCCAGCTGTTCAAATCAAGAATCTGTTTCTTTACCTCTGACACCTGCTTTTTTTGTTGGCTTTATTCTCAGTTTTTCTTTAGGTAGTAATGTCTTATTGCTTAGCAACCATAGTGGAAAAAAAGTTTCTTTTCTCCAATAGTTTATTATTTAATTAGAGTACTTCAGGAAAAGAGAAGAGCAAACAAAACTCTAGGATCTGTTTGGTTGGAGAACACAAGCATTAAATTCCGTGCTGTATAAATAAGGATGTGTAACACTTGGACCATGCATTTGAAGAGTTAATAGTCAAACTGGGGTAATTGACAGGTTTAAAAATAGCAACAGTGCAGGTTGATTGACACTGTTTTTGTTTGTTTGTTTGACAGCGTCTCTCTCTGTTTCCTAGGCTGGAGTGTAGTAGTGCAATCACAGCTCACTGCAGCCTCGATCTCCGGGGCTCAAGCTATCCTCCCACCTCAGCCTCCCAAGTAGCTGAGACTATGGGCATAACACTACAACCGGATAATTTTTTTCTAATTTATTTTTTGTAGAGACAGGGTCTCACTATGTTGCTCAGAGGTTGTCTTTAATTCCTGGGCTCAAGCAATTCTCCTGCCTCAGCCTCCCAAAGTGTTGGGATTACATTGTGATGTACCTGATAATAAATTTTAGGGTACACTTGGGGCTTAAAGACATGAATCAGAGAAGGCCTCAGTTGGGAATCAAACCTTTTCTTCAAGGGTGAAAAAGGTAAAGCTTTCATCATCACACACAGTAAACAAAACTATGGCTGTGATTTCCGTAACAGAGTCTTTGGTAATTGTTTTGTTTTACTTTGTTCACAATAAAACTTGTTGAGAATAGCAGGTTATATCTACATCTGCATATTTGCTCAATGATCTGTGGCATCTTCTCATTGATGTGGTGATGAATCTGAAATCCATCAAGAAAGAATGGAAGAATAAGATTTACTTCACAAAGGTTAACCTTACAATCCAGTGCTGTCATGTTGCTGTGAATAAAGGAACATTTGCTAAGAATTCCCAACTAAAACCACCAATCAAGCTCATTGTCTCCTTCTGGCTTGCTCTCTTTCTCCCTTATGCGCTAAAAAAATGATTTATCTTTTAACTTAGCTTTAATTCACAATTTCACAATTAATTAAACATCAGCCTAATCATTATACCCACAAAGCATTTAAACTGATGTTAGGAGAATGATGGGGAAATGAATAATGCTTTGAAGGTCCATTTCAAATTAGTTATTTGATTAATGAATATTTCACAAGGGCATTTGGGAGATGACCTCTGTTGATGACTTAAAGAAAGACAAGTCTGTTTAGGTAATGAGACGACAAAGCAAGTTTGAGTTATCTCTGGGTGTACGTTGTGTAGAATTACAAGGATTAATCCATACAAAATGTATTACCTTTCCCGTGGCTCGTTGGAGATAACATAGAATTGTAAGATCAATAAATAAAGTTTGGCATTTCAAAGATGCTGCTTGATGATAAACTGCAATGTGCACCCCAGACCGCCAGCTATGAGCACAAGCCGCCCACCAGAGGCTTATGAAAGAAAGCTGGGCTTGTTCCTGATAAGGCCTGCGGTGGGGCGGGCTGTTTGCCTCATAAACTCTCCATAATCCCTCCTAGCACCTGACCTTTCGATTTCTTAGATGTAGAGGAAAAAAATTGGTTGTCACCAGCTTCCTATATATTCAAACAAATAAGAAACAGCTTACCTTGTTTTGTGGTTTAGAAGGAGCCTTTTCTCAGCAGTTTCATGATCAAAAGCACATATTGCAAGAGGGAATCAAATATAGGTCAAAGACGCTGACTGCAGCACACGATAAGAATAGGACAATGAGGAGGAGGTGGTGTAATCACAACCAGCCTGCCTTCTTTGGCAAGAAGCACTTATGGCAATCTCACTGTCCTCATCTTGGACAGTTAAGTTACTTTTCATTCTTAATTATGTTAAATCTTAGAACAGTCAAAGCTGAATCAAACATGGAGGTCATCAGGGTCCCAAAAGGATTGGAGTTATTTGAACATGAAGCAAATACTAGAAAAGGTTTAATTTTTATGGTAAGCAACATAGCACTTGTTTTCCTCCTGAGTTTTTCTTTTTGTCTTGAAATTATGGAAGTGACTCTCCAAAGGCAGGGTTTCTGTTCATTCCACAGATAATAATCCAAAGCCTCCTATTGCTAAATCCCTTCCTCATAGCAAGTTGAGAACTTGAACTCTTACGGACCCTGGGGGATCCCTAGATACCCAGTACAGAGGATTAAAGCAGAGCTTCTGGTTGCAACACACAGGGCAGGTGAGTGGGGCCAGGCTCCAGAGCCCACCTTCCCCCGAAGTATAAAGGATGAGTTAACATCTTCTAAAACCATCTATTAAGCCATTCTAAATGACTTTAACTCTAAGGAAAGAAAGACAAATACCCCTTTAGAAACAGGAGAATTTATGACATGGCTTGGACTTTAAGATTCTACTTCGGGGTAGTAGAAATTTTTGAAATTATAAGATTAACTGTTCAGCTTTAGCCAAGTCACTTAGTGTCTCTCCTGTAAAAATGCAAGCACTTTTCCAGCTTAGAATTTCCTTTCAGTTCAAAACCTCTCTTCTCCTAAGGTTTATTCCTCTACATGGGAGAAAAACAATTCAGGAATCATGGCATTAAAATTGTGTGTAGTCATTGCCATGTGACCGTTAGGGAAACAGATTTTTAGCCTTTTGAGTGGTTGTTTCTCAGAATCTGAGTCCTCAATTTTTTATTTTCATATGTACTTTAACATAAATCACTCAACAGGAAGTTATTTGTTACAGCTTGCATTTATCTGCACTCACTTCCAAATATTATTTGAGACCCAAGTTTCTCATATCATTTCCAGCATTGCGTCATGATTTCAGTGCTTCTTGGCATATTTTGTTTTGGGCTTGAAATATTCTAGCTCATGCATTTCTAAGGTTATTGGCTAGGGAAAATCCTTGCTTTAATTTAGCCTTATAAAGAATCATCTCATGCTGAAGATCTCCCATATAACCTTCCTCCAGGAGATGATTTAAAAGTCAAATGACACGACAAGACTGGCTCTCATTTTTCCTTTTCAAGTCCAGAAAGGCTTTCTCGAAATATTTGGCATCCTACTCTCTGGCAAAGCAGCATCCGGGAATTGCTCAGGATGTCAAGCACTTCTTGGTTTCGTTTCTCTTGCTCTTTTTTTTCTCACAAATGGAGACATCCTTGCCCTTGGAATCAATTCAGGCTTGGGACTAAGGGATTTGAATAAGTCTAGTACCTCTCTCTGGGCCTCATTGTGTCTTCCTCAACATGCCTTTAGTTTGGACTTTGTGTCCTGCTCTAATGACTGATTATATACCATTGTCCTTTCACATTTGTGTCTTCCTGAGAGCTATGGTGTCCTGCTCCTTGAACCGATGACTAATGACTAGAAATCTCATATTATGACCTGAAACTTTCCTGATGGCAGCCACTTGCCTGGCTTTGTTTAAAAAAAAAAAAAAAAAATCTTGTTCTGTTTCAGAAGCGGGTTAGATCTCTTCAAGAGTGCCCTCAGGGATGGCAAGTCACCAAGACTCCAGAAATCTGAACACTTCCTCATTTGTAGCTGACTTTACATTTCTAACTTTGGCTGCCCCTGGAATTCATTTCTTGACACTAGTCCAAATCAGAATTGGTGCCTGGTTTTAACATCCTAGTTGATTCCATCCTCACCATCATGCATTACAATTTCAACAAAGGGCAACACTCTCTTATGCAAATAACATAAGTATTTTCCTTGTTATAAATTGATCAACGTGTAAATTCTTTTTGTTTTACTGTTTGTTGATAAACTACACCACCTTTCAGGGTCTGTATGGGGACCGAGATTTAACAACACAGATAAAATTGGACTGTGACAATCTCAGGTTAGGTTCTTATAAATGCAGCTGTTGTGCTGCCAGATTAGCCATCATCATATCTTGATGCTTCCACTTCTTGCTGAGAAAGACTACTCCCTCTATCAGCAAGCTCACTATTAGGTATGTCTGGTTTCTTGTTTTAGGGCCTCTCTTTCTGGCCCTAGTCCAACCAGCTACACCCTACTTGTCCACATGCAAATAATGCCAAGAAACCTGATGGGAAAATCAGATTGACATAAGGCAGCTTTGCTAACAAGAAATGCTGTATTTTTCAAAAATTTGAATGCTGCCAGTATCATTCCCCTTCCCCACTTATGCCTATTCTATACCATGTTTTCCTTTCATATATGGTGCTACCTTCTCATTAGTATCCCAGTAGGAAAGAGCCTTCATGGAGAAAGGATGCTGACCAAAGTTGTCCCTGTAGAAACCTCTTTCCCTACTTGCATTTTCATGACTGAAACCTGTGGTTATATTTGCTACCTACCCTTTATCACCTGGATTTTCATGAAAAAGATATATTTGAGAAGTAAATATGATAGGAATCTAAAAAGACCAGAAAGTGTACTTCAGGACTGAATCTCCAGCAGAGAGAAGGTGTTTGGCAGAGTAGTTGCAATCTTTGTTCAGAAATGGACCCAATTCAGAGGGCTTTTAGTGTAGTAAATCACACACTTGATAATCATCAGACATGTTTTTTACAGTGAACTATCATTGTGAATCCTATTTTAAGACACTAAATTTATTGTCCCCACTCTGTAAAAGTTCAAAATCAGGGCTATTGTGAGTTTATCATACCTTTAAAATTGGTGAGTCCTCCCCGCCTCTCCCATGCCCAATCCCTAAAGCAAAAGACATTTTTGCACATACAGATACAATACACAACAAGAATCCTTAAGATTTTAGCATATGGCAAATGTTAAATTTGGCCTGTGGAGTAACACCTCCTAAGGAAAAGAGAAGTGAGGGAGCTTTACTGCATAGTCTTCAGTGCAAACCTGCAAAAGTCCTGGGGTCATGGGTGATTGTGTGAAGTGAGTTGAGCTTGTCTCGCTTCGGATCTATTTTTCTTGGACTGTCTGAAGTCAGGTACTTATTGGGGTTTGGATGTAAAGAAAGACAGTCTCTAGCATCCCTGGGATCCTTGGCTGTGAGTATTGTGATTTTGGATGGCGCAATTAATCTATTTCTAGCAATTCTTTTTCTTCTTGGACAGGTTCTTAGGATTTGGGTGCAAAAATGAAAGTGGAAGTAGGGGGAGGGTGCAATACAGTGATTTATACCTTATGTTTGTGGGTTATCTTCAAGCCATTATTTTTGTTCCTTTTTAAGTAACTGAGATCCTCCCAGAGAAGAAAGAATATAGATAACCTCTTACATTATGGTGCCACTGAAAGGACTTGTTCGAGCACATTTCATTGCAAAGCACAAAAACCTTCCTAATTAAAAACACAGAAGGGGTCCTAGGACCTACTTGTAGGAAGTTCAACTATGCTTTATACTTGCTGGTTCTGGGAACATAAAGAGTCAAGATGTTTTTTCTGCAAACTCTCTTTCTCTGCTTGCCCACGGTCCAACAAGATTTTAATCTTCCCATATTCCTATTACAGTTTGCTCGGCTCAAATTTGGAAGTGTTTCCAGTATCAACGAGCTCTGGTCAGGAGGGATTCTTGTATGCCCAAACCTCAGCACAATGCTGAGCACACAGTCAGTATGCAATATATTTATATCAAACGAATTAATGAATCAAATAATCTTTAAATACATTAGAGAGATATCCCTGCAAAATCTCTTCACTCAAAATATCAAGAAAGCAATGATCTCAAGGAAAATAAAAATAGACTTAAATGAGGAACAGGCACAAAAGTTCACTAATGCGAAGACCTCTGACATACTCGGGATGGTGCTACAGAGGGAGGCAGAACAGAGAAATAGGCCAAAAGATGTTGGACGTAAGGTTATTCCTCATAGAGGAGTATGATATTGCAAGAGACCCCCCAAAAGCAGTCTAACATACTGGCTTCATGTTTTAGTCAGAAGAATCGTGTCTTAAAAGAAGATACTCAAAAGAGGACTACAAAAGACAACATAAAGCTTGATTAGTGTAGAAAACATTTTTGCACAGTTAGACTTCCAAACATACTCCATGGAGATGTCCCCAAATAAAGACTCCCTGTTCGGCCAAGTTTAGTCAGCTTCCTCTGAGTCCTCTTCTTGACTAGGCTTCAATTTTTAGCAAGAATCCCGCTAAGTCATGTTGGCTATAATCTCTCCCCTTTGATATCAAATTCCTCACCCACTCCTCTTGATACCTAAGTTATTGGCCCACCTTTAGCAAGCATCCTGTTAGGCCAGTTTAGCAATAATCCATCCTCCCATCCTTGATATCTCGTCTTGGTAATTTTCCAACTACTGACCCCCTCACTCTGGCTATCAGTCCTCAATTGTCTTTGCTGTATTTAGCATTGAGTTAAACTCCTTTATCTTATTGCAATATTTTTCACCCCTATTACAATAGCCTTAAATAAAATCTTTCTCACCTTTTTTTTTTTAAAGTGTCAGAATAACTTTTTCTTTGACATCCCCTCTTTACTCACTAGTCATTCTTCCTCCCAGGCTGCCTTTTCTGACCTCTGAAAAAAGAGGGACAGTGGCTGCTTCTTCCTGTAGCACCATCCAGAATATTTCACAGAGGTTCTCACACTAGTGAGATTTTCTGGCTGCTCCTCATTCAAGGGAGACTTGGTTTTCTTTGAGACCATGGCTTCCCTGATATTTTGTGAAATGATATTTTGTGACGATATTTTTCTAATTCATTTATAGATTATTTGACTCATTTATTCATTCATTTGACAAAAATATCTTGAGTGCCTACTATTTTCTCATCATCATGCTGGAAATTAGGCATACAAAAATTTGTAAAACTCATAGTCATGTATTTTTTAGGTTAATTTTAAATTAACTTTTAAATTGTTTAAAATAATTTAAGCAATATATTAGCAAAAATCTAATACCGTCATGCACAGCCCTGCTCTCTCACCTGTAATCTCCCTCCCCGGAGAGATTCTTGCGATTTTTCTCCAAATTCAAACATAAGGGAAGAGGTACAGGAGGGTCAACCAGATTTTCTCCTCTGCAATTTGAAACGGAGACCTCATGGCTATTTCATCTTCATGTCTTTCATTGAAAGTTTTAACCTAATCCTGATGTCTGTGAGAGGAAAATAAAAACTCAGGACTCCAATTCACTATGCCAAAAGAAAAAATTAAGCTGAAAACGGTGTCATGCAAGAAGCTGCCTTGCCTTTTGTTCCTTAGCAAACAGCTACAGATAAAAGGTTAAATTGTTCCCACAAGTAGTACTCTTGTGTTCCCCTTATCTTAGATAAGGTGCTGGTTTACTGAGCATGAGATGAATACACAATTAACTATTACCCTACTCCCTCCTTTTCTCTTGCAACATGTGGATTACCATACCCTCCCTCTTTTCCCTCCAGCCCATTTTTCCCCTTTAAATACTGAAGATCTCAAAATCATCTTGGAAGAAACAGACCCCAGACTATTTCTGTGATTCTATGTTTATTTCTTCCAGGCATGTCTTAAACTTGGCAAAACAAACTTCTAAATTAATTGACAGCTATCTCAGATAGTTTTTGGTTTACATGTCAAAGGAGTCAACCTTTATGTACAGTGTCTAGCACGCTGTAGGTGCTTCATAAACATTTGCTGAATGAGTCATCCTCCATACAGACACCTTGGCTAATCCAAGAGCACCTGCTACTCACATGGAAACTTCTATACCTACTTTGCCATCAATGACAGTTCTCTCATCTGACCTACTCTTGTATAATAAATACACCCTTGTGTGTATATTTTCCATACTATTTTGTTAATCTTGTCTTATACGTATATCATGTCTTTCAACTAGAATAAAACCTTCTTGAGTGTTCAAGGGTGCAGCTTACGTTGACAATGTGCCAGACTTTGGACCAGGTCCTGGGGAAGTGATAATAGTCACACACATACTTCTTTGAGAACTTCAAGTGAACTAACTCATTTAATTCTCATTACAACTCCATAAGGCAGGTACTATTATTAGCAACATTTTGCTGCAAGAAAACTGAGACACATGGAGGTAACTTGCCTTAGCCTATCCAGCCAGTAAGTGGTGGACACACAAAGTAACTTGCCTAAGCCTATCCTGCCAGTAAGTGGTAGAGCCAGGTTTCAAATCCACAGGGTTCAACTCCAGATTCCACGCTACTGGTGAGGTCTCTGTTTTAAAGTCTGACTCATGGTAAGTAATAAATACTTTCTGGTAAATTAATTTGAATATATGGAAAGATCACATTTTCCCACCATTCACTCAATCTTAAAAGAACTGTGTTGGAGAACATAGGTTGGCAAGTTTGACATCTTTTTAGCTGGTTTGCTTGAAGAGACGCCTGCTGTTCTGGAAATAACTTCAGCATGACATTGTGTTTTGCCAGCCTCCCAGCTAATTTAAACCGTGTGGGTCACAACTATAAA